>NC_000011.10:71661756-71964786 GCF_000001405.40 Homo sapiens | reverse complement strand
GCTTATAATACCAGGCACGGTGGCTCACGCCTGTAATCCCAACACTTTGGGAGGCTGAGGCAGGCGGATTGCTTGAGTTCAGGAGGGCGAGACCAGCCTAGGCAACCTGGCAAAACCCTCTCTCCACCAAAAATACAAAAAATTAGCCTGGTGCTGTGGTGTGCGCGTGTAGTCCCAGCTACTTGGAAGTCTGAGGTGGGAGGATCACCTGAGCCTGCAGAAGTAGAGGCTGCAGTGAGCCGAAATCGCCATACTGCACCACTGCATTCCAGTATGGGCAATCAGAATAAGACCTTGTCTCAGGAAAAAAAAAGGTATCCAATTGGAAAAGAAGAAGTGAAACTCTACTCTCAGATGACCAATCTTATATATAAAAAATCCTAAAAAAAACTTTAAAAACTATTAGAGCTAATAAATTCAGCAAAGTTGGAAGACTAACACAAAACGATCAGTTGAAATTCTATATATTAGCAATGAATAATTCAAAAAGGAAATTTTTAAAAATTCCATTAACAATGGCATCAAAAAGAATAACATACTTAGGAATAAGTTTAACAAAGGAGGTGCAAGACTTGTACATTGAAAACTACAAAACATTGATGAAAGAGATTAAAGACCCAAATAAATGAAAAGATATCCTGTGTTCAGGTACTGGAAGATTAATATTGTTAAGATGGAAACATTTCCCCAAACAATCTAGAGAATCAAACCAATCTTTATCAAAATTCCAACTGATTTTGTTTGTAAAATGGAAACGTTGATATTAAAATTAATAAGGAATTGCAAAGGACTCAGAATAGCTGAAACAATCTTGAAAAATAATAACAAAGTTGAGGAACATACTTTCCAATTTCAGAACTTACTACAGTGCTACAGTAATCATAACAATGTGGTACCTGCAAAAGAACAGACATATAGATCAACGGAATAAAACTGAGAGTACAAAAATAAGCCAACATATCTTTGATCAATTGATTTCTGACAAGGTCGTGACATGCCACGACCATCCAATGGAGAAAGAAGTCTCTTCAATAAATGATGCTGGGACAACTGGCTATCCACATGCAAAAGAATGAACTTAGATTCTTATCTCACACCATTTACAAAAACTCAAAATGGACCAAAACTCCAAATGTAAGAGCTAAGACTATAAAACTCTTTTTTTTTTGGGAAGGAGTCTTGCTCTGTTATCAGGCTGGGGTGCAGTGGTGCGATCTTGGCTCATTGCAACCTCCAACTCCCTGATTCAAGCGATTCTCCTGCCTCAGCCTTCCGAGTAGCTGGGATTACAGGCACGTGCCACCACGCCCAGCTATTTTTGTATTTTTATTAGAGACGGGGTTTCACCATGTTGGCCAGGCTGGTCTCAAACTCCTGACCTTGTGATCCGCCCACCTCAGCCTCCCAAAGTGCTGGAATTACAGGCTTGAGCCACCCCACCGGGCCAAGACTATGAAACTCTTCAAAGAAAACATAAGAGTAATCTCTATGACCTTGGACTTGGCAATGGATTCTTAGATATGACACTAAAAGCACAACCAATAAAATTAAAAAATAGATATACTGAACTTCATCAAAATTAAAAACTGTTTATGCATCAAAGGACACTATCAATAAAGTGTCAAGACAACCGATAAAATGTGAGGAAATATTTTAAAATCATATATCTGATAATGGTCTATTATCCAGATTATATAAAGTACTCTAACAACTCAACAAAAAGACAAAAAATTCAACCAAAAATTGGGCAAAGACTTAAACAAACATTTCTCTAAGGAAAATATACAAATGACCCATAAGCACAGGAAAAGATGCCCAACATCATTAGTCATTAGGGAAATACAAATCAACACCACAATGACATCTACATCCACTAAAGTAGCTATAATAAATAAAATTTAAAAAAAAACGGAGTGAAAGAAGTAAGAAGTCTTGATAAGAATGTGGAGGAATGAAAACCCAACCCACGTTAGGACAGAATGGAAAATTGTGCAGCTTCTGTGGAAAACAATTTCTCAGTTCCTCAAAACATTAAACACAGAGTTACCACATGACTCAGCAATTCCACTCCTAGGTAGATTTCTTTTCTTATTTTCTAAAGATATGAGTTTAAGTTTCTCAGTGTAAGATGTGCTATCATGTTAGCATATCCTCTCACCAATAAAATTCAGCATTATGTTTACAGGATGTGGTAGTAACAAGTAAACTGCACATTCCTAGTACAACTGGCCTCATTAAGTCACAGACACATCTCCTGTTAAGAATTAACTAATGAATAACACATCAGTGGTTTTCTAACAGTGCTATGATGAGTCCTAGAGATTTCAGAGGGGGAAGCAGAGGTGTTAGGGTTACCCAACCTTCATATCAAGCAGAGCAGCCTCTTAACTGTTTCCCAGATTGAGTTTTTCCTTAAGATAATGTTTAAAGAAAGGATTCCACACTTAAGGAAAAAGTTCTTATTGAAAATTACTGCAGTGCATATATGCATACTCACTTTCTTCAGAATAGGTTGTAAAAATCTGCCGGGCGCGGTGGCTCACGCCTGTAATCCCAGCACTTTGGGAGGCCGAGGCGGATCACAAGGTCAGGAGATCGAGACCATCCTGGCTAACACAGTGAAACCCCGTCTCTACTAAAAATACAAAAAAATTAGTCAGGCGTGATGGTGGGCACCTGTAGTCCCAGCTATGCGGGAAGCCGAGGCAGGAGAATGGCGTGAACCCGGGAGGCGGAGCTTGCAGTGAGCAGAGATTGCACCACTGCACTCCCGCCTGGGCGACACAGCGAGACTCTGTCTCAAAAAAAAAAAAAAAAAAATCTTTGCAGATTAGCCAAAATTATATAATTAAAAATATTTCTACATATAAGCACAGAAATGCCAAGGGGGCTTTCACTCATTTATGAGTTTACTGAATCCCCTGGCTCAAGCAATTCTCCCACCTCAGCCTCCTCAATAGGTGGGATTACAAGTGTGTGCCACCACTCCTGGCTTGTGTCTTTCCACCTAAAGTGAATTTACTATAGACAGCATATCGATAAATGAGGGGATTTTTAAAACCAATCTGCCAATTTCTGTCTTCTAATGGAAGAATTTAATCCATTTATATTTAAAGTGATTACTGGTAAGGAAGAATTAACTTCTGCCATTTTGCTATTTGTTTTCTGTGTGTCATTTTCCCCACCTAATTTCAACCATTACTGTTTTTTCTTTTTCTTTTTTTTGAGACAGAGTCTTGCTCTGTCTCCAGGCTGGAGTGCAATGGCACGATCACGACTCACTGCAGCCTTGACCTCCCAGGCTCAAGGAATCTTCCCACCTCTCAGCCTCCCCAGTAGCTGAGACTATAGGCGCATGCCACCACGCCTGGCTAATTTCTCTATTTTTTGTAGATATAGGGTTTTGCCATGTTGCCCAGGCTAGTCTTGAACTCCTGAGCTGAAGCCATCTGCCCACCTCAATCTCCCAAAGTACTAGGATTACAAACATGAGCCACCACACCCGATCCTTCTTTAAAAAAATTTAGATTAGTGTAATCTAGATCCTGTAAGATTCATGAGATGCTTAGTTTTCCCAGTCAATTCATCTTTGCTCTCTCCAATTGAATAGTTCCTGATGATTATCTCCTTCATGAACCTGTCCCACAATGTTTCGAAGGGAAAACCTATCTTTTCTGCCTATGAACATAGTCTTATGTTCTATCCTTTTCACCCTCTGAATCACCTGACCCTTAGACACACACTCGCCAATACACTATTCATCATTCATACATAAAGTTCATTGTTATTGTCTTTCTCCACCTCCATGTGGCCTGGGTTAGGCTGGGACCTAGAATACTTAGGAAGGGTCTCTTGATGACTGACAGACAAAGAAGTAAGAGGCAAAGTGGCTTACATTGTAGGAGCGTGGGTGCCTCTGCTTCCACTGCACCAGGAGCAGCTGGGCCACCACCAAGGTTGCGATGAGGATGAGGACCATTTCAGCATGCATAGCTTCATGGCCACGGTGCTTGGCATGCATGCGTGCGTGCTCGACCCTGAAAGCCAAACACATGGGGTGAATCAAGTCAGGGATGCTGTAGTGATAAAGGGACAGTGCTTTCCAGGGATATCCCACCAGTACATAGCTCAGAACACATTCCCTGCTTCATAGCTGCAGGGTACCACACAAATTAGGGGCTAGGACACACACCCTAACAGACAGGCATGTCGAGATAGAATACAGGCTCTACGGACCCCCCAGCAACCAAGCCTAGATATTGGAATTAGAGCTAAGTGGCCTGCTGCCTGCCCCCATGGAAGAAACAGCTGACACCTTTCCTGTAGCATGAAGGAGGTCCCAGGAGAAACCTGCATCATTGCCCATTTCAAGTCTATTTCAACCTGATGCTGGAACGAGAAAGTAACCCAAAGAGGTTATAGACATAAAGTCTCATACGCTTAGTCACCAATATTTATGACAGCAGTAAAGGAGTAACGCTGCAAATGTGTGCTGATTCCAGGATTAAAGTCTTGCTTTATTCATTCCACCCTCTCTGCCAGAGTCAGAAATCCTTAAGACTAGTTAAAGCCTAAAAAGTCTGGACTGCTTCAACTTTATACTAATCCAACAGTGACTTTACCCTCAGTATCCACAGGTAAACAGCCTCCTCAAAGGCTCAAGGAAGTTTAGTAACTAGAGAGTACAGCTGGAAACTTTTTATTAATCTAAGGCTGGCATTCGCTGGTCTTAAAGACTGGCAGCAAGTGATTCCCTTGGCTAATACTGGCTAAAAACTTGTTCTAAGAACAGTCACTCCTACCACTCTGGGTCACAGTCATCCAAAGGAGAGGAATGAGAAAGGAATTAGAGGCCGGGCGCGGTGGCTCACACCTGTAATCCCAGCACTTTGAGAGGCTGAGGCCGGAGGATCACGTGAGGTCAGGAGTTAACGATGAGCCTGGCCAACATGGCGAAACCCCGTCTCTACTAAAAATACAAAAATTAGCCGGGTGTGGTGGTGCATGCCTGTGATCCCAGCTACTCAGGAGGCTGAGGCAGGAGAATCACTTGAACCTGGGAGGTGGAGGTTGCAGTCAGCCAAGATCGCAACACTGCACTCCGTCCTGGGCGACAGAATGAGATTCCATCTCAAAAAAAAAAAAAAAAGAAGAAGAGAGAGAGAAGAGAAGGAATTAGAGAGAAAATCAAATACATCAGAATGTGTGGGAAAGGGCAAATTTAAATAAATAATAAAATCAAATACAAATGTAACTTGAGTCATAAGCTTTTATACAATTCCCATTACACCAGGGTATTTAGGAGGGAGGAAAAGGACAACATAAATAGTGTCTTCATGGAATTTCCATGGGCAATTAAACATTAACAGCAAAAATAACCCAGAAGGATGAATTATAAACAATAAAGCAAATATAACAAAAAGTGTAGAACCCAGGTGGTAAGTATAAAGGTGTTCACTGTACAATTCTTTCAACTTTTCTATGTGTTTAAAGTTTTTCATAACAAAATGTAAGGGGGGAAAACTTGGTGGGCAGAGTGGGAAGCCAAATGCCAGTCAGTAAGCCTCAGCACCTAAGGGTTCATCTGACATAAAACTTTACCCTGGGTGGGAGAATCTGACAGAAAGAGAATAGGATTGGGAGTTCGAAACTTAGATTCAGACCCACCTATATGGCCATGGCCAATTAACCTCACATCTGTATATCACAATTTCTTCATCTGTCAAAAGGAGTCCATATTTTTTCTGCCTGACTCAAGAGTTGTTGTGAGAATAGGCTAAGAGGGTAGAGCACACTTAAAAACACCTAAGGGCTATGAGGAGTTATAAAGATAGCAAGAGATAAGTTTCTTGTTCTCAGACAACATATCAGTGAACGGATGTGCACAAAATGAAGTCAAAGAATGATCTAGAAAAGACCAGAGAAGTCATCCAGTTCAAGTTCCCACCCAATGCAAAAATCATTTTTGCAATCTTTGCTTGAATACTTCCACTGGCTGAGAACACATGCCTTTTAAGGTAATCTATTTTAGAACCAGCAGTGTCTGGCACATTGTAGGTACATATACATATATTATTTTTTTGGAGAGAGTCTCGCTCTGTCATCCAGGCTAGATGAACTGCAGCCTCGAACTGCTGGGCTCAAGGGATCCTCCTACCTTGGCCTCCCAAAGTGCTGGGATTACAGGTGGGAGCTACCACACCTGGGCAGGTACTAATATTTGCTTATAAATGAATAAAATCCCAATGTTTTAGGGACAGAAAGCTCATTACCTCTCAATATACCTTGACTATTAAAGACAGTTCTGACAATGAGACAAAAAAAAAATCTATCTTCTTATAGCTTCAGTCCATTAGACCTAATCCGATACTCCATAACAACAAAGGACATATTGACTCTTCTTTCCCAATGCCACCCCTTCAAAGATTTATCATGATGTTATTCAAACAAAACAAAACCATCCTGTTCCTACCACTATTTTCCTGTGCCCTTTGAGGCTAACAGTTCTAGATCTTTTAACCACTGTTCATATAACATGATATGAAGACTATTAATCCAGGTTGCCTTCTTCTACACATGATCCAGTTAAAGATCTTTTTAATATGCCATGCTTAGAACAAAATATTTGTGACCTCAGCAGAGCAGACCACAGTGGCACTATCACCTCTCTTACAGCAGACAGCATATTTCTACGAACATCTTTTAAATTATTCAGAATATTTTGGTAGCTGAGGTACACAACTGGTTCATACTAAGCTTAAAATCACCTAAAATCACACTGGGTTTGTCATGTGAACAGGTATTTTTGCCATTCTATGTTTTTATAGTCAATAGTTTTAATCTAAATAAAATCAATAGGTTTTTTCTCACTATTAAATTCTAAGGTTGATATCACCTCATTGGTCAGTCACCTTGTGAAGTTCGTGGGGCAGGCACTCTGAAACCCTTTTACTGATGAGCAATCATCATAAGATATATGATGGCTCATTCTATTTACAAAACAAGTTAGTTGCAGAGTTGAGAACAGAAGATACATCTCCCATTTTCTTAACCAGAGCTCCCCATCCTGTATCATGGATAATAATGATGATGTTAATGATAATCATCTTCAAAGCAGTTAACACTTACTGTAAGCTTACCACATGCCAGGCACTCTTCTAAGATTTTCACATATATTAATCCTCACAACTCTATGAGGTATAGATATTGTTATGATCCTCATTTTACAAATGGGGCAAAGTAAGGTTGTGAGAAGTTAAGTAACTTGCTCAAAAATCACACAGCTAGTAAATGGTAGAAATGGTATTGAAACCCAGATAGATGATTTGGTGCAATCATCTGCTTACACATTCAAGACTAAGAGAGCAACCCAGATACTTAGAGAGATCCCAAAAGACCAGTCCTACCGGTCATGAGCCACTGCCTCCTACTGACAAGAAAGCAAAATGGGTAGACATATCACTCAATTAAGCTGGGTTAACCTGCAGTTCCTAGACTGCAGGGCCCGAACTACCACACTTACCTCCATTGCTCTTCTGGAGAGAGATCTGACATATCAACCTGTAGAAAGACACCACCAGAAAAATCCGTTACTGTCTTAAAACTGTCCCTGCCAATATAAGGTGCTCACACATTTATCAGTATCTTCAAGGAATTAGAGAAGCTTCAAGTCTTAGTATCTCTATGAAGCCTTACCAACCATTCTATTTCACACTGATCTCTCCCTTCTTTAACAGCTTAGTTTGACTCATGTCTATGACTGAATGTGTTGCACGTCTGTGCTAGGCAATAAGGGCAGAGGAGGACAAGAATCCTTAACTCCAAAGACGCTCACAGACTAGTGAGAAAGACAGACGTAAACAGAAAATTTATCTATTATATAATAAAGACTAGCTATAGAACAAAGAGGTGCCTTGCCTTTTAACCTTTTAACCCAATCTGGGGTGTTTTAGACTAGGGAAGGCTTTATGGAGGAGATGTGAATTATCCAGAAGAAGAAATAAGAGAAATACATTCCAGGCAAAGGGACTAAAATGGACAGGAAGGAATAAAATTGCATAGTACACAAGCAATTGAGTATGGCTAGAGCAAAAAGTATGAATCAGGATTAGTGGGAGACAGAGTTAGATATAACACCATGTGACTCTAAATGGCCCTATGGTAGCCGCTAGGCTACACTGGACCTGGGCAAACTGAATTTAGTTCTTGCCCTGCTGCTATTAACTAGCGATATCACTAGCCATCCGACTTCAAAGTTCTCGTTCTATTTGGTAGTCTTATCTTTTCAGAGCTTGTTTTCAACCTTGGCACTACTGATATTTTAGGGTGGTTCATTCCCTGTTGAGGAAGGTGTCCTGTATATTGCCATAGCGTCCCCCTAGTTGAAAACCACTGCTCTAGAATAATACTATATTCTTTGAGTTTAGGGCTCAAGTCTTCTACCTCCTTGCAGTCATACAGAAGCATACCCAAGTCTCAGTACATAAGTCACTCAATGCATTCTTATACTGAATTGAGCTGAAAATGTTCTTTGATCTGATCTACAGAAGAGAGACAAGGCCTTAGAAATACTCAAATCAATCAACAACCATTCCTTTAGTACTTAAGATGTTCAAGGTCCTGTTACCCACGTTCTGATAACGTCAGGAAAGTCCCATAAGTTGAACATTTGAAATAGTAACACAGGTAGAACTTCATTCTACTACTGAGTCAAATCAGCACATATTTACCAGGCATCCTTTATGTATGTGTACTGGAAATGCCCATCACTATTGAAGGTGGCCTTTCCAGCTGCTACATCTCCCAGCTAAGTCAAAAAATAAATTTACCAGGACTTTGCCTAACCAATCTAGGTAATGAAGTCAACATCCCTCCTTCCTTTTCCTACCCACACTGCCTCACAGAATTTATTCAGGTGCCCTGACTCAGGCCTTCATCTCCCAGAAGGATAGAGGTCAGATACTCTGAGGGGACACATGGGAGGTACCTGAGCAGGCAATTATGAATCACATTTCTAAATAACAATCCATGCACAGGTTTCAAGCTACATGCCAAAACTCTTCTTCTTCTTCTCCAACTTGGACCTGCATCTTACCAAGCCTATCTATTAATTGTCCCAAGACACGTGGGACTCATTTCTGTCTCTGGGCCTTTGCATACCCTTCCTTGTACTTACAATGCCCTTCCCTATTTTTCGTTGTTGTTGTTGTTTGTTTCTTATCTACATCCTAGTTATCCTTTAAGAACCCAGCTCCAACTGCAACTTTCCTGATTCCCTAGCCTAGGGAATTTGGTCCTCTGCCTTTCTCCAGCATGGATATTTCTCTTTTTCACTCAAAGTGTAGCCCATGGACTGGCAGTATCAGCATCATTTGGGTGCTTGATAGAAATGTAACATCTCAGGTACCACTCCAGACCCACTGAATCACAATCTGCCTTTTAATAAGACCTCCAGGTGATCAATATGTACATTAAATTTGAGAAGCACTGTTCTATGTTAGTCATTCAGTCTCATGTTATCTTAGACATCCTTTCTAAGTGGTCTAACAGCTTGTCTCTAGCACCAGGATAGGGCAAGCAAGAGACCTGGGGCTCAAAATTTAAGGAAGCACTCACTCTCAGGTACCTACCCTGCACTTGCAGGACCTTAAGAGTGAATGGCTCTCTAAAGTTTATACCCTAGCACCTTGTTTCCCTCACCCTAGTCCTGGCCCTGTTTATGTTTATTTGTTTCCATCCCATGAACATATTAGTTCCCTCAGAGCCAAGACACACTTTATAGTGATTTATGTCTTTCAAGGAGAACAGCACAGAGCTGAGCATATATTAAGCACTCAATGAGTACTTGTGGAATTGAAGAAAATTCTCTTTATTAAGGGAAGCAAGTATGCTGACAAACCAGCACCTCACCTGGAGATGCTTAAATTGTACAGAGTAAACAAACACTTGAAAAATAACTAATAAGCATCAGGGAAAGGAGTATTCATTTGACACCAGGGAAATCATGTTAAAAACTATGTAACAAAACAAAGCAACTACCTGTTCAAGAAACCAAATCCAATGAGGGGGAAACTAGGAAAATCTGGAATACTGGGCCAGGCATGAAGGTGCCTCTCTTTGACATAATGGACCAAGCATGCTACTGTCTATGGCTTAGTTTCTCCATCTAGAAAATAGAGAAATAAGACTTCTGACTTCATTATAGAGCTGTGAAGAAAGTATATTCAAGGTGATCAAGTGATTTCACTGCCTTTCCTCCTGGCAAAGTGGACATATTTTAAAACTACTAGAAGAGGCCAGAGATAATTGAATGTTGGTGAAGCAGAGGACAGTAATGCTGTCAGAGCCTCAGGGAAGGCAGCTCGGAAGGGCAAGAACTAAGGCTGAGACTAGACTTGAGGCTTAGAGGATCATTAGCACTTCATGGAGTACTACAAATGTTAAGAGTAAGACATGATCTGGCTTTAATATTTGCCTCCTGACCAAAAAGGTTATTTAAGTTACATCCAAACCAGTCTTCCTGCTCAAGTAAAAAAAAATAAGGGAAGGAGTAAACTATGGCTATAATTAACCTGTACCATCTGGAAAGGCATCTTCATTTGCTCCCTCATTAAGGAGTTTATTCATTTGGGGCCAAGCATTAACTCAGTCTGAAGGCACCTTGTCCAAAGCTCAGGTAGCTAATTAGGTAAGGCTCTCAAGATAAGGATACTTACTGATTCATGAGCCCTTATCCAACTCCTAAGACCTACAGTGACTTAATGCTAGCCAATTGCTCCCCAACTAGGATCTCACAAGGCCCCCAGTCATGCCCAGATTTGAAAGACATTAAACCAAAAATAAATGCTAGGCAGAGGGAAAGAGAACATTTTGCAAAGATGAAAAATTATGAGAAGTTGACTGCTACATTTTTTTTAGGTTCAAAAGACTCAGGGACTCACTAACGTATCCCCACAAACAGGTCTCCTGTCCCCCCAAAATATCATAAACCCTATGATCTCTGCATCTGTAGGCAGGCTGCTCATTTTGTCCCTTAAGGCCCTTTCTTTCACCAAACCACATTCTGCCTTACTGCAAAACTCTGGCCAAATCCTTCTGGTCTCTAGTAGGCTCTTTAGACAGACCCCATTTATTGAAGAACAAACATCCTCTACTGCCTTGCTAAGTGTGGTCTACAGCCTAGCACCAAGAGTACCCTGAGAGCTTGTTAAGAAACAGAAAATCGCAGACTCCATCCCAGACCTCCTGAGTCAGAATCTGAATTTTAATAAGATACTGAAATAATTCATATGTACATTAAAGTTTGAGAAGCACTGCTACTACATCCCAGCACTCACAATCACAAATTGCATCTACAGCCATACGCATCTGTACACTTGACTCTTTATTTAACAACTTTACAGAGATCTAACTCACATACCATAAAATTCACCCATTTAAAGTGTGCTATTCTGAGGTTGGGCACGGTGGCTCATGCCTGTAATCCCAGCACTTTGGGAGTCTGAGGCAGAGGATCTCTTGAGGCCAGGAATTTGAGACCAGCCTGGGTAACACAGCGAGAACCCATCTCTACAAAAAATAAATAAATTAGCCAGGCGTGGTGGCATGTGCCTGTAGTCCCAGCTACTTGGGAGGCTAAGGCAGGAGGACTGCTTAAGCCCAGGAGTTTGAGGCTGCAGTGAGCCCTGATCACAGCAATGCACTCCAGTCTGGGTGACAGTGCAAGACCCTGTCTCTAAAAAAATAAATAAAATGTACTATTCTGTACAAAATCTCAGACAAGAGGAATATGTTTTTTCTTTGAGTTCTATTGCACAGCATGGTTAATACTGTTCATAACAGAATATTGTACATTTCAAAATTGCTGAGAGTGAATTTTCAAATGTAGTCACCACAAAAAATGTTAAGTATTTGAGGTGATCGATAAGTTACTAGCTTGATTTAATTATTCCACATTGTATTTATGAAATTTTTTTTTTTGAGACAGAGTCTTGCTCTATCGCCCCAGCTAGAGTGCAGTGGCACGATGTCAGCTCACTCAACCTCCGCCTTCCAGGCTCAAGTGATTCCCTCGCCTCAGCCTCCTGAGTAGCTAGGATTACAGGCATGCGCCACCACGCCTGGCTAATTTTTGTATTTTTAGTAAAGATAGGGTTTCACCATGTTGGCCAGGCTGGTCTCGAACTTCTGACCTCAAGTGACCTGCCTGCCTCAGCCTCCCAAAGTGCTAGGATTACAGGCATGAGCCACCGAGCCTGGCCATGTATTTATAAATTATAACATCAGTCTGTATCCCACAAACTTACACAAATATATAAATTGTCAATTTAAAATTTTAAAAAATTAAGTATACTATTCGAGATTTTTAGTATATTCACAAAGTTGTGCCACTATCACCACCAAGTTGAGAACATTTTTGTCACCTCAAAATAAAATCATGTGCCAGTTAGCAGTCACTCTCCATGTTCCCTGCAGCCCAAGGCAACCACTAATTTACATTCTGTCTCTATCTATAGATTTGCCTATTCTAGACAGTTCATATAAATGGGATCATAAATATATGGTCTTTTGTGACTGGCTTCTTTTCACTTTGCATAATTCTTTCAAGGTTCATCCACTTTGTAGCATGTACTGTAGTTCATTCGTTTGTATTGCCAAAGAATATTCCATCGTATAAATACCACGTTATTTATCCATTCATCAGCTGATGAATGTAGGCATTGTTTCTACTTTTTGGCTATTATAAATAATGCTACTATGAACATCCATCTTTAAATTTTTGTGTGAATATATGTTTTCATTTCTCTTGAGTGTATACCTAGAAGCAGAATTGCTGGATCATATGGTAAGTCTCTGCTTAACCTTTTGAGGAACTAGCAAACTGTTTTCCACGGCAGCTGTACCATTTTACAGTCCCACCAGCAGTGTGTGAGGGTTCCAATTTCTCCATATCCTTCCCAGTACTTATAATCTCTGATTAAAGCATCCAGTGACTATGAAATGGTATCTCAATGTGGTTTTGATTTTCCATTTCCCTGACAGCTAAATGACGTTGGACTTCTTTTCATGTGTTCTTTGGCCATTTGTGTATCTTCTTTGGAGAAAAGTCTATTCATAGCCTTTGTCCATGGTTTTTTTTTTTTTTTTTTAAGAGACAGGGTCTTGCTATAGTGCCCAGGCTGGAGTACAGTGGCTATTCACAGGCATGATCATTGTACATTAGAGCCTCAAATCCCTGGGCTCAAGCAATCCTCCCACCCCAGCCACCCAAGTAGCTGGGACTACCTCCCAAGTAGCTGAGACTACCTCAGCCTCCCAAGTAGCTAGGACTACAGAGGACTACCCTCTGCAGGGGCTAGGATTATATCTCGCTCCCACTTTTCACCCCAAAAAATTGGTTCAAGGCAACAAAATACCCTTCTCAGTGAAGAAAAAAATAATGTACATCCTAATCTGGCACAGGTCTTTACTTGCTATATGTCAATGAATAGGGTACCTCTCTCTATGCCTCAGTTTCCTCATTTATAAAATGAGAGAGTTGGCTTAGACGACTTTCATTATTGCATTTTTTTTTTTTTGAGACGGAGTTTTGCTCTTGTGCAATGGCACAATCTCGGCTTACCGCAACCTCTGCCTCCCAGGTTCAAGCGATTCTCCCACCTCAGCGTCCCGAGTAGTTGAGATTACAGGCATGCACCACCACGCCCAACTAATTTTGTATTTTTAGTAGAGACAGGGTTTCTCCATGTTGGTCAGGCTGGTCTCAAACTGCCGACCTCAGGTGATCCGTCCACCTCAGCCTCCCAAAGTGCTGGGATTACAGGTGTGGGCCACCATACCCAGCCTCATTATTGCATTCTTCAGCTAAAATGCTATAATAATTCAAATAAAATCTGTCTAACTCCAAAGTTCTGGAGTGAGCTATAATACTCTGGCCTTCAAAACTGCTATAGTTTCCCTAGTTACCACAGAATTAAAAGTTAAGATGCTGCCTGTAGTCCCAGCTACTGGGGAGGCTGAGGCAGGGGAATGGTGTGAACCCAGGGGGCGGAGCTTGCAGTGAGCCAAGACCGCGCCACTGCACTCCAGCCTGGGAGACAGAGCAAGACTCCGCCTCAAACAAAAAAAAAGTAAGATGCCTTTAGTGTGGTGAGGTATAACTGGATGCTACCAAATCATATCAACAATTTTTTTTTTTTAAGACAGAGTCTTGCTCTGTCGTGTCGCCCAGACTGGAGTGCGATGGCATGATCTCGGTTCACTGCAACCTCCACCTCCTGGGTTCAAGCGATTCTCCTGCCTCAGCCTCCCCAGTAGCTGGGATTACAGGTGCAAGCCATCACGCCTGGCTAATTTTTGTATTTTTAGTAGAGACAGGGTTTCATCATGTTGGCCAGGCCAGTCTCAAACTCCTGACATAAGTGATCCACTAACCTCGGCCTTCCAAAGTGCTGGGATTACAGGCGTGAGCCACCGTGCCTGGCTATATCAATAAAAATCTACCAAGGGACTACCATATGCATACATCAAAAATATCTATCACTCAGAGGATGGCCTCCCACCCTGGCTTCAAGTATCTGCTAACTGTAAAGGGCCCTAAACTCTGAAACCCAATCCTTCACCTCTTTGGCTGAGCAACCTAGCATTTCAGACAATTCAGCTGATCCTTTCATACTAACAACTGATCAACTATACAGCTAGAGAATTCTTTTTTTTATATTTTTTGTTTGTTTTTGGGTTTTTTGTGCGAGTTTTGTGTGTGTGTGTGTGTGTTCTGTTTTGTTTTTGAGATGGAGTCTTGCTCTGTCGCCCAGACTGGAGTGCACTGGCGCAATCTTGGCTCACTGCAACGTCTGCCTCCCAGGTTTAAGCAATTCTCTGCCTCAGCCTCCAGAGTAGTTGGGATTACAGGTACGTGCCACCACGCCCAGCTAATGTTTTGTATTTTTTTTTTCAGTAGAGACAGGGTTTCACCATCTTAGCCAGGGTGGTCTTGGACTCCTGACCTCGTGATCCACCCACCTCAGCCTCCCAAAGTGCTGGGATTACAGGTGTGAGCCACCGTGCCCGGCCGTGTGCATGTGTTTTGAGATGGAGTCTTACTCTGTCACCTAGGTTGGAGTGCAGTGGCACAACCTTGGTCTCCTGGGTTCAAGCGATTCTTCTGCCTTAGCCTCCCAAGTAGCTGGGATTATAGACACGCACCACCACACCCAGCTAATTTTTGTAGTTTTAGTACAGATGGGGTTTTCACCATGTTGGCCAGGTTGGTCTTGAACTCCTGACCTCAAGTGATCTGCCTGCCTGGGCCTCCCAAAGTGTTGGGATTACGGGCATTAGCCACCATGCCTGGCCTGTTTTTGTTTTTTTGAGACAGGGTCTCACTCTGTCGCCCAAGCTGGAGTGCCGTAGTGCAATCACAGATCACTGCAGTGTCGACTTTCCAGGCCTAAGCAATCCTCCCACCTCAGTTTCCTGAGTAGCTGGGACTATAGGCACGTGCCACCACACCCAGCTAATTCTTAAATTTTTTGTAGATAAGGGGTCTCCACATGTTGTCCTGGCTGCTCTTGAACTTCTGGGCTCAAGTGACCCGCTCACCCCAGCCTGCCAAAGTGCTAGGATTACAGGCGTGAACCACCATGCCCAGCCAAGACTTCATTCTTTCACAAAACATTAAAGAGGAATAAGCCCAACCTTTGCCCTTGATGTATTCACAGTCCAAGAAGTAGGGAGAGACAGACTATTAAATATAAAATAATATGATAAGGATAACCTTTGACATATACACAAAATGCTGTGTAAGCCCCAGAGAAAAAGACAGATTAGCTAGCTCATGAAACCTGGTAGGTTCAGCACAACCAGGCTAACTGTCTCTATCTGGTGGGGTTCAGATACTGTGGTATTCTGCGTGATTAAGATAACAAGTGAAGTCCAAAGGTTCACAGGCTACCACATTTGTAGCTCCCCATTCTCCTCTCATTCACATTCTTCCCCAACTCCTCAGCTTTGCCAAGAATTCAAGGCTAATAAGTTGAAGTGGAAACCTCACCTTTCAGGCCACCAAAGTCATAAATCAGCTGGAGATCATGCAGACACTGGATATGGTTAGCCTGACAAGGGTGGCACACTTTGGGCAGTGAAGTGAAAGTAGATGTTGGCTCTAACAGCTGCTACAGCTGCTGCCTGCCCTTTACCCCCACCCCTCATCAGAAAGCACAACCTCCTGGCCAGCTGAGTTGATAAGCTTTTTTTTTTTTTTTTTTTTTTTTTTGGAGACAGTTTCACTCTGTTGCCCAGGCTGGAGTGCAGTGGCGCAATCTCAGGTCACTGCAACCTCTACCTTCCAGGTTCAAGCGATTCTCATGCCTCAGCCTCCCAAGTAGGTGGGGCTACAAGTGCAGCCACCACGCCCGGCTAATTTTTGTACGTTTAGTAAAGATGGGGTTTCACCACGTTGACAAGGCTGGTCTCGAACTTCTGACCTCAAGTTATCCAACTGCCTCGGCCTCTCAAAGTGCTGGGATTACAGGCGTGAGCCACCGCACCTGGCCAAAAACCTTTTTAAATTAAACTTTTCAAATTTGGGAGCAACTAAGTTTGCTTCTTTGGTTCTTCAATTGCTATCCCATCAAATTCCTATTTTTCAGTCTGGCTTCCTCCCTCTCTGGCCCTCCTCTCTCACTCTTTCCTATATGCACTGCAGCTTTCCATATACTCAAACTTTTTACCCATCTTTAAAGATCCAATCTAGGTGTCACCTCCTCCAGAATCTTTCAGAACAGAACTATCCTCTATGAACTCCTAAGGCCTTTACAGCCCATACAGTTCATGTGCTGATCATATCTAAACATCTATAAAATCTCCCTTGAGTTTTTCATTGCCATAGTGCCTTAGTTCAGACTTTATCCCTTGCTCTTTCTCTAACAATTGGAGTGGCCTCCAAAATGATCTCCCCGACTCTAACTTTGCCAGCACAGATTCATGACACAGCAGCAGCCACAGTGATCTTTATTAGACACACACCTGATTGCATCATCCTACTACTTTGACAAACTTTGATGACTTTCTATTGCCTTGGGGTTAAAGTTCAAACTCCTTAGTAGGACACACAAAGGACTTCATAATATGGCCCAACCAGCGACCTTATTTCACCACTCTCCACCAAATGGCTTACATTCCAGCCACATTGAACTATCTATCTCTTTCATCCCTCAGTGCTTTCTTTGGCTGCTGCCGTCTTTTCTCTCTAGAATTCTCTACTCACCTTCACTCCTTCACTGCCCAATTCCTTTTTTTTTTTTGAGACAGGTCTTTGTCACTCAGGTTGTAGCGCAGTGGCTTGATCATAGCTCACTGCAGTCTCAACCTTCTGGGCTCAAGGGATCCTCCTGCCTCAGCCTCCTGAGTAGCTAGGACTATAGGCACATGCCACCATGCCTGGGTAATTTTTGTTATTTTCTGTAAAGATGAGGTCTCTACAAACTTCTGGGCTCAAGTGATCCTCCGGCGCTGGCCTCCCAAAGTGCTCGGATTACAGGTGTGAGCCACCATGCCTAGCCATATCATCCATTTTAAGTAAGAAATTCAATTATTGTTAGTATATTTAAAATAAGATGCAACCAGCCAGGCACAGTGGCTCAAGCCTGTAATCTTAACACTTTGGGAGGCCAGGCAGGCGGGTCATCTGAGGTCAGGAGGTTGAGACCACATGGGCAACATGGTGAAACCCCGTCTCTACTTAAAATACAAGTTAGCCAGGTGTGGTGGCGCATGCCTGTAATCCCAGCTACTAGGGAGGCTGAGGCAGGAGAATTGCTGGAACCCAGGAAGCGGAGGTTGCAGCAAGCCGAGATCATGCAACTGCACTCCAGCCTGGGTGACAGAGCGATACTGTCTCAAAAAAAAAAAAAAAAAAAAGAGCCAGAGCACCTGTAATCCCAGCTACTTAGGAGGCTGAAGCAGGAGAACCACTTGAACCCGGGAGGCAGAGGCTGCAGTGAGCTGAGACTGCACCACTGCACTCCAGCCTGGGTAACAGAGGGAGATTCTGTCTCCAAAAACATAATAATAATAAATAAAATAAGATGCAACCATCTTATTTTAAATCATTTCCGTCACTCTAAAAAAAAAAAAAAAACCTCATGCTCATTTACTAACTCCTCATTCCCATCCCCAAGCCCTGGTAACCATTAATTTCTTTTATACTGCTATATATTTGCCTTTTCTGGACCTTTCATACAAATGAATTCATTCAGCAGCTGAATGTGACAGCATATGCCTGTAAACCCAGCTACTCTGTGGAGGGTGACAGGGGAAAATCCTGTGAGTCAGGAGTTACAGACCAGCCTGGGCAACACGGCAAGACCTTATCTCAAAAATAAATAAATAAATTCATTCATTGAGTATGTGATCTTTTGTGACTGTCTTCTTTCACTCATCAAAATGTTTTCAAGGATCACCCATCACCCATGTTATAGCACTTATCAGGAGTTCACTCCTTTTCTTACTAAATAATATTCCATTGCATAGGCAGACACATTTTATTTATCCTTTCATCAGAGGATAGACATTTAGGTTATTTCTACTTGGGGCTATTATGAGTAATGTTCCTATCAATATTTGTGTATAAGTTTCTGTGCGGATTTTTCTTTTCTTTTCTTTTCTTTTCTTTTTTAAGGCAGAGTCTTACTCTGTTACCCAGGCTGGAGTGCAGTGGCACAAACATAACTCACTGCAGCCTCAACCTCCTGGGCTCAAGTGATACTCCCACCTCAGCCTCCCGAGTAGCAGGGACTACAGAAACGAGCCACCATGTCTGGCTATTTTTTATTTTCAGGGAAGATGGGGTTTCTCTATGTTGCCCAAGCTGGTCTTGAACTCCCGGGTTCAAGTGATCCACCCTCCTCAGCCTCCCAAAGTGCTGGGATTACAGGTGTAAGCTACTGGGCCTGGCCTTTTGCCCATTTTTTACTAGGTTATTTTTTTTATTATTGATGAGTTGTAAAAGCTCTTTATATCTTCTATAGACAAATACCTTATTAATATATGATTTGCAAACAGTTTTTCCCATTTAGCCATCCTAGTGGATCTGAAATGGTTAAAGGATCATTTGAGTCGTATTCTTCTTTGTATTTCAGAGAACTAGCTCATAATCTGGTATACTGTATGTGTTCAATAAATGACAGACAGATGTTAAATAATATTAACTGCTTTGGAAACAAGGATAAATGACTTACTTGTTCAGCATCCCCTTCACACTTCACACTTAGAACTAGACACAAAGCAAATGCTTGGGAAATACTCAGACACTGAGTAATTCTCTCTTAATTCTCTCTTGAACAAACAGTGGGGATGATATTGCAGAAGAATCCAGAGGAACTGGGAAAGCCATCTGATACAGCCAACGGCTACTAAGTTTAAAAGTGACTCCTTTTGGCACAGTGGCCATGTGAAAAAAATTAAAAATCTTAAAAATAAATAAATAAAAGTGAATCTTGGCCAGACATGTTGGCTCATGCCTGTAATCTCAACACTTTGGGAGCCCGAGGCAGGAGGATCACTTGAGGCCAGGAGTTGGGAGACCCAGCTGGGTAACATAGCAAGACTCCATCTCTACAAAAAATTTAAAAATTAGCCAAGTGTGGTGGCACACACCTGTAGTCCCAGCTACTCAGGAGGCTGAGGCAGGAGGATCACTTGAGCCCAGGAGGTTCAGACTGCAGTGAGCCATGATCACACCACTGCACTCCAGCCTGGGTGACAGAAGACCCTGTCTCAAAAAAAAAAACAACAAAAAAGTGACTCTTCCTTGTAAGAGAAATACTAACATAATCCTACTTGATCTTTAATAGCCAGCAGTAAATACTTTCCAAACTTAACACAGCATACAGCTAGGACTGAAGGAAGATTTAGGGAGAAGGGAAAACCAAAGTTCATGGCTGGTAGTACCAGAAGGCCTAGATCAGTGGGGTAAGAAATATATCTACTATCTTTTCCTTCCTTCCTATTACTCAGTCTACAAACTTAATCCAGGTCCTTCAACCTCATGTACTTCTCGAGTCACTGTGTCACCCAAGTTCAAATCTTCTGGTGTCCTAATGCTGCCTGTGAAAGTAAGAACTCCTTAGTAGACTACACAATGCCCTCCACAGGAGCACGGACAGTGAGCTCTTGGGACCACACAAGGCCATGACCTGACCCCTAGCTGTCTTTCCAGTTTTACCTTCCTCTGCTCCCAGCTCCTTTGGGACTTAACATATGCTCTCCTGCAGTATATATAATACACCAGAAATTATGTGCATTTTAGAATTAGATAAATTTGGAAGCCCTACTTGCCTGGATTAAGGCAAATTTTTCCTGCCCCTTAGTCCCTCCTCCATTTCTGCCCCAAGAATGATCTTTCTATAATGCACATCTGATCCATGTCATTCACCTAAGTTCCTCTTTTTTTTTGAGACAGAGTCTCGCTCTGTTGCCCAGGCAGGAGTGCAGTGGCACAATCTCGGCTCACTGCAACCTCCACCTCCTAGCTTTAAGTGATTCTCCTGCCTCAGTCTCCCGAGTGGCTGGGATTACAGGTGCATGCCACCACGCCTGGCTAATTTTTTGTATTTTTAGTAGAGACGGGGTTTCATCATGTTGCCCAAGCTGGTCTCGAACTCCTGACCTCAAGTGATCCTCCCACCTCAGCCTCCCAAAGTGCTGGGATTACAGACATGAGTTACCGTGCCCAGCCAACCTAAGTTCTTAAAGCTCTTCTACAGCTAATCATCAGCTACAGATAAAAATCCAAACTCCTCAGCACAGCATATAAGGCCTTATGTGTCATCACATCTGCCTCCCTTTCCAGTCTCCCTATTTTATCATTACTCCCCACCTTCTACTCTGAGGTTCCAGTAATACTAAACTGCATACAGTTCCCTGAAGGTGGCATTCTCTTTCTCACCTCCCACCTTGCACATGCTGCTCCTCCTGCCTAGAGGGCTCTTCTATTCTTTCTTTAGCTGGTTAATTTCTAGTCACTTTCACACTCAGCTATGGTATCACTTCTAGGGAGTCTTTTCTGATCCCTTGCCTGCCATTTTTGGTGCTCCCTGAAATCTCTGCTTCTTCATATTATAGCAATTATTACATCTGTTTACTAACTTTTCCACTACACCATGAGCAACCTGAGAGCAAGGCCTATGTCTTTGTTATCTTTCACATCTAATGCAGTACCTTGGTAAATTCACAGTATGTGACCAATCAATAAACAAGTGAACAGGATTCTCCCAACATACACGAGGCTGGCGTAACAAATGCCTTTATTATTTTAAAGCTGACAGCATTACCTTATTGACTTGTCACAGATAACAGCTGCATGGCAGAGCTAGGATAAAAAGCCAGATCTTCAGAGTCCCAGAACAACGTCCAAACCTCTCCCTGAGCTATAAGCTCGTATTTCCAACTGCCTAATTAACATGGCACCTAATGGTACCATGGTGATGCCATTTACTCAAGTCAAAGCAAAAAATTCAAAAAAATATAAAAGCAAGCTTGATTATTTTCTTTCCCTTACATCACATATCCAATCCACCAGCAAGTCCTGTAGGCTCTATTTCAAAACATATTCTAAATTTATCCACTTTTCTCCATCGTCTCTGCTATCCCTGCTATGGTCTGAATGTTTGTGTTCCCCAAAATTAGTACGTTGAAACCTAACCTCCAATGCAATAGTATTAAGAAGAGGTGGAGGGAACCTTTAGGAGGTGATTAGGTTGTGAAGGTGGAGACCTCATGAATGGGATTAGTGCCCTTACAAAAGTGGCTTTAGGGAGGCTGTGTGTCCCTTCTGCCATGTGAAGACACAGCAACAAGGAGCCCCCTTTGAAGCACAGAGCCTTTGCCAGACATCATATCTGCTAGAACTTTGCCTTTAGACTTCCCAGCCTCCAGAACTGTGAGAAATATATACATATATATGTGTGTGTGTGTGTGTGTGTACATATATATATCTATATATATATATATATACAGATATATAGATTTTTTTTTTGGAGACAGAGTCTCGCTGGAGTGCAGTGGCACGATCTTGGCTCACTGCAACCTCCGCCTCCCAGGTTCAAGCGATTCTCCTGCCTCAGCCTCCAGAGTAGCCGGGATTACTGGCACCTGCCACCATGCCCAGCTAATTTTTTATATTTTTAGTAGAAACGGGGTTTCACCATGTTGGCCTGGCTAGTCTCAAACTCCTAGTCTCAAGTAATCCGCCCGCCTCAGCCTCCCAAAGTCCTGGGATTACAGGCGTGAGCCACTGTGCCCGGCTAAATTTCTGTTGTTTATAAATTACCCAGTCTAAGGTATTTTACTATAGCAGCCCAAAAGGACTAAAACACCCCCCACCGAATCCAAAACACTATCATCTCCCATATGGACTATTACCATAACTTCCTAACCCTCTCACTGAGTCACCTCCTACAATCCATTCTTCTCAAAGCAGCCAGAAAGATCTTTTAAAAAATGAAAATCAGCTCACATCACTCCCATTTTGAAACCCAATCAAAATCTTTTCATTGCCGGGCACGGTGGTTCATGCCTGTAATCCCAGCACTTTGGGAGGTCGAGGCAGATGGATTATTAGGTCAGGAGATTGAGACCATCCTGGCTAACATGGTGAAACCCCGTCTCTAATAAAAAATACAAAAAAATAGCTGGGCGTGGTGGCAGGCACCTGTAGTCCCAGCTACTCGGGAGGCTGAGGCAGGAGAATGGCACGAACCCAGGAGGCGGAGCTTGCAGCGAGCCAAGATCGCGCTACTGCACTCCAGCCTGGGCAACAGAGCAAGACTCCGTCTCAAAAAAAAAAAAAAAAAAAATTCTCATTACACGCTCAATAAAATTCAACATGTATCACAGCAGCTACAAGGCCTTATAAATCTGACCTTGCCAGACTCCCTGACCTCATACAGAACCATTTTTCCTTTGCTAATTATGATCTGTCACACTGGCTTTCTTTTTGGTCCCAGGACATGCCTTGTTCATTCCCATTAATTTGTACTTGCTTCTCCCTCCACTTGGAACATATCTGCTTCCAAATCTCGAAATTGCTAGGTCTTCACCATTCAGGACTTGGTTCAAGTAGCATTTCCTCAGAGGCTTTCCATAATCACCCTATTTAAAGTAGCCTTTCTCTTCTAGTCATCTTTATCACATTACATTACTTTTCTCAAAGCATTTGTCACCATCTGGAGTTATCCTGTTTATTTGTTATCTACTTTACCACATTAGAAACTAAACCTAATATGAGCAAGGACCTCAGTTGTCTTGTTCACTGCTGAATTACTGGGACCTAGAAAAATGTTTGACACTGAAGTCACAAGTATTTGAAGAAGGAAATAATGAATAATTAATACAGACCACAAACTTAATAAATGTTTACTGAATACATGAGTGAACGAATTAGGGAGAGAAATAAAGGGCAAAACATAAATAAGTGAAAGCACTGCTATTTAACATTTTTATAGCTGCTCACTTCTCTCTACCCTACTGTCTTTGCTCAAGCTCAGGTCCGCATCATCTCGCTCCTAAACTACTGCAATATCTCCTAACTGATTTATTCTCCTTTTTCCAACCTGATCCTTCCAAAAGTAACTTCCAAACTTCAATTAGACTTGGTCATTCTGAGACAGAGATCTAAACACATTACTCCCCTGCTCAAGACTCTTCAGTGGCTCTCTACAGCCCAGGCTTTTTAGCACAGTCACTCACTGCTATCCCCTTACGTTTAACCTAAATTCCAGTCATACAGAACTGCGTACAGTCCCAGAATATTCCACGCTGTTTAACGTCTCCAAGCCTTGCATATCTTTTCATTTTGCTGGACCACTCACTCTTCCTTACCTCACTGATTTTGACTACCTATTGAACTCAACTTAATCCTCAAGAACAAACTCAAAACATCTTCTCCATTAAGTCTTTAAGGATTCCCGAAGCAGAGTTAATCACTCCCTCCTTTGTGTCATCACAGTACTTAACACATGCTGACACTATACTACAACCATCTGTTCCCATGTCTGGTTTACCTCACAGGACTATTAATCTCGTGAGAGCAGGAGCCACATTTTCATCTTTGTGTCCCCAGCACAGTATCTAGCATATATCAGAACTCAATAATTGGTGACTGAAGGAATGAATAAATGTATCCAAACTCCTCAGCCTGGCATTCAAAAGTCAACCTCATGTTGGCCCCAACCTACCTTTTTTAATTTAGCTCTTACTCTTCTCTTACTTGCTAATCACAAATACATCCTCATTTCTCAACATTGACCTTGGGCGTTCATTCCTAATGCTCTAATGAAATTCAAATCATCCATGAAGGCCGAACTCAAATGGCTCCCTCTCCAAGAAGTCTTCCCTAGCCATATCCATGAGAGGGTACTTCCCCTACAGTACTTTGTTTTTTTCTACCGGAAAAAAACATTTAGTACTTCTTATTTTAGAATTATGGCCACTATCTTTCCAACTGGACTACATGTCTTATTTTTCTAACTAGACTGTAAATTCCCTGAATGCAAGAAACATGGTTTTCTCTCAACCCAAATCCCTAACATAGTGACTTGCACAAAGCATGCAGTTATCAGTAAATATATCATTAGTGAGGAATCATATGCTCAAGGATTAGAGACTTCATGTCTTTATTCCTTTATACATATGCTTTTACCTTGGCCTAAAGTGGCCTCCTATCCACATGATAAACTTTTAAGAATCAGCCTAAATGCCATACCCTATCGGAAGTCTTCTTTAATGCTCCCAAATAGACTTAAGCACTCCTTCTTCTGTACACTTGTGGCATCTTGTACGTAATTTATAACTCTACTCCTCATACTATATTGTCATTATCACTTGATGGGTTCCTCTCCCAACTAGACCATAACTTCTTTAGAGCAGAGATAGTCTCTTTGTCCATTTATTAATTCCCAAGACTAAAAAGAGTACCTGGCATAATTAAGTGCACAATAAATACATAGTGACTTTTGAAAATAATGAATCCATGTCATAGTGTATACCAGCAATAGTGTACACTATAACATGAAGACATGAGGTTGTATCACCATGTTCAAATCCCACCTCCACTTACAAGCTGTGTGACCCTGAATAAATTACTTTTCTGTGTCTCAGTTTTTCTCATCTGGAAAATTAAGATAACAGTATTAAAATAGAATTAGCTTTTCCTCTTCCAGTAAGCAGCCTAAGATGATCTGTGAAAATGGTTGGCTATTAACTTGACCCAGAACACCCCACAAAATCATGCAAATCAAGATATTAAAATCTTCATATTCACTTTAAGAGTCAAGAAACTGCCCAGGCCATAGGGGTGGAGGGAAGTTGCGGGGGGCGGTGCAAATCCAAAAAGCCACAAAGTATCTGAAAGATGTCACTTTATAGAAGCCATGTAAGCCATTCCATTGTTCCAACTGTGGAGTCAGTAAGTGTGCCTAAGCCAAACAGTGAGGCTGGGCACAGGGTTAGTGGACCAAAAAGACTGAATTTTTGCTGCACATGCTTAAAAATGCAGAGTAATGCTGAACTTAACAGTTTAGATGAGCCAGGGACAGTGGCTCACACCTGTAATCCCAGCACTTTGGGAGTCCAAGGTGGGCAGATCACCTGAGATCAGGAGTTCGAGATCAGCCTGGCTAATATGGTGAAACTCCATCTCTACAAAAATACAACAATTAGCCGGGCATGATGGCGGGTGCCTGTAATCCCAGCTACTGGGGAGGCTGAGGTGGGAGAATCGCTTGAACTCGGGAGGCAAAGGTTGCAGTGAGCCGAGATCACACCATTGCACTCCAGCCTGGGCGACAGAGCGAGACTCCGTCTCAAAGAAAAAAAAAAGAGTTTAGATGTATTAATAGATTATCTGGTCATCAAACATATCCAGGTGCATGAAGCACCCAAGATGCACTGCCATATTTACAGAGCTCAAAACCAAATTAACCTATACATGAGCTCCCCTGCCACACTGAGATGATCCTACCAAAAAGGAAAAAATTGTTCCTTAACCAGAAGAGGTGGTTGCACAGAAGAAAAAGATCCCAGAAGAAATGGATGAAACAAAAGCTTATGGTAGGAGAATAAATTTAGGATAAAATAAATTCAAATAAAAGGTTTCTTAGAAGAATTAAGGCCGGGAGCAGTGACTTACGCCTGTAATCCCAGCACTTTGGGAGGCCGAAGCAGGCGGATCACCTGAGATCGGGAGTTCGAGACCAGCCTGACCAACATGGAGAAACCACGTCTCTACTAAAAATGCAAAATTAGCCAGGCGTGGGGGCACATGCCTATAATCCCAGCTACTCAGGAGGCTGAGGCAGAAGAATCGCTTGAACCCAGGAGGCGGAGGTTATGGTGAGCAGAGATCTACCACTGCACTCCAGCCTGGGCAACAAGAGCGAAACTCTGTCTCAAAAAAAAAAAAAAAAAAAAAAATTAAGAGACTACACACGTAAAATGCTTACTTTACTGCCTGGCACATAGTACGCACTAAAAAAGTTAGCTATTCCTGTTACTAAAATAGGAGAAAAGACTGTTCGCAGGGCACTAAATGACAAGCTCAGAGGTAGTTAGGCTCAATCCTATGGGCAACAGGGAGTAAAATGTTGAGGCTTCTAAGTAACAGAATACATTGAGTTATTGATAACACTCTGTGAAAGGAGGACAAAATGAACAGAAACCTTGGCAGGGATTGTGCTCTCTGCTTCCTCTTTCCCCAGTCTCTCCCTAGCTGCCCAGGGCCAAAAGCCCCATGGCCATGATCCAGCATCCTCTTGGGAAAGCTGCACTTTAGAGGGAACTTATGAGTTTATTTTACCTACAGATTTTTCTCTGAGGAGTAGAGGTAGCAAATGACTTCAAGGGAAAACATAAAGAAGTAACATGGAGATGAGGAATGACACAAGATAGATTATATTGGGTTGCCTTCCATGGAGTAAGATTTCAGACCAAATAAAGCCAGGATTACTGGGCCTACATCCCCCAGAGGCATTCTCTGGCAGTGTTTGTGCCATGGCAAGTCAGAGATGCAAAGAAGCAGAATCTGGGAAAAGGTACGACAAGGACTAAAAAGTTGAAGCAATACAGAAATAAGAATCTAATCCAATCTGAAGGACACTCCAATAGAGGCATTCAAAGAAGGAATAGGCTGACCATGGAACGATTAGTTCGCTATCATTAGAGGAGTTCACATACACACTGGTGTCCATTTTCTGGGGATGTTCAACATGGGCAGATGGACTAGATTTAAGATTCATTTTCAAATACAAAAATTAGCTGGGCATGGTGGCAGTGTCTGTAATCCCAGCTACTCCAGAAGCTGAGGCAGGAGAATCACTTGAACCCAGGAGGCGGAGGTTGCAGTGAGCCAAGGTCGCACTCCAGCCTGGGCAAACAGAGCAAGATTCTGTCTCAAAAAAATAAAAAATAAAAATTCAAGTTCAATAAATATTTAAATAACTACTCCATGCTAGCCACTGTGCAAGATTAGGTGCTGAAAATACAGAGATGAAAAAATGATAAGGTGCAGTCCCCTCAAGGAGTTCCCTGCCTAATGGAAAAGACAATACGACATGGTAAGTGCTGACGGAAATCTGTACAGGGCGCTACGGGAGCAGAAAGCAGTGCCGATGACTCACTGATAAGGAACAATTTGGCATTAATTTAAATGAATCCAATGAAAATATTTCATAGGAAGTTTATAAACAAATACTGATAGGGGCTATTGTATTATTTCCAGAACAGATAGTAGGCATGCCAGTCAACCTTTGCAATTTAGTCAACATTCCCTTTATCCTTAACAGAATCCACATCTACAAGCATTCTCATTTACTCAATAAATATATGGATATGGGCTATGTGCCAAGCACTGAGCAAGGCACTGAGGAATGTACAAAGATGAGAAAAATAGTCCCTGCATTAAAGCATTAAAATATTCCTCTTCATCTTCATCTTTCCTTCCTCTCTCTCCTAACCCCTTTACTGACCGAATGACATCTTAAATTCCTTCTGGAAGTAGATGTGTTATTAAGTCATAATAAAAAAGTGACCTGAAAAAGGCCGGGCGCAGTGGCTCACGCCTGTAATCTCAGCACTTTGGGAGGCCGAGGCGGGTGGATCACAAGGTCAGGAGATCGAGACCATCCTGGCTAACACGGTGAAACCCCGTCTCTACTAAAAATACAAAAATAAAAAGTAGCCAGGCGTGGTGGCAGGCACCTGTAGTCCCAGCTACTCGGGAGGCTGAGGCAGGAGAATGGTGTGAACCCAGGAGGCGGAACTTGCAGTGAGCCGAGATCGTGCCACTGCGCTCCAGCCTGGGTGACAGAGCGAGACTCTGTCTAAAAAATAAAAAAGTGACCTGAAAAAAAAGCAAGGGTGAGCTGGGGGTGGCAGGTATTGGAATGGGAATTCAAATGGGAATCTGCCAGGGTATCTGCCAGAGCATGAGGTTTTGACTGAATTCCAAAGTCAAAGGTGATGGAATAAGAGGTTATATGTAAGCCTTTTTGTCTTTTCCTTCCCCATCACCATTTTTAATTCTATCATTCCAATGTTAATTATTAGCACAGATTATTAAGAATAATTATAGGCCAGGCGCAGCAGTTTACGCCTATAATCTCACGCCTATAATCCCAGCACTCTGGGAGGCCAAGGTGGGCAGATCACAAAGTCAGGAGATGGAGACCGTCCTGGCTAACACGGTGAAACCCTGTCTCTACTAAAAATACAAAAAAGTAGCCGGGCGTGGTGGCACACACCTGTAGTCCCAGCTACTCAGGAGGCTGAGGCAGGAGAAACCCTTGAACCCAGGAGGCGGAGGCTGCAGTGAGCCAAGGTCACGCCACTGCACTCTAGCCTGGACAACAGAGACACTCCATCTCAAAAAAAAAAAAAAAAAAAAAGAAAAAGAATATTATGTCTTCATTCATTCATTCAGTCATTCACTAGTATTTACTCAGTACCTGATGAGAGTTATAAGAAACATGGCCAAAATAAAACTCTGTGATCCAAGTCTTTCAAAGCTGCAAGAGATCTCAAAGGTCACCTAGTCCAAACCTATCATTTCACAGATTAAAAACTGAGGTACAGAGGGACTGGAATCTTTCCTGAGTTCACATATTTAAGCATTTATTGAGTCATACTCTATGCCAGGCACAAAGGATATAGGAATGAATAGGCCTTCCTTTCGAGGAGAACACAGTCTGGTGGAAAAGACAAATACCATGACTCCAGTTAAATCACCTCCGGAAAGGAAGACCCAAATGTACATAATGGAAATGTCTAGCATAGAACAGGATGGACAGTATAGAGTACTCATATTGCCCGTTGTGGTTAACAGCACAAGCACTGAAGTAGTCTTGGATTTGAACCCCAGTTCTGTCACTTACCTGGCTGTATAACATTGGGCAACTTACTTAAATTCTCTATGCCTCAGCTTCCACATCTATAAAATGAGATAATAATAATAGTACATATCTTATAAGGTTATGGTATTAAATTAAATAATGAATCTAAGGGCTGGGCGCAGTGGCTCATGCCTGTAATCCCAACACTTTGGGAGGCCAAGGCAGGTGGATTGCTTGAGTCCAGGAGTTCGAGACCAGTCTGAGCAACATGGTGAAACTCTGTCTCTACAAAAATTAGCCAGGCATGGTGGTGCACACCTGTGGTCCCAGCTACTTGGCAGGCTGAGGTGGGAGAATCACCTGAGCCTGGGAGGCTGAGGTTGCAGTGAGCAAAGATCACTCTACTGTACTCCAGCCTGAGTGGCAGAGCAAGACTGTCTAAAAAAAAAAAAAAAAAAAAAGAATGCATTTGGAACACTTGGCACAGGACTAGGCACAGAATAAGTAATCTGTATTATTTCACCCTCAGCACTCTTTTCTGCTAAGCCCTGGCCTCAGAATCCTTCTCGACACAGGCTTCTAAGCATCTATGATCAGATGGCTGTCTCTGAGATAAAACAAATCTGCTATTCCTAGTCTAGAATATGAACCCACTGTTTACTACCCTATGGCTTTTTCCCCACTACACTTGCCACCACTCATTTTACATGCCTAAAAAAAATCCAGAGGTAGTCAGATATCCAAGACTAAACTTCAGTCACATATGCCTTGATCCCTCAGTAAGATATTGGCTTGGACCAAAAATCTCTAGAGAAGAAAATCTCTGGCAACAAGGAACATTTACTAAATGTCTATAGGGAGAGAACCACAGGAGAAAGAACAAACAAACAAACAAAAAACCAGTGATTACTGCTTGAAGAAGCAAGGGATGGGAACTTCCACAGTCTGCCCACTGGGGGTTTACCAACCTAGTGGGAAGAGGAGACGTAACACTGACTGCCACTTCCTCCTTGATGTGCCCACTGCACCCACCCCACTATCACAGCACCTGTGACATATTTTGCATGTACTTATCACTCTTTCTCTACTCATACCAGTCTGTGAACTTTCTGAGGACAATTATCACACTTTATCCATTTTGGTATTATCAGGCACACCAAAGTGCCTGGCACACAGACGTTTCAGAAGTTTGAGGACTAAGTTGAGAAATGAGGGAACAAACTTAAACAGAGAAAACCATAAAAGGCAGGGGGAAAAGGTAGCAGTGTAGATCGGAATAGTCCAAGAAGCCAAGCAAGCTAGAACTTTAAAGGGCAGGTGGAATTTCAAAAGGCAATAAGGGAAAAGAAAGGTATTCTAGGCAGACTGGACAGCACCAACAAAGCCCGGAAGTAATTAGAAACAGTACATAGAGTGCTAGAGCCAGAAAGAGCTAGAGACGATTTCATCCAATAACTCAATTCTCACGGGGATGTCGTAAACATTTAATAAAAAAGCATATACCATTAGGCAGAGGAGCTGGCATATCACAAACATCCAGTAAATGGTAGCTATCATACTATTAATCAAAAACAACGATTATCAAATACTTATTGGGTGCCTACTGTATGCCAGGAACATGCAGAGTGAAGAGAATACAATGGTGAGCAAGATACACTTGGACTCTGCTCTCTCACGAAGCTTACAGTCTAGTGAGGAAGGCAGACAATTTTATAATGCTTGGTGAGCCTAGACAAAGTACAAGCGGGCTGAGGGAACATGAAGTGGGGTCACCCAATCAGTGGACTATAACAGAAAAATCCTTGGTTTTCAAAGGGTGGCTTCAAGCACCTTAGGGGTTCTGTTGAATCCATTCAAGGACCACAAGGCTTCAGAGTGAAATTTTGTTTGAATAAAAGGTTTCATGACTAAATAAAGGTTTAAAAACCACCAATCTAGTCCAGTCTTCTCTTTTAACAAGAGCAAAACAGGGCCAAAGAGAGGTAAATTATTCACTTGAGGCAATAATATTAATACCTCAAGTTAGCTGCAGGCTGGGATACCTGCTTTGAACTCTGGCTTGAGTTAGAAACTCCTCACTGATATGCATGATTTCACATCATTTTGGCAGATAAATAGGACTTGAGAGTGGACACATCCAGATTCACAGGCACTAGCCAGGCAATGCCCTGGCTGGCCCTATTGGGTATTGAAGTGCTTTTTTACCTTAATTCCCAAGCTAGCTTTCTGTGCCAAAAGGGTGCATCTAATTCCTCTCAGAGGTTGGTTAGCCTCCCCTTTGAGGAGGAAATCACTAGCTCCAGGAGTAGATTGGCTTTTGGGCCACCTAACTGGTACCCACATCTTATCCTACTAGCATCTCAAGCATGCTGTACTTTGGCAGGCTGAGAGACAGAACTGAGCTTAGGCAGTCATCATGGCCAGTTTAATACCTGAGCTGAGCTGGCTAGGCCCATCTCTCCTCTCCCTAACTACCAACAGGCTAATCATCCCTCCTGAAAAGGGGTTCAGCAGAATCCACCAGTTATCAGTAAGTTAAAGGACCTGTATGGAAAAACCAATATTCTTTTGGTTAACCCTCATTTTGATCCCCTCAGGGATGACATGCTGCTTTATGTTTTGAAAATGGAAATTTTATACACAAAGAAAAGAGTTTGGGTCTTTAAAATGAAGGGAAACAAACACTCTGGAATCTGGAAACATGGGTTTAAATCTTTGTGACACCACTTGGTAGCCTCAAGACTCTTGGCCTATCTCAAATCCTCTGAACCTCAGCTTCCTCAATCACAAATAGGGAATACTAATAAAACCTTCCTCACAAATGTGAGATTCAAAATGCTCTTTTGAATCACAGCCACTTATCAAATATACGGTATCAATTTTTACATGAGATGATTAAGACGATACAATTTTAAAGTTCCCACCCCCTAGAGCACAAATAGTGGAGTAAGAAATGGAACCCAGGTGCTCAGTATAGCATGGGCTAAGCTCCATATAGCACAGGCAGGCCTGGATCAGAAGCTGTACTTCCCCATTCACAAACTGTGGAATCCTAGGAAAGTTCTTTAGCCTCTCTAGCCTCAGTTTCATTTATAAAATGGGGTTAACTCCATCTAATTCACATGCCTACTGTTAATAATAAATGAGATGATGCAGGTAAAGGGTTTTAAACAGAGGCTGGTGTATGGTTAAGAGCTGAATAAATAGTAGCCTTTTCTACTGGTAGCTCTTTTCCTAAACCCTCTTTTCTATTTATCCCTCTAAAGAAAGAAGCCATTAGGAAAGCCTAAATTACGTCTCAACTTCTAGAGAAAGTATTAATGAAACCAGACAAAAAAAGAGAAAAGGAATATGAATGAATGCCATTCCAGACTACGTATCATGCTAATGGCATCTAATATTGGAAAACATAGGTATAATATCCTGAATATACACAGCGTGTAACTTCTTTCCAAAGAAGTAGAAAAGTACACCAACTCCATCTTAGCCAGGCTACCCATTACCCAATTATAATCTCGGCTCCACATTAGAGTCTATCAATAAAACAGAAAGTGCTACACAGGGGGCAATATTAATGCCACATGTAAACCACTGCTCTTTTGTAAACCCAACCTTTTTCAGCTCAAACCCATCTCTATCATAAAGACTTTACTGACTCCCCCTAGCTGACTCAAGTGCTTGATCTCTTGTGCCCCACTGCATTTGTTACATGCCTCCATTACAGCAATTATCTAGTATTATAATACGCTATTTGCATGTCTCTTCACTCGACTGTAAATTGGTAAAGATCCTGTCTTACTCATCTTTGAATTATCAGTGCATAACACACAGTAGACCCCATAATTACATATTAAAGACGGATTTCACCTGCTGTTTCACAAGCTAAGGCTGCAAAGAAACAGCTGGGGAGACATTAGTAGAAACCTGAATACCAACTAAGGTCTGCCAGACCAGACCTCTGTTATTTTTGGAGCTTGAAGGGATGACTGTTCTGCTTCTCAGAGCTTACTTTCTCAAACATACAACAACAAAAAAGATAGAACCAGTCCACACGGAATTTCCAGACAACAGATTATACCTTTTCTCAGGAAATGAAACAAGTAACAAGGTTCCTGGAATGAATGCTAGTGGTTTCATATAAAGTTAACTCCTATGCATGATACTCTGTAAAGTCTATTATACTACTAGACGCTCTCAAGTCCTTCAAGCAATAAAGAAAAGCTAAGAAACAAAAATCAAACATGTCTTAATGAAAATGTTATTTTCTTAGCCGGGCGCGGTGACTCACACCTGTAATCCCAGCACATTTGGGAGGACAAGATCGGCGGCTCACCTGAGGTCAGGAGTTCGAGGCCAGCCTGACCAACATGGAAAAACCCTGTCTCTACTAAAAATACAAAAAATCAGCCGGGCGTGGTGGTGCATGCCTGTAATCCCAGCTACTCAGGAGGCTGAGGCAGGAGAATTGTTTGAACCCAGAAGGCAGAGGTTGTGGTGAGCTGAGATTGCAATACTGCACTCCAGCCTGGGCAATAAGAGCGAAACTCCATCTCAAATAAAAAAAGAAAATGTTATTTTCTCCTCTGCCAAAACTTCTGCTGTTTATCTCAATGAACCCTGACATATGTAACTACAGCTTTGAGATATACGTAATTGTCTCAAGGGAGAGCCCATGACTAACAAACCTTAAATAAGAACTTCAATACAGTATTTACCCTTTCCAAAGTGTCTTCAAATATATCTCACTGAACCACAGCCAACTGTAATCACAGAAATGTAAAAGCTAGAAGGGGTCTTGGAGGTCATTTCCACAACCACTCCACCTAACCAACCAACTGGTATCCAAACACCTGTAGTCTCTAGTGATTGGGAGGTAGAAGACTACAACACTTCTTTAAAAATCCCCCTGCTGTGATCACCTGTCAATTTCTCAGTCCCTTCCTCCCACCTTAATGATCCCAATCAGGTAATCCAACTCCTCCAACTCATCCCACTACCAGGCAACAGTCTTATTGCTTCCCAAGTCCACTTCTCCCTTTCTCTGAACCTCATCTTCAATCATCCCCAATCCTCCCCACTCTTCCCACACCCAACACACAGCAAGGGGCCTCTAAGATTCTGACCCCTCAGAGATCTCACTGGTTCTATCTCTGACAACCAATCCCCTTCCTCCTATTCCTGTGATGTCTTTGCCCATATGCTGGCATGTGCAAGATCACAAACACCACTAGCTATCAATGTCTCCATGGCTTCAGAATCTTTTCACCTCTGTCTCTGCTTCTCTGCCCTGTCCCTTCATTCCTTTCACACTCAACATCTCCTTCCTCCTAGTGATTCCTTCAAGGACCACTGGTATTTTAATACACCAGTCTTTAAATGCCTATTAGATAGGTAAAGGGAACATACAATCTCAAGGAGCTCACCTTCAAGGAACTCATAAATCCAGAAGAAGAGAGAGACACTTATTTATCGTTTAAAACTCAGCAACTCCGGGAAGCCTTCCCTATCCCAAGCTGAAATGTTGCACACTTCTCAGTGCCACCATTATATCTCTAATGCAATGACTAGTCTTCTTGTCTGTCTCCCACCACTAGACTGTGGGCTCTTCAACGGAGGGGCCCCTTGTCTCCCTAGCACCTGGCCCAGAACCCGGAGCAAAAGTCATAATGTTTATTAAGTGAATAAATGCATGAATTCCGGCATACAATCATTTATTCATCCACTTGTTCCTTCATTCGTTGGCCAAAACTTTACTGAGCATGCATTAGATACAAAGTCTTAGAATGGAACGATAAATAAAACAGTTCCAACTTTAAGATAACTCAAAGCTATACTACTAGTGGATTAGCACTCTTTCCCGGTCTGTGTCCCCAACCCCCACCCTAGGCTTAGACAGAGTCCTCTCCCACAGTAGAAGCCCAGCCTTCCCCTGAAGAAATTCACGTCCCTCCAACTCAAACTACCTCTTAGCCCTTCGGTCCTACCCTAAGACACCCAGCTAGTAATCACAAAATCTTAACACCCCCACCCCTCCGACCTCTCTCTCTGTCCTCCATCTTCACCCTTGAGGCTAATGCAAGTCTTCTACTCCCAAGGCCGCCTCGGAGTCCCCAAGTCAGGAGTGCCTCTGACTTCGCTCTCCACGCACCCGCCCCCTAGTCAGCTCCTTCCCTCTCAGGATCTTTCCCTTCTCTCCTAAGACCCCCACCTCCCGATACCTCACTGCCCCTCCCCTCAGTCTCAGGTTGAGTCTCTCCTCGTCTCTCAACTCCGCTTACCTCATCCAGCTCCCGTTCCCCAGCAGCACCACCTCCAACCTCCACCTCCACCACTGCCGCCATCTTCACGGCTCGCCCCCTCACCGCAGTCCCCGCGCGAGCCAGCTGCTTCCGCTGCTCAAGTGCTCCTAGCCAATCGGCGGCTCGGACTCCAGCAGAGGGGGCGGGGCATCAACACAGGCGGAGACTGTCAGGGATCAGGAGGTTATCTACTTGCTGCACGTTTCAGGGTCAAGGAGAGGGGAGTACCGTGCCCTTGCAAGCTTCAGCAAGGGAGCGTTCTTGGAAAATGAGAAATTTGAATCGCATTATTTTCAGTGCAACTATTTAACCAATTCTTCCCTTTGGAGAGCCAAATGGGAGCGTTCCAAAACGGGCAACTTTCGCGACGCTCCCTCAGTCTGGGCTCCAAGGAGCGAGACGTGGGGACTAGGAACTACGTTTCCCAAGCTGCACTGAGGCTGACCCGGAAGTTTAAATTCCGCTCCCTCCACGAAAGAGTTGTAGTGAGTGAAAATAAATATTAAAACACACGGAAATGTATTTTCCTGGCTGCAGCACCTGCCATCTTGCCTCGGTAGGACTCATTTTCAAAAACAGCAGCTTCTTGAAGCCCCAGAACGCATTCCTGTGCTACGGAAGACGGAAGAGTAGCTCTCGGGGTCAGAAGGCGAAGGTCAGAAGGCCGAATTGGCGGGAGAATAGGTTTGGTGGTCCGAGATCCGAGGCAACGGTGGCTCCTCGAGGTCCACGGTCCCGGGTGAGGGGCGTTGGGATTTGTTGATGGGGAGGGGAGTGGCCGAGAGGGAGGAGGGTGGCCATCAAGGAAATGAACTGAGCAGCCTGTTCCCGATGAGCTGTGAAAGCAGCGGTGCGGCTTGAGCTCCCGAAACTGAGAGCTGAAGAGCCTTGCGGGACCTCCAGGGCACCCACATTCCGCGTCTTACTTAGGCTGTCATGCCAGTTCACACACCTCGGCACACTTTTCTAACCCACATCCTGCGGCCCCAGCTTCTGCCTTACCCTCCTTTTTATACACCATTCACTGTCCCACCCCTACGTATACCTTCATAACTGATTTTTCAGCAGCCGGTGAACTCGATACCTTGCAAGCCTGTAGCCCCAGCTCACACGCCTCTGGGCGTCCGCCTGGATCTGTCTGGTGAATGGAACTAGGATGGCCTGTGAGCCCACAGAACGTCTAGAAAAGTCAGCTTTACATTGGGACCAACAGAAAATTACAGGGAATTATCTACATCATCCACAGGCATCCCATTTACTTAAAAATAATCATTTTTATTTTGTGACACTTAATACGGAGAATATTGTAAATACTGTACACCCATCACCCTAAATTGACTACTGGCATTATGATTTATTTGCTTATTTTTTAAAAGCTAGATAATACAATAAAAGTTAAACTTACCTGTTTTTTCTACTCTCAAGCCTATTACCCTCTCATCCTCTCCAGAAGCAACTATTATGAATTAGAATTAGCTTGTGTTCTCCCAGTCCATTTTTAATAATTATATGTAGCCATGACTATATAGTATTGTATTGTGTTTCATTTTGTTTTTTAATCTGAGTGCTTTTTTTTTTTCTTTGAAACGGTGTCTCGCTGTGTTACCAAGGCTGGAATGCACTGGTTCAATCTGGGCTCACTGCAGCCTCCGCCTACTGGGTTCAAACGATTCTCATGTCTCAGCCTCCCAAATAGCTGGGACTACGTACGCGCCACCACGCCTGGGGAAATTTCATATTTTTAGCAGAGATGGGGTCATGGCCATGGTCTCGAACTCCTGACCTTAAGTGATCCACCCGCCTCGGCCTCCCAAAGTGCTGGGATTACAGGTGTGAACCACTGTGCCCAGCCTGAGTGATACAGGGTCCGGCTCTGTCGCCCAGGCTGGAGTGCAGTGGCGTGATAACTGCTCACTGTAGTCTCATCTCCCAGGCTCAAGCAATTCTCCCACCTCAACCTTGTGAGTACCTGGGACTATAGGCATGTGCCACCACACCTGGCTAATTTTTAAAAATATTTTGTGGAGATGGGGTCCCACTATGTTGCTGGTCTTGAACTCCTGGGTTCAAGCAATCCTCCTGAGCCTCCGCCTCCCAAAGTGTTGAGATTACAGGCGTGAGCCACTGTACCCAGCCTTTTAGGTATAATTATTTGTCTTTTATTTTATTTTATTTTATTTTATTTTATTTTATTTCATTTTTTGAGACAGAATCTCACTTTGTCACCCAGGCTGGAGTACAGAGGGGTGATCTTGGCTCACTGCAACCTTTGCCTCCCGGGTTCAAGTGATTCTCCTGCCTCAGCCTCCTCAGTAGCTGGGATTACAGGCATGTGCCACCACACCCAGCTAATTTTTGTATTTTGAGTAGAGACAGGGTTTCACCATGTTGGCCAGGCTGGTCTCAAACTCCTGACCTCAAGTGATCCACCCACGTCAACCTCCCAAAATGCTGGGATTACAGGTGTGAGCCACCACGCCCAGCCTAGGTATAATTTTTTAGATACGTTGTGAGGTAGGGATCTACTTTTATTTTTCTTCACATTGTCAACCAATTTCCTGAACATCATTTATTACTTTATTGTTTCTGACAGAATCATGATGCTGCTCTGAAGTGTGGGAGATCATGAACATGACAAAAATCCACATCCTCAAAGAGCTTGCTACTTAGTGAGAAGGCATACAGGGTAAACGAGTAATTACCAAAAAATGGCAGCAACAGTTTTTGTAAGGGAAGGAGTTCTCAAAGAACTTAATCTTGTGAGAACTACAAGCAGTTTGATTGTCAGGATTGCCAAACCAAGAGTGTTTATTTATTTATGTATTTATTTATTTTTGAGACAGGGTTTCACTGTCTCCCAGGCTGGAGTGTGATGGTGCAATCTCAGCTCACTGCAACCTCTGCCTCCCAAGCTCAAGCAATCCTCCTGCCTCAGCCTCCTGAGTAGCTTGGACTCCAGGCACACGCCACCACATTTGGCTAATTTTTTTTTTTTTCAGAGATGGGATTTCGCCATGTTGCCCAGGCTGATCTTGAACTCCTGGGCTGAAGATATCCACCCTCCTCGGCCTCCCAATGTGCTGGGATTACAGGCCTGAGCCACCATGCCTGGCCCAAGTGTTCATTGATGATGAGAGATGGGCTTTTCGCATCAAATCACAAAAATATGCTGTGAGTTTCTTCAAAACAGAGACTATGTCTTTTTATTTATTTTTATTTTTTTTGAGACGGAGTCTTGCTCTGTTGCCCAGGCTAGAGTGCAGTGGCGTGATCTCGGCTCATTGCAAGCTCCGCCTCCCAGGTTCACGCCATTCTCCTGCCTCAGCCTCCCGAGTAGTTGGGACTACAGGCCCCCGCCACCACGTCCGGCTAATTTTTTGTACTCCTGACCTCGTGATCCGCCCACCTCAGCCTCCCAAAGTGCTGGGATTACAGGCGTGAGCCACCGCGCCTGGCTCAGAGACTATGTCTTATTTTTATTATTTTTATATCTCTAAAATCTAGCAGAAGAGGAAAGATTTTTGTGTGCCCAGTGAGTTCCCGTAGTGGGAATAGTGAGCTTTAATTAATCTGAGCCCTAGAGAGGAGACTCAGGACTCATCTTTCATTCTTCTGTCTTTGAAGCCTTAGCCGCATACTGGCTGTGGCCTGTGAGGACTGCTTGATGTTTAGATGGCATTCACTAAGAGCTTGTTACTGCTATTGCTGCAATCTACCCCATTTTGAATGCTTTATGACTGTGAGCCCTTTGGAGCACAATTTTTATGGTCATTCGTTCAACAGACATTTGCAAATCAGGAACTATATTCTCCCTTTTACATTGGGTACACAGAAATGATTCAGACGTGAAACCTGTCCGCCGAGAGCTTACAATTTGTCAAGGGACAAAGAAGACATACCCATATAATTGTAATGTGAGGCACTCTGTTAAAGGCTAAGTGAGAATTGACAGGTTGGAGCTGTCACCTTGAGCTGTTTAAGCAGAGGAGAGGTGACATTTGAGCACCAAAGATGCATTAGATTTGGTAAATGGGAAAGAGAAAGAACATTCCAAGCAGAGGCAATGGCATGAGCAAAATCGTGGAGAAAAGGGAAAAAAAGTTTTGGTGGGGAGGGTAAGAAAAAGACCATTATGGCCAGGAGTATATCAAGAGTCACGGACTCATATTTTCAGGAGCCAGATGGGTAGTAAACATGAATAAAATGGACAGGGATAAATATTTGAAGAGATTCCACCTAAAGACACTCAGACAACTTTAAAAACTCCTTTCAGCAAGGAATTGTTGAAGTAAGGTGATGGATGCATAAGTTCATTATACTAATATGTGTGTTTTTGCATATATTTAAAATTTTACATAAAATGTTTGGCAAAACACGAAGTACAAATACCCATGTGAACTTTTTTTTTTGTTTTTTTTCTGAGACGGAGTCTCGCTCTGTAGCCCAGGCTAGAGTGCAGTGGCAGTGGCACGATCTCTGCTCACTGCAAGCTCCACCTCCCGGGTTCACGCCATTCTCCTGCCTCAGCCTCCCGAGTAGCTGGGACTACAGGCGCCCACCACCACGCCAGGCTTATATTTTGTATTTTTAATAGAGACGGGGTTTCACCATGTTAGCCAGGATGGTCTCAATCTCCTGACCTCGTGATCCACCCACCTTGGCCTCCCAAAGTGCTGGGATTACAGGCATAAGCCACCGCGCCCGGTCCAGAACTTTTTTTTTTTAGAGTTAGGGTCTCACTCTGTCACCCAGGCTGGAATGCAGTGGCACCGTCATGGCTCACTGCAGCCTCCAACTCCTGGGCTCAAGTGATCTTCCTGCCTTAGTCACCTGAGTAGCTAGGACCACAGGCACACGCCACCACACCCAGCTTAGCAAGGGTTTTGCAATAAATCAGCAAGTCATTGATGATGTCTAGTAGAGGAATAACTTCAAGAAAAGCTAAATGTAGGAAGATTAATTTTAAGAGAAGAAAAGTTGTGTCATACATTTAGTCAAACATTTGTTGCCTATCCTTACTATGTACTAGGCTCTAGTGATATAAAGGTGTACAATTTAAGGCACAATTCATGCCCTTGAGAACTCACCTATATATAAATCCAACATTAACATCTTAATATATTATTTTGTACTTGCTGCTGTGCTGCCTTCTGGTTTCATTCGAGTTGGAGCCTCATCAGCTGATCCAAACCTACTCCCTGCCACCACTCCCACCAGGCCCATGTTTGTCATCAGAAATGGACTGACTCGGCCAGGCACAGTGGCTCACACCTGTAATCCCAACACTTTGGGAGTCCGAGGCGGGTGGATCATGAGGTCAGGAGATTGAGACCATCCTGGCTAACACGGTGAAACTCCATCTCTACTTAAAATACAAAAAATTAGCCGGGCGTGGTGGCGGGCACCTGTAGTCCCTGCTACTTGGGAGGCTGAAGCAGGAGAATGGCGTGAACCCGGGAGGAGGAGCTTGCAGTGAGCCAAGATTGCGCCACTGCACTCCAGTCTGGGTGACAGAGCAAGACTCTGTCTCAAAAAAAAAAAAACAAAACAGAAATGAACTGACTGCTGCAAGTAACTCCTGTTACCACAGCCATGGCTAGTTTGTTTTTCTTCTGTTCTCTTTTTCAGGAGTAATGTGAGGATTCTTGCTTTTCTGGAAGCTAACACATAGTCAGTGCCAAAGTAGTGACAGAAGAAATCTTGAGAGGAAGCATTTTTGTCTTGTACTTGAAACAGCTGCTGGGCCCACCATGGCTCCTGTGAAGATCAGCCATGTGGTATCATTTTCTTCTCAGGTATATTAATCAGCAGGCATGATTTGTTTTCTTAATAACTGAAAGGAGTGAAAAAAATAGGAGTCTTGGCTCCACTTTCAGGAAACTCCCAATCTAATAGAAGAGACATTGTGAGTTCAGAGTCTAAGAGAAGAAACAGCTCTTGCCCTCAGGTTGTTCCCACAGAAGTGCAGGATGCGCAAAAGAAGTCTTCTCAGAAGTTGAAAGTACAGAAAGCAGCACCCTCAGGATTCCGCCCAGTTTGAAGGGCACTGGCAAAGCTGTAAGCCCAGAAACTGCACCAGGATCCTCAGAAGGGGAGTTTGATCATTCTATCATTTAGAACAGGGTAGGACACTTGAGGTAATCCCAGACCTGTGAGGTTACCACCAGCATCAAGTGTGATCTCAGCCTCCTTCCTAAAAGTTCTACAATATCCCAATTAGAGCTAGATCCTAGGCCCTGAGACCAGGCCTGATCTGATGTGGTGATTCTGAGGGACTTCCCACCCTTTCCTCTCCTGTCACTGCTCTATTTACTCCTACTCCACCTCTTTCCCTTCTGTTATCCTGGTCTTTCTCAAGGGGTGCCATTGGCATTTGGGGCCATAAGTCTGTATTTTGTAGCAATATTATTTGCATGATGAGATACTTAGCATCCCTGGCCCCCAGGCTTCTTAGTCATTGTGACAGTCAAAAACATCCCCACACATTTCAAGGAGATCCTTAGACCAGGCATGGGACTCATGCCTGTAATTCCAGCACTTTGGGAGCCCAAGGCAGGAGGATCTCTTGAGCCCAGGAGTTCAAGAACAGCCTGAGCAACACAGGGAGATCCCATTTCTACAAAAAATAAAAAATCAGCCCTGTGTGATAGCATGTGCCTGTGGTCCCAGCTACTCAGGAAGCCATGATGGGAGAATTGCTTGAGCCCAGGAGGTTGAGGCTAACAGTGAGCCATGATTGTGCCACTGCACTCCAGCCTGGGCGACAGAGCAAGACCTTGTATCAAAACAAACAAACAAACAAACAAACAAAAAAACCCTTAGAGGATCTTTAGGAACTAATATATTAACCCCTATTCTAAGAAAAAGAAAATTAATATTACACTTACCCTCCTTACCTGCATGGTCAGGCTAAACAATTTGCTTCATAGACTTTTTACTTTTTTTAGACGGAGTCTCGCTTTGTTGCCCAGGCTGGAGTGTAGTGGTGTGATCTCGGCTCACCACAACCTCTGCCTCCTGAGTTCAAGTGTTTCTCCTGCCTCAGCCTCCTGTGTAGCTGGGATTACAGGCACATACCACCATGCCCAGCTAATTTTTGTATTTTTAGTAGAGATGGGGTTTCATTATGTTGGCCAGGCTGGTCTCAAAGTCCTGACCTCATGATCCGCCTGCCTTGGTCTCCCAGAGTGCTGAGATTTACAGGTGTGAGCCACCATGCCCAACTGCTTCATAGACTCTTAGCCTTATAAAATGCTAGAGAACATTAGCTAGTTTCAAACTTCGTGTTTTCCACTGTACTCTTTAGAGATCCACTTCTATAAGTTGAAAGGGAGAGGGGGACAAGTATGTCCTCCCTACTTGTGCTTTAACCAGAGCTCTCCTTTTATTTATCAAAAAAACATGCACGCGTGCACACACACACACCCCCCTCAGTGTAAGATTTCAGTTAAAAGGGTTTTATTGCTAAAACAAAAAAGGTTGAAAACCATGAGTCTGGTCTCTCTCTTTTACTTATGGATGAAGACATTTAGATTACAGGGCTCATACCTGTAATCCCAACACTTTGGGAGGTTGAGGTGGGAGGATAGCTTGAGGCTAGGGTTGGAGACCAACCTGAGCAATATAGCAAGATCCCATCTCTACAGAAAATTTTAAAATTAGCCAGGTGCGGTGGCTTACACCTGTAATCCCAACACTTTGGGAGGCTGAGGCGGGCAGATTGCTTGAGCCCAGGAGTTGAAGACCAGCCTGGGAAACATGGTGAAGCCCCATCTCTACAAAAGTTAGTTGGGTGTGGTGGCACGCACCTGTAGTCCCAGCTCCTCAGGAGACTGAGGTGGGAGGATCCTGAGCCTGGGAAGTTAAGGCTACAGTGAGCTGTGATTATGCGACTGCACTATACCCTAGGTAATGAGCAAGACCCTGTCTCCATTAAAAATACAAATTAACTAGGTGCAGTGGCACACACCTGTAGTCCCAGCTACTCAGGAGGCAGAGGCAGGGGGATCACTCAAGTGATCCTCCCAGGGATTTGAGGCTGCAGCGAGCCATGATTGTATCCCTACACTCCACCCTGGGCAAGACCCTGTCTCTAAAAAAAAAGAAGAAGAAATTTATTTACTTATTTATTTACTTATTGAGATAGGGTCTCACTCTGTCTCCCAGGCTGGAGTGCAGTGGTGCAGTCTCGGCTGACCGCAACCTCCGCCTCCCAGGTTCAAGCGATTCTCCTGCCTTGGCCCCCCAAGTAGCTGAAATTACAGAAGGAAAGAAATTTTGACCCAGAGAGAGAAAGTAGTTTACCCAAGATCGCTCAACCAAAAAATATCTGACTTTAGGTTAGAACTCAGAATTTATATTCAATATCACTATTGTTGATATTGAGTATAAATATCACTTTATATCTAAGCATCAGTTATAAACTTAGAATAAAAATCTTTGACTTTCTTATCCCACAGAATAACTATAAAGATAAATAAATGTCCTTGAAAACATCTTGGCCGGGCACGGTGGCTCACGCCTGTAATCCCAGCACTTTGGGAGGCCGAGGTGGGCAGATCACCTGAGGTCAGGAGTTCAAGACCAGCCTGACCAACATGGAGAAACCGTTTCTACTAAAAATACAAAATTAGCCAGGCGTGGTGGTGCATGCCTGTAATTCTAGCTACTCAGGAAGCTGAAGCAGGAGAATTGCTTGAACCCGGGAGGCGGAGGTTGCAGTGAGCATAGATCGCACCATTGCACTCCAGCCTAGGCAATAAGAGCAAACTCCATCTCAAAAAAAAATAAGAAAAAAATCTTATAAATGAAATAGCGTATCATGGTGGTTAAGAGCTCTGCTTTTGGGCCGGGCACGGTGGCTCACGCCTGTAATCCCAGCTCTTTGGGAGGCTGAGGCGGGCGGATCACGAGGTCAGGAGATCCAGACCATCCTGGCTAACACGTGAAACCCCGTCTCTACTAAAAATACAAAAAAAATTAGCTGGGCGTGGTAGCGGCCGCCTGTAGTCCCAGCTATTCGGGAGGCTGAGGCAGGAGAATGGCATGAACCCGGGAGGCGGAGCTTTCGGTGAGCCGAGATTGCACCACTGCACTCCAGCCTGGACGACAGAGACAGAGCGAGACTCTGTCTCAAAAAAAAAAAAAAAAAAAAAAAAAAAAAAAAAAAAAAAAGAGGCCTGCTTTTGGCTGGGCGCGGTGGCTCACGCCTGTAATCCCAGCACTTTGGGAGGCCGAGGCGGGCGGATCACGAGGTCAGGAGATCGAGACCATCCTGGCTAACACGGTGAAACCCCGTCTCTACTAAAAATACAAAAAATTAGCCGGGCATGGTGGTGGGCGCCTGTAGTCCCAGCTACTCGGGAGGCTGAGGCAGGAGAATGGTGTGAACCCGGGAGGCGGAGCTTGCAGTGTGCCGAGCTAGCATCACTGCATTCTAGCCTGGGCTACGGAGTGAGACTCTGTCTCAAAAAAAAAAAAAACAAACAAAAAAAAAAACCAACCTGGCCAAAATGGGGAAACCCCGTCTCTACTAAAAATACAAAAAAATTAGCTGGGCATGGTGGTGGGCACCTGTAATCCCAGCTACTCAGGAGGCTGAGGCAGAGAATTGCTTAAATTCGGGAGGCGGAGGTTGCAGTGAGCCGAGATTGTGCCACTGCACTCCAGCCTGGGCGACAGAGCAAGACTCTGTCTCAAAAAAAAAAAAAAAAAGAGCTCTGCTTTCCGAAACCTGGAAATTCTGCTTTGCTTGGTTATTTAGCCTATGGCCTTCAGTAAGTTTCTGAACCTCTCAGCTTCAGTATTGATCTGTTAACTTGGAAGTAATAATAGTAACCACCTAAGAATTGTTATGAAGATTAAAGGAGGTCATCTGGTAAATGGGATAGAGAAAAATGGTATCTGTAAACCACTTGGCACATGATAACAGTATTCCTATGGCCTCCCATCTGGTGCCTTTTCTATCATGTTAGGATGACTGGGAAGGTTTGGGGTTTTAGCGATCCCTCATTCATGGGCATCCTTTTTCCCTTGGGCGCAGTGAGATTCCTGATTTTCTCCTCCTCTCTTACTTAGGATCCCAAGTATCCTGTAGAGAACTTGCTAAACCCAGATAGTCCAAGGAGACCTTGGCTCGGCTGCCCTCAGGACAAGAGTGGGCAATTGAAAGTAGAACTACAGCTGGAGAGGGCAGTGCCCACTGGCTACATTGATGTGGGTGAGTTCTCTGTGGCCTAGGAACCTTGAGGAAGAACACAGGAATGACAGTCCCCTCTAACTACTCCACTAACATGTCTCAGTTCATTCTGGCTGAGCAGCCTTTATGGAATAAGTTTTACCTGGGTGTCAAAGGGAAATGTGGCCCTTGCCCTTGGAGCAGATCTGTGTGGAGAACTCCAAGGGCTCTATTCACATAGAATACAATGTGAATGGCGCTCCTCAAATTATGCAACATAACTACCATGCTTTGATCTTAGTGGCCTGGGTAAAACCTTAGGACACTGACGTAATTATAAATCCCGGCCAGGCACAATGGCTCATGCCTGTAATCCCAACACTTTGGGAGGCGAAGGCGGGAGGATCCCTTGAGCCCAGGAGTGTGAGATCAGCCTGGGCAACATGGCAAAATCCTGTCTCTACCAAAAATACAAAAATTAGCCAGGTGTGGTGGCGCACACCTGTAGTCCCAGTTACATGAGAGGCTGAGGTGGGAGGATCACCTGAGCCCAGGAGGTCAAGGCTGCAGTGAGCTGTGATAATGCCACTGCACTCCAGCCTGGGCAACAGTGAGACCCTGTCTCACAAAAAATAAAAATAAATCCCAACAAATAGAACCTGCATACACCTGTAAATATCTGTGTCAGGAGGATGCTGGAGAGATGAACTGTGCGAGGATAATCCAAGAAGGCTGAATAGGAGTTTATGGATTGAGAAGATTGACCTTAGAATTCTCTGGAATTTAGAACTGTCCAGTCCACTGGTCTCAGTTTTGTCGGGACAGAGAGATGTCAGGCACCCTAGCAAGGAATTAAGAGAGACAGAATTTAGCGCTTTCCACCGGGGCCAGAGGACAGAGAAGCAACAAGTCTCTTTAATCAGGGGAAGGTTTCTGGCTGGGAGGAACATGGTGAACGTGTGACATTGGTATTTGGTGGACTGGAGTCTCATTCCACTCCAGTTACTGGCTCCCTGTGGGACTCCACATATCGCTGAACCTTTCTGGCTTTCAGCTAGCTGTAAAGTAGAGGAGTGTCCTCCTTCCACCGTATTCCTTTGTCTTCAGTCATCTCATTCCTCTTATCCTTCTCTCAACCTTTTGTCCCCAGGTAACTGTGGCTGTGCGTTCCTGCAAATTGATGTGGGCCATTCTTCCTGGCCCCTGGACAGACCTTTCATAACCCTGCTCCCTGCAACCACGCTAATGTCTCTAACTGATTCAAAGCAGGGGAAGAACCGCTCCGGGGTCCGCATGTTTAAAGATGGTAAAGAGGGCAAAAGCAGAAAAGATGGGGGTGGTCTTTATGAGAAACAGAGATGCAGTACTAAAGAGGACTGTGAGTGCTATTAGGTGTAGACTGTGGGAGGGAGCCTGTGCAGGGGTTTAATTATATCTGTTGGGGGCAAAGGGTGGTTAAGGAATGGTGTGCTTGTGTGTGAGATTTGTGTGGTGAGGATGCATGCTAGCTGGGGAGATGGAGATTTATGAACTATTTATATTTATATATAACTTGTGGTTCGGTAGGGCCCAATATATAGAACACACACACTTATTGATTAATATATTTTTGTGGCCAGGCGTGGTGGCTCATGCCTGTAATCCCAGCACTTTGGGAGACTGGGACAAGTGGATCATCTGAGGTCAGGAGTTCGAGACCAGCCTGGCCAGCATGGTGAAATCCCATCTCTACTAAAAATACAAAAATTAGCCGGGCATGGTGGTGAGTGCCTTTAATCCCAGCTACTGGGGAGGCTGAGGCGGCAGAATTGCTTGAACCTGGGAGGCAGAGGTTACAATGAGCCAAGATTGGGCCATTGCACTCCAGCCTGGGTGACAAGAGTGAAACTCTGTCTCAAATAATAATAATAATAATAACAATAATATGTTTTTGTGGGTATAAGTGTGGATGTAGGATAGATGTTTATGTAAGTGATGGAAGGCTACATAGTGGTTATAGTTGTGTAGCATATAATGTTTACTGAATTTATACAAATCTCTGTTCACTAGGCACTACAGAAAAACATAAGATCTGATTCCTAGCCTCTAGGGATGTACAGTCTCATAAGGATTTGTCTGTTTTAAGTTGGAAGTATTTGTAATGTTGTAAAGGAAGAGTGACATTGGAGGGGCATATGATTTGGAGAAAGTGAGGTACTGACTGGACAGTGTTAGGAACTAAAGATGTGGAGGGTTGGTGATATCGGAATGTGATACCGTGAGCATGTAGAGCACGTGGTGGTGTGAGGGAGGTTGAGGTCTTATGATCCAGGAAGGGCCAATATATATCTCAGGTAATCCACTGGGTCCTTACTCTGCAGGTAACTTCTTCTTAAAATGAGATATTGATGAGGTCCCTGGAGAGGTATAGAATTCATGCTGAGAATAGTGTGGAACTGTGACAGAGGAGTGATGAGAAGGCAAGAGACTGAATATGAGAAGGCCCTGACTGGCCTGCTTGGCATTACCATACCCTGAACACCCAAGCCTAAGGGGACATTTACTGAAGACCTCCTTCTTTTGTTGGAGGTTACTCTCTATAGCTCTTTTCCTTAGTATTGACCTTTTCTTCCTCTGTCTCTCCCATTTATGCATTTCCATTCCCCCCTGATTTTGTTTCTCTTTTTTCCTTGAGTTGATTTCCTGGCTCCAGCCTCAGGAGAGTTATGGGATCGACTTCGCCTGACCTGCTCCCGACCCTTCACGCGTCATCAGTCCTTTGGCCTGGCCTTTCTACGGGTGTGTTCTTCTCTGGACTCCTTAGATGACTCTGTGGTGGGTCCCTCAGCCCTTCTGAGCTCTGTGCTGAACAAGGTATGTATGATGATGGAGTGAGGATTTAATGTTTTCCCTTCCTTTTCAGGTTTCTGTTTAAGAAACTGATGCTTGTTTGAGACATAGACACACACACACGTACACACACACACACACAAATACAAGTATCAACGGGCTTGATACCCTTTCTTACAGGTAGGCGTGAACTCCTCTCCTTCCCTGTCTCACACGTGGAATATGCAAGTGAGTGAGCCTTGGATACAGTATACACAAAGCTTTTGGACTATTTGCTCTTTAGCCATAAATTATTCTTGGATCCAAACTTAAATTCATACTTTATTTCTAAGTTATTGGGTGACTGTAGCTTTTATCAGACTTTTCCTTTGAGCACTCACTGTAAGTCCCAAAGCTCCCGTGTAGTTTCTGTCATTATTCCCTTACAAAGTTATATCTTTACATGTGTGCTCTACAGTTTCATTTGTTCCCCTGCTTTTCTCCCTGTACAACACATGTATACAGGCATACCTTGGAGATGTTCCAGGTTTGGTTCCAGATCATGACAATAAAGCAAGTCACACACATTTTTTGGTTTTTCAGTGTATATAAGCCAACAATTTTCTGAACCTTCAGTGAGTCGTAATCTTTTTTTTTTCTTTTTTTTTTTGGGGACAGAGTCTCGCACTGTTGCCCAGGCTGGAGTGCAGTGGGGCGATCTCGGCTCACTGCAAGCTCCACCTCCCAGGTTCTTGCCATTCTCCTGCCTCAGCCTCCCGAATAGCTGGGACTACAGGTGCCTGCCACCACGCCCGGCTAATTTTTTGTATTTTTAGTAGAGACAGGGTTTCACCGTGTTAGCCACGGTGGTCTCAATCTCCTGACCTCGTGATCCTCCCGTCTCGGCCTCCCAAAGTGCTGGGATTACAGGCGTGAGCCACCGTGCCCGGCCAGCGAGTCGTAATCTTTTTGCTAGTGGAGAATCTTGCCTCAGTGTTGATAGCTGCTGACAGATCAGGGTGGTTATTGCTGAAGGTTGGGCTGGCTGTGGCAATTTTGTAAAATAAGACAATTACATTTGCCACATCAATCTACTCTTCCTTTCATGAAAGAGTTCTCTGTAGCATGTGATACTGTTTGATACCATTTTAACCACAGTACAACTTCTTTCAAAATTTGAGTCAATTCTCCCAAACCCAGCCACTGCTTCATCAACTAAGTTTATGTCATAGTCTAAATCTTTATCATTTCAATAATGTTTGCAGCATCTTCACCAGGAGTAGATTTCATCTCAAGAAACCACTTTGCTCATCTATAAGAAGCAACTCCTCATCTGTTCAGGTTTTATCTTGAGATTGCAGTAATTCTGTCACATCCTCATGTTCCATTTCTATTTCTAGTTCTCTTACTATTTCTTTTTTTTTTTTTCCCGAGACAAAGTCTCTCTCTGTCACCTAGGACTGGAGTGCAATGGCATGATCTCGGCTCACTGCAACCTCTGCCTCCCGGGTTCAAGCAATTCTCTCACCTCAGCCTCCCGAGTAGCTGGGATTACAGACACGCAGCACCACACCTGGCTAATTTTTTGTATTTTAGTAGAGATGGGGTTTCACCATGTTGACCAGGCTGGTCTCAAACTCCTGGCCTCAAGTGATCCACCCGCCTCAGCCATCCAAAGTTCTGGGATTACAGGCATGAGCCACCATGCCTGGCCAAGTTCTCATACTATTTCTGTCACATCTGCAGTTAATTTCCTCCACTGAAGTCTTGAAAGCCCACTAGGAGGGTTGGAATCAACTTCTTCCAAATTCACATTCATGTTGATGCTGTGACCTCCTCCCATGAATCACCAGTATTCTTAATGGCATCCAAGATGGTAAATTATTTCCAGAAGGTTTTAATTTACTTTCCTAGATCCATCAGAGGAATCGCTATCTATATGGCAAATATAGCCTTACAGAATTTATTTCTTAAATAGCAATGCTTGAAAGTTGAATTACTCCTTGATCCTTGGGCTGCAAAATGGATGTTACGTTCGTAGGCATGAAAACAACATTAAGCTCCTTGTACATCTCCATCAGAGCTCTTGGCTTAGGTGCATTACCAGTGAGCATAAATGTTTTGAAAAGGAATCTTTCTTTCTGAGTATTAGGTTTCAACTGTGGGTTTAAAATATTCAGGAAACCATGCTGTAAACTGATGTGCTGTCATCTAGGCTTTGCTGTTCCATTTATAGAGCACAGGCAGAGTAGATTCAGCATAATTCTCAAGGGCCCTAGGATTTTTTAAATAGTAAATGAGCATTGGCTTCAACTTAAAGTCACCAGCTGCATTAGCCCTAACGAGAGAGTTAGCTTGTCCTTTGAAGCCAGGCGTTGACTTCTCTTCTCTAGCTATGAAACTCCTAGATGGCATCTTCTTTTGTTTTTCTTTTTTTTTTTTTTTTTTTTTTTATCTTTTGAGACGGAGTCTTGCTCTGTCACCCAGGCTGGAGTGCAGTGGCACGATCTTGGCTGACCACAACCTCTGCCTCCCAGGTTCAAGCAATTCTCCTGCCTCAGCCTCCCGAGTAGCTGGAACTATAGGCGCACACCACCACACCCGGCTAATTTTTGTATTAGTAGTAGAGATGGGGTTTTAACATATTGGCCAGGCTGGTCTCGATCTTGTGACCTTGTGATCCACTAGCCTCGGCCTTCCAAAGTGCTGGGATTTACAAGGTCACCCCCCGTGACCTTGTTAGTCTTTTCCTGGGTGGAGAGGATGATCTTACTCCCAATATCGCAGGGGGTTAACACACCCCTGTGAAAATCTTCCTATTTTCAGAGGGAGAGAGGCTGATATTACTCCCAGGACCGCAGGGGGTTTCCACACCCCTGTGATACTCTTCCTAATATCCACAGGGAGAGAGGATGATATGACTCCCAATATCGCAGGTGGGGTACAAAACCCTGTGATATTGTTCCTAATATCCAGAGCGAAAGAGGATGATATGACTCTCAATATCGCAGAGGGTGTACACCCCTCCTATAATATTGTTCTGAATACCCTGGGAGAGAGAGGATAAGGTTACGTTGAATATCGCAGGGAATGTACACCAACCCCTCTGATACCCTTCCTAATGTGCAGGGGAAGAGAGGAAAATTTCACTCCCAATATCACAGAGGCAGTACACCCCACTTGTGATGTTGTTCCCAATATGCAAGGGGGAGTACACCCCACTTGTGATGTTGTTCCCAATATGCAAGGGGGAGAGGATGATACTACTCTCAATATCGCAGGGCTGTTCACATCCCCAGTGACATTTTTTCCTAATATCTAGGGGAGAGACAATTATATGACAGCAAAGGTCGCAGGGTCTGTACATCCCTTCCTGATATTGTTCCTAATATCCAGGGGGAAAGAGGATGATATCAAACATGAAAGGGGGTGTTCATCCCCCACGCCTACGATATTGTTCTTAATAATCGTGAGGGGAGAGGATAATATTACTCCAAATATCGCAGGGGTTGTTCACCCTTTTGTGTTTTTGTGCCCAATATCCAGGAAAATAGAGGATGATGTTACTCCCAATGTCAAAGTAATTGCACAGCACCCCTGTGATATTCTCCCTAATATCCAGAAAGGAAAAGAATGATATTACTCGCAACAACGTAGGAAACGTATACCCGCACTGTGGTATCTTTCCCAGTATCCAGGTGGGGAGAGGATCATATTACTTCCAATGTCTCAGGGTGTCTACACCCCTTCTGTGATCTCGTTGCTAACATCCACGTTTGGGGAGGAAGACCCAGATCTCCACCCACCCAGAGTAGGTACGCCCAAGAACTAGTACATACTTTTTACCTCCACACTTTGGCATCTCTGTGAAGTCCACTTGGAGACCTTCAAAGGGGGCTGCTCCATAAGCTCGTATGCCGGGCGGAACGGCTGGACCTTGCCTCGCATCATGCTGGCGGCAGGTAACACACCGCTGCCTCACCGTTTTGGCAAGGGCTGACAAAGGTGAGATGTAGAAATACCAGCCTAACAACTTTTCCAGTGACTCCTGACCTCGATGGGTGGTTTCTTGCACAGCCAGTACAACTGCAGTTCCTAGCAGCTGTGGCACAGTTACTCTCCCATCTGCTAACCGAATCCATCCTTCCTCCATCAATTGTCCTTCCCTCTACCTGCAGAAAGTCCTTTTCTTCTTTAGAAGAAGTAGGTCCAAGATCAGGTGCTTGAGGGAGCACTGATGCCCAGAAGGGGGCAGATGCTGCTTTTGGAGCCTCTGAGTCAGCGCGGGAATTCCCCAAACCCAGCAAGATGGAAGCTCGCTGGTGTCCCCTGCAATGCATAACTGCCACCTTGTGGGGTTTCCATACTGTTTCTAATCATTGCAAGATTTCCTGTTGATATTTTGTGCCTTTTCCCCCAGAGTTCAATAGGCCCTTTTCTTTCTATCACGCTCCATGCACTTGAAGGGTTAAAAAGACATACCGAGAATCAGTGTAAATGTTGACAGTCTCACCCTCACTGAGTTCTAAGGCCCCAATGAAAGCAATGAGTTCAGCTTTCTGGCCTGAAGTGGCCTGGGGCAACGATGTGGCTTCAACAACAGTGTCCAGGGTTATCACTGCATACCCTGCACCTCTCTCTCCTTGGGGGTTGAAGAAGCTGCTCCCATCCACATATAGTTCCCAGTCTCCTGATGGCCAAGGCTGGTCCCGGAGGTCAGGTCTGCTAGAGTGAATTGAGTCCAACACTTCTACACAATCAGGCTCGACAGGGCTCTGATACCAGGAGCAAGGTGGCGGGGTGTAGGCTGTTACAAACTTCAATGGTTATACGGGGATTTTCACAGAGCAAAGTCTGGTACTTGGTGAGTCTGGCATTCGTTAGCCAATGATGTCCTTTAGTATTCATTAAAGTCACCACAGCACGGGAGGCCTTTATGTTCAGGTTTTGCCCAACAGTCAACTTATTTGCTTCTTGTACTTGCAGGGCAGTTGCTGCCAAGGCCCTCCAACAGGGGGGCCATCCTTTAGAAACCCCGTCCAGTTGTTGAGAGATGTAGGCCACTGGCCTCGGCCTGGGCCCCACAGTTTGGGTTCAAAGTCCAGCTGCCATCTTTTCTCTCTCTGTTACATACGATGGAATAGGCTTTGTCAGATCAGGTAGCCCCAGGGCTGGGGATGCCAGAAGTTTTTCCTTTAACTCATGAAAGCCTTGCTGTTGTTGGGATCCGCATTCCAAAGGTTCCCGGTCCCTGTCCCCTTGGTGACCTCATAGAAAGGCTTGGCTAATACTGCAAAGTTTGGGATCCACAGTCTACAAAACCCCACAGCTCCTAAGAATTCTCCCCTGCATTCTGCTCTTAGGCTCCCCTAGATGGCAAATGACCTGCTTTCGTTCTGACCCCGGGCTGTGTTCCGACCCCTGTTGGATAGTAAATCCCAGGTAACGTACCTGCTGTCGGCAGATCTGAGCTTTCTTCTTGGACACCTTCTACCCACAGTCCTCCAGGTGCCGGTGTAGGGCATCTGTTCCCTTGGCACACCCGAATGCCGTGGGGTGTCCCAGCAGAAGGTCCTCAACCTACTGGAGCAACACGCAGCCTAGGTCTCTCCTGGGAAACTTCTGGAGGTCTCGAGCCCACGCCTCCCCGAAGATGGTGGGGGAGTTCTTGAACCCTTGGGGAAACCCGGTCCAAGTGTACTGAGTAGTGACACCTGACTCCGGATCTTCCCACTGAAAGGCAAACAGCTTCTGCCTCTCAGGGGCTAATCTGATAGGAAAGAAAACGTCTTTCAGGTCCAAGCAGGTGAACCAGCTGTCCTCAGCTGGCAGCAACCCCAACAATGTGGACGGGTTATTTACTGTTGGATGTAAAGTCAGTTTAGCTTGATGAAGCAAGCGCAAATCCTGAACCGGCTGGTAGTCCTTGGTCCGTGGCTTGGGAACAGGCAGGAGGGGAGTGTTCCATGGAGACTGACAAGGAACAATAATTCCAAAAGTTCTTAGGTGCTTGAGACGGACCTGGATACCTTGAAGGGCTTCTCTGGGGACCGGGTCCTGTTTTTGCCTCACCGGCTGGGCCCGTCTTCACTGGCCAATCCCGGAGAGTTGTCTTCTGCCCGTACTCTTGGCCACCGCTTAGCCAGAGCTGGTCTTCTCTCTTGGCCCGGCTCAGTTAAGAAAAGTCTCCATTCCTCCTCTCGGAGAACCATAAGGGTCATAATGACTCCCATTCCGGGTCACTTTACCAGCAAAGAGCCATGCTCTGTCAAAGAGATAGTGGCTCTCAGCTTGCTGAGCAAGTCCCTTCCTAAAAAGATCAAGGGACAGTCAGGCATGTACCAAAACTGATGAATGACTTTATGTCCTCCTACAGTACAAGTCTGAGACAAGCAGAAAGCTAGCTTTGCTGAAACCCCCGTGGCTCCGATGACGTCAATATTCTTTTTGGATAAGGGGGCAACAAGGGCGGTTACTAGTGAATGTTCAGCACCGCTATCTACAAGAAAGTCAATATCTCCACCCCTGACTATCATTCTGACCAGAGGCTCTTTGGGAACGCTTGAGCCGGGTCTCCCTCAGTCCAAGAACCCTTCTGCCAGGTTGAGCAGGGCCCCTTCCTCCTTGTCCAGGGCCTCCTGCTCTGAGTCACCTTGTTTTCTTTTGAGCTGAGGGCATTTGTTCTTCCACTGTCCTATTTCTTTACAATCAGCACACTGGTTACGCTGCAAACTCTGACAGCCAAGCTGAGTTTCTTTCCCAGGGCCTCCCTTCCCTTGCCTCTTTGTGGGGGCCCCTCTGATTGCTGCAGCTGACAAACAGGTCGGCATATCGCCGGGCCTGACCTCCATTCTCTTTGCCGTTTTCCTTACGGCTTACTGCATCCCTGTTTACAAACACCTGGCTAGCTATTTCTAGTAATTGGGATGGATTCATCCCTGCAAGCCCAGCCTGTTTCTGCAGTTTTCTTCTCATGTCTTCTGGGCTTTGACGGACTAAAGCCATGTGAATCATGTGCTGATTTTCAGGGCTATCGGGATCACAGGGAGTATACATACGATAGACCTCACACAGTCTCTGGTAGAATTGTGCTGGACTTTCTTCTTTACCCTGAATGACCTCAGAGAGCTTGTTAACGTTTGTGGCCTTCTGAGCTCCCCTCATTAATCCTTCCAGGAGAGCTTCTCTGTCTCGCTTTAGCCTTTGCATATCCCCTCTTTCATGTGGGTCCAACTGAGGGTCGGTTCCTGGCAACTGGGCCCTTCCATACTCTTGGGCGTTTTGATAATCAGCTGGTGCATGTTCCTCTAGCCACTTAGTTGCTGCTTGAGGACTCTCCGCCTTTCTTCGCTGTTAAAGAGCAACATGAGCAACTGGTGCCAATCAGCACAGGTGGGGTTGTGGGTCTGGATAACAGCTTGGAGCAAATCAATTAGGGCTTGTGGCTTTTCGGTATGGGGCGTTGTATTGTTTTCCCAGTTGAGAAGGTCGACACAGGTGAAGGGCTGGTACCCAAAAACACGCCTCTCCAGCACGTGACCATCCTCATCTAACCCAGTATATCGCTGCTCTCTCAGGGGCATTTGTGTCCCCGTTTTGGGTTGTAAACGAGCTGTTGAGGGAGGAGTGGAATGGCGCAATGCGACTTACTGCAATTAATAATCTCAATTATTAATTGGCGCTAATAATTATCAATTTTAATAACCCATAATATAATTTTTAAAATCAATACCGATAATAATAATTAATATTAAATACTTATACTAAAGATAACAATACATGATTATATTAATGATTAATGATGCCTGATATTAATAACTGATATTGATCTTATTCATTAGAAAACAGTCATATTAGCTCCTAATAATTATTAATATTAATAATCTGAAAACTTTTTATTAGCAATTATTTCTTAATATTAATATTAATATCGGTCATTCATATTCATGTTAATAATAAATGAGGAATAATTCATACTAATATTACGCCCTAATACCTCAGTGGGTGTATACCCACCTGTTATATTGCTCGTAATGTCCAGGGAGGGAGAGAGCATGATATTACGTTCTATATCGCAGTAGGTGTACAACCAGCCAGTGACATTGATCCGAATAAAATCTCCAGTGGTTGGAGTATGACGTTACTCACAATATAGCACTGAGTGTGCATCCACCCGTGATTTTGCTCCTAATATTCACAGAAGAAGAGAATGCTATTACTCCCAACATCACAGGAAGTGTACACCCCCGTGTGAGATGGTCCTTAAAAATATTCCAAGGCGGAGGGGGTGATATGACTACATATATGGCAGAAAGTGGACACCCCCAAGGATATCGTTCCCATGATCCTGGAGGGAAGAGGATAATATTGCTTTCAATATCACAGAAAGTGGACACGTCCCCAACTGATATAGTTTCTAGTTGCAACGTGGGAGAGGACGACCTGACACCTGGTATCCCAGGGAGTAGAAATACCCCTGTGATACTGTTCCTAATATTCAGAGAGGAAGAGGATGATATTACTCCCAATACAGACGGGTGTACAGCGGTCTGTGAAACAGTTCAAAATCTCCAGAGGGGGAGGTGATATTACTCACAATATGTTAAACAGGCTGTGAGTCCACCGCGGATCCTAAGAGCCAGGGGGGGCAAGAGGGGCTGGCTCTTACTCCCCGCATCGTGGGGGGCTCCTCGCCCCCCTGCGATGGGGGTCTTAAGAGCCAGGGGGGCAAGAGGGGCTGGCTCTTACTCCCCGCATCGCGGGGGGCGCCTCACCCCCCTGCGATGGGGCTCGTAATATCCAGTGGGGGAGAGGGGGTGATATTACTCCGTTTCTCGTATTATGTTTTCTCTACTGCTACACTTGGTTAACACCCTGGGACATTATTTTCCATATTCTAGGAATGTGTCACTGTTTGAGTCCCGGGGGTATACACCCTGTGATATTATTCGTGATAATGTGGTGAAACGTGAATCCTGATGTCACAAGTGTCTACACACTCTGATATTATTCGCAATACCCTAGCGGGACGTTAATAATAATGTCACAATGTGTGTACAGCTTGTGCCATTATTCTTAATCTCCTAAGGGGAGGTTGATTTTTTTGTCACACGGAGTAGTTTCCCTTTGGTATGATTCGGAATATCCTGGAGGGATGTCACTCCTTATGTCACAGGGTTTGTACACCTTGTCAAATTACTCTTATTACCCTTATAAGATATCACTCCTCATATCACCGAGGGTGTACACTCTGTGATATTATCATCATATTCTAGGGAAATGTTTCTTTTAATGCCACAGATGTTGCACACCTTGTGAAATTTTTCGTTATAGTTTTTTGGGATGTGACTCCTAACGTCACACGGGGTGTACACACAGTGATATTACGTGTAATCTTCTATAGAAATGTTACTCGTAAATCACAGGTCCTGTACACCTTTTAATAGTCTTCGTCATATTCTAGGAAAACGTGACTACTAAGGTCACAGGGCATGTAGACCCTGTCATAAAATTCGTAATATCCCAGCGGGAGTTCACTACTAATTTCACAATGCGTGTACACCCTTTGATATTGTTCTTATTATCCTAAAGAGATGTGACTACCGATGTCCCAATGCATGTACATTCTCTGATATTATTCCTTATATCCTCGGGGGATGTGACTTCTAATGTCACACAGCGTGTTCTCCCTGTGTTCTCTTTCATAATATCCTAGTGCAATTGTACTCTTAATGACGCAGGGGGTGTAGGCATTGTGATATTATTCATGATATTCTAGAAGGATGCTACTCCTAATGTCACAGGGGTGTACACCCTGTGATAGTATTCATAATTTCCCAGGGGTCTATACTCCTAATGTCACAGAAGATAACACCCTGTGACATTATTCGTAATATTCTGATGAGATGATTCTCCTAATATCACAGGGGGTGTACACCCTGTGATAATATTCTTACTCCTCCAGGGGGATGTCACTCTTAATGTCACAGGTGTGTTCCTTCTGTGATATTATTGAAAATATGCTAGCTGGGTACTACTACTAATGTCACAATGCGTGTACACCTTGTGATATTATTAGTAATATTGTGGGGGGATGTTACCCCTAATGTTACAGGGGTGTACACCGTGTGATATTGCTCCCAATATTGTAGGGGGATGCTACTCCTAATGTCACAGGTGGTGTACAGCCTTCGGTATTATTTGCAATCTGATAGAGAGATATTACTTTAATGATCACAGTGGGTGTACATACATGGGCTACACCCACTGGGATAATATTTGTAATATCTTAGGGAGATATAACTCCTAATATCACAGTTGGTGTACCCCATGTGTGTACATCCTGTGATATTATTTGTAATATCCATGGTAAACATTACTTCTAATATCCCACAGAGGGTACACCCTGTGATATTTTTCATAATATCATAGGGAGATATTGCTTCTAATAACACAGTGGGTGTACACCATGTGTGTACACTCTGTGATGTGATAGCTTATATCCTAGGGAGATATTCCTTCCAATATCAGAGTGAGTGTACACCTTGTGATATCATTCGTAATCTCCTAGAAAGATGTTGCTGCTAATATCACAGAGGGTGTGCCCCCAGTGACATCATTCGAAATATCCTAGGGAGATGTTACCGTAATGTCACAGGGGTTGTACACCCTGTTATATTATTGTAATATTCTAGGGGGGGTGTTACTTTTAAAGTCACAGGGGTGTACACCCTGTGATGTTATTCGTAATATCCTAGGAAGGGGTTACTCCTAATATCACATGGGTTATCCTAGGAAGAGCTTACTCCTAATATCACACTCCTAATATCACACCCTGTGATAGCATTCGGAATATCCAAAAGGGATGTTACTTTTAATGTCACATGGGGTGTACACCCTTTGATAATATTCGTAAGATCCTAGGGACATATGACTTCAAATATCACGTTGAGTGTACACACATGGTGTACACATTGTGTGTGAACACCTCCTGTGATATTATCCATAATATCCTAGGAAAATGGGACTCCTAATATCACGGTCAGTGGACAACCTGTGATATTATTGGTAATATCCTAAAGAGATGTTACCACTAAGGTCACAATGTATGTGCACCCCCTGATATTATTCGTTATATCCTTGGGGGATGTTACTCCTAATGTCACACGGGGTGTACTCCCTGTGATATTATTCGTAATGTCCTAGGGGTATGTTACTTTCAATGGCACCAGGGTGTATATCATGTGTATTCAACACCTGTGATACTATTCTTAACATCCTAGGGGCATGTTCCTCCTAATGTCACATGGGGTGAACACCATATATGTACACCTGCTGTGATATTATTCGTAATATCCTAGGGGAATATTACTCCTGATGGCGCAGGAGATGTACACCATGTGTGTCAACCGCCTGTGTCATTATTCTTAATATCCTAGGGAGATGTTTCCTTGAATGGCACAAAGTGTGCGCAAAAGGTCACAGAAGCTGTGCACCTTGTGATGTTATCTGCAATACCCTAGAAGGATGTTACTCCTAATATGTCACAGGGGTGTACACACTTTGATATTATTTGTCATCTCATAGAGAGATATGACTTCAAATGTCACAGTGGATGTTCACACATAGTGTATACCCTGTGATATTATTCATAATATCCTAGGGAGATGCAACTCCTGATATCACAGTGTGTGTACCCGGTGTGTGTACACCCTTGATATGAGTCGTGATATCCAGGGAAAATATGACTCCTCATATCACACAGTATGCACACCCTGTGATATTTTTCATCATACTTTAGGGAGATATTGCTTCTAATATCACAGTGGGTGTACCCCATGTGTGTGTACTCTGTGACAGTATATTCTGTATCCTAGGAAGGTATTACTCGTAATGACACAATGGGTGTTCACCCTGTGATATCATTCTTATTTGACCTTGCTGCCTTTTTTAACCCATCCTACAAAAGGAATGGAACAGATAAGAAGATATTGAGATTAGACTGCGCTGCTGTGCGGCCGCCGCAGGACACTTTTCATATCCCTGTTTCTCAGGCTGTAGATGAAGGGGTTCAGCATGGGGGTGACCACCGTGTACATCACTGAGGCCACTGCACGCTTTCTCGGGGAAGATGACACATCTGAACCGAGGTACCCTCCAACGCCTGTTCCATAAAATCAGCAAACAACTGACAGGTGAGACCCACAGGTGGTGAAGGTTTATACTTCCCACCTGATGATGAAACCCTCAGAATGGAGGAAACAATTTTACAGTAAGAGAAAAGGGTCCCCGAGATGGGAAGAAAACCAAATACGGCAGCAGGGAAATACATGTTGATGTTCCTGGTGAAGGTGTCACAGAAGGTTCCCAGAAGAAATTAGGAATTTCCACATCCTTGAAGCAGGTCATTTGTAAGGCAATCAAGTTGTGCAGCTGAGAGTCTAAAAGACTGAGGGAAAAAAAAAAAAAGAAAAAAAAAACAAGGACAACAAATCTAGGAAGCCACAGAAACACGGGTTCAAGATGGCTGAACGATATGGAGGGTGACAGATGGCTACAAACTGGTCGTAGGCCATCACACTCAGGAGCATGTCTCTCTTCCCTGCCTCCAAAAATGGCAAAGAGAGACATCTGAGTCAGGCAGCCTGCATAGGAGATGACTCTGCTGTGAGACTGGATGTCCACAATCATCTTGGGGACCGTGTGGAGGTGAAACCGATGTCAGGCAAGGACAGGTTGGAGAGGAAGAAGTACATGGGGTGTGGAGGTGGGAGTCAGGGCTGACGGCCAGGATGATGAGCAGGTTCTCCAGCACCGTGACCAGGCACATGGACAGGAACAGCCCAGCGACGACCGGCTGCAGTTCTGGATCCTCTGAGAGTTCGAGGAGAAGGAATATAGAGACATCTGTTAGACTCTGTGGGTCTGTATCGTTTGGATACAACCCTCTTTTGCCTGGAAAAGAGGGTTGAAAAATCGGAAACAAGTAAACCAATACCCAGCATTGTGTCTGCATTTTGGATAGAAGCAATTCACAAGTAATGTTTTCAGATTTCAGAGCAATCCACACTCAGCAATATTTTGTAGTTCTGACAAACTCAATTGTCTTATAATGCTTTCATCATCGATTGCTGTGTTATTCACGTCTTGCTGTACACACCTGCCTTAGAGACACTAGCTTCAAGAACGTTCCAAGAACCAGATCGTCATATATAACAAATTCGTAATTGCTAGAAAATACAGCCTATCTTTTCCGAAGGAAAAGATGTAATAAAAGCATTGTCTTCACTTTAAGAAAAAGGTTATCCTAATTAAAGGAAATTAAGAACTCAAATATTTTATTTATTCTACGAGATTGATACAAATTCCCTTGATTTAGAACATTTGTAAACACTGTATAACAGCTGAGACCATGCCATCTGGAAATGAAATGGAAGTTGATAGTTCATAAGCAGAAAATAGTTCCACATGCCAGTTAGGTCCTAGTGATTTCATCATTGTGTTTTCGGACTTTTCTCCTTCGAGAGAGTAATTGCTTACTCAAATCGGTGGGTCTTGTTTTAAAATTCATGGAAGCTCTAACTCCTGTCCTTAGCTTAGGTGGACTTAGAGTTTTCATCAGAAAGTTTGGCCGGACGCGGTGGCTCACGCCGGTAATCCCAACACTTTGGGAGGCCGAGGAGGGCGGATCACTGGGTCAGGAGATCAAGACCATCCTGGCCAACATGGTGTAACCCCACCTCTACTAAAAATACAAACACTTCGCCCGGTATGGCGGCGTGCGCCTGTAGTCCCAGCTACTCGGGAGGCTGAGGCAGGAGAATGGCTTGAACCTGGGAGGCAGAGACTACAGTGAGCTGAAATCACACCACTGCACGCCAGCCTGGGCAACGAGAGCAAAACTCCGTCTCAAAAAACAAAAAACAAAAAGAATCAAGTAAGTCAAAGTCACGCTGATGACAGCCAATTTTGGTGAAGCAAGGAAGTGTCAATTCAATCATTAACATATATTTGACGTTTGCTGTCTCCTATGTGCCAAGCACGATATAGGCTCTGGGGAATCAGAAAACAAAGAGACTCACTTGTTCCTCTTACAGTACTCAGTCCTTACTGAGAGAAGGACAAAACAAAATGTCCTGTCTGGAATGCAGGGAAAGCAGAACTTCAGGTCAGGGGATATTTCCGTTGAATTGTGTGGAGTTGAAGCTGAAAATCTTAAGGAATATATCTAAAATTCATTTTGCCTTTACTTTATGCATCCGTCACCTAGAGATCACGCAGCGGGCACCCACGATCAGCTTAATCATCACTCACTTCCATCGGATCAACTGGAAATCAAGTCAGATGAGAGTGGTGAGTCTCAGAGGATGGATATCTCACCCTTTGCCATACAGAGAAGTAGAAAGTGTGGTATTCAAAATTCATGGCCAGACTCGAAGTCCCGGGTACTATACTTCCTGGTCTTCCAACTCTCAAAAAGTTGTGGTTTTTTTTGTTTTTTGTTTTTGTTTTTGTTGTTTTGAGATGGAGTCTCGTTCTGTTGCCCAGGCTGGAGTGCAGTGGAGTGATCTCAGCTCACCGCAACCTCTGCATGCCAGGTTCAAGCTATTCTCCTGCCTCAGCCTGCGAAGTAGCTGAGATGACAGTCGCCCGCCACTACGGCTGGCTCATTTTTTTCTATTTTGAGTAGAGACGTGGTTTCACCATGTGGGCCAGGCTGGTCTCGAATTACTGACCTTGTGATTCGCCTGCCTCAGCCTCCCAAAGGGCTGGGATTACAGGCGTGAGCCACGGCTCCCAGCTTCCAAAAGCTTTAAGCAGAGCTCAGAGGTCGTAACCACAGGCACATCGGAGGAGCATTTTTGAAACGCTTTCCAGCTTCCTCAATAGGAATGGAAGCCAAACTCCGAATTGATGACTGCTTTGTGGAAGTCAAGAGCTGTACAGAAAGCCAGGAACAGGGGCAAGGGAGAGATGCGCCCCGAATGATCCTGTGCCAATTCTTTCTGGAATCCTCGATGTGATCTCAGCTGTCCTTTCCATACTTGACACAGTGATTGTGGCACCCACTGGTCTAGCTGTGTTCTACAAGGAACCCCGAAAGGGAAGGGCATAGTGAGCAGGGGCATCCGCCTGAGTGACGAGGATTTGAGAGGGCAGGTTGGTTGCAGGGAGAGGACTGGCCAAATGCCATGTGTCTGGACTTAGACTGACTGGTTCAAATTGGACTTCACCCTTTTTGACCTCATGATCTAGTACGAGTTCTATGAAAAGGCGTTGCTCCTTTTCTAGTCTGTAAAATCATCCTGAAATGTGCACTAATAAAGTGGAGACTACGCAGATGAAATGAAACAAGCTGCATAGAGCACAGAGCTCAGAGCCTGGCCTTTAGGAAGCCCTCAGTAAGGGTTCATGATGCCATGGTGTCTGTCATCATCCTCTTTATCCTCATCATCACCTTCATAATCTTTTTGTTGTTCTTAGGGAATAGTTTAGAGGGACTGATTCCCTGCTATCATGAGTGAGATGTCTATGAAAAGGACAACCAGTGGGGGAGGAGAGCAAAATTTTGAATAAGATTTCTGAGACCCCCAGCACAACCAAGAACAGAAACTGCACAGTCTGCTGAGCGGACAGTTTGCACATTGGTCTCCTCCCATCTGTCCACCACACTCTCCTGTTTGTCCTGAGGAGAAGGGAACCAAACAAGGCTCCCGACCCTCCCTCAGCACTCACTTGAAGGGGTGGCCTGCCCCTCCACAGCTGTGGGTATGTCTAGTCGGGTGGGATGAGAGACTGAGGAAAGAAATAATACACAGAGACAAAGTATAGAGAAACAACAGTGAGCCCAGGGGACCGGCGCTCAGCATACCAAGGATCTGCACCGGCACTGGCCTCTGAGTTCCCTCAGTTTTTACTGATTATTATTTTTATTATTTTAGCAAAAACGAATGTAGTAGGAGGGCAGGGTGATAATAAGGAGAAGGTCAGCAACGAAGATGTGAGCAATAGAATCTATGTCATAATGAAGTTCAAGGGAAGGTACTATGATTGGACATGCACATCAGCCAGATTTAGGTTTCTCTCCACCCAAACATCTCAGTGGAGTAAAGAATAACAAGGCAGCATTGCTGCAAACTTGTCTCGCCTCCCACCATAGGGCGGTTTTTCCCCCATCTCAGAATTGAACAAATGTACAATCGGGTTTTATACCGAGACATTCATTTCCCAGGGGCAGGCAGGAGACAGGGGCCTTCCTCTCTCTCAACTGCAAGAGGCTTTCCTCTTTGACTAATCCACCTCAGCACAGACCCTTTACGGGTGTCGGGCTCGGCGACGGTCAGGTCTTTCTCCTCCCACGAGGCCACTTTTCAGACTATCACATGGGGAGAAAACTTGGACAATATGCCGCTTTCAAGGGCAGGGCTCCCTGCGGCTTTCCACAGTGTATCGTGCCCCTGGTTTATTGAGAATAGAGAATGGCGATGACTTTTACCAAGTATACTGCTTGGAAACATCTTGTTAACAAGGCACGTCCTGCGCAGCCCTAGATCCCTTAAACCTTGATTTCATACAACACATGTTTTTGTGAGCTTCAGGTTGGGTCAAAGTGTCTGGGGCAAATCTACACATTAACAACATCTCAGCAAAGCAATTGTTGAAAGTTCAGGTCTTTCTCCAAATGGAGTCTTTTATGTCTTTCCTTTCTACATAGACACAGTAAGAGTCTGATCTCTTTCTTTTCCCTACACTCACTGAACTGCCCTTCCCCTCTGCTGGGCCATGACCACGGAGAACAGGTCCACTGTCCTCCCTGTGTGGTGCACCATGGAGGCTCAGACTCCGTCTTCAAGGCTGGCAAGAAGACAGGGTGATACAGGTGACGGGAGTGGAGCCCACAGGACTGGAACCCCACACTGCAGGGCTGGAGGCACAGACTGACTATTTACTATTCTGTGGCCTGGGGGGCTCAAGGCACAGAGCTCCTTCTTAGCCAAAGTCACCCAAGTTCCCCAACCTCTAAGGATGTCCGTATAATAATGCAAGAAGAAGAAGAGAAAAGTGAGTGTCCATAGAAGATTTGGGGCTCTTCCTCTAATCAGGAGAAAGCTAGTGTGTATTCTTCCCTTCTTTCTTTTCTTTTTAAACATCCAACTGCTTTAATTTTCATCTTTTATTATGGGAAAATATACCACATATAAATATTAAAAATTATAAATATATATTACTTCATATAGAATGGCCAGTATAAACATTTACAGTTTCCATGCTTTTTCAGTTTACAGTTTCATGACATTAAGTACGTTCACATTGTTTAGCAACCATCACCGTCATCGTCTCCAGAACAGTTTTATCTTTCAAAATGGAAATTGCACCCATTCACCAAGCTCTCCACTCCTCTTTCTCGCCCACCCCTGGGGGCCACCTTTCTAGTTTGTAACTCTATGAGTTTAACTACTCTAGACACTTAATAGATAAATGGAATCATACTGTATTTAATTGTTTTGTTTTGGAAACAGAGTCTTTCTCTGTCACCCCGGCTGGAGTGCAGTGGCGTGATGTCGCCTCACTGCAATCTCCACATCCTGGGTTCAAGCGATTCTTGTGTCTCAGCCTCCCGAGTAGCTGGGATTACAGGCGTGCGCTATCACGCCCAGCTAATTTTTGTATTTTTAATAGAGACGAGCTTTCACCATATTGGCCAGGCTGTTCTCGAACTCCTGAGCTTAAGTGATCCGCCTGCCTCAGCCTCCCAAAGTGCTGGGGTTACATGTGCGAGCCACTGAGACTGGGCATGTTTATCCTTTTGGGATTTATTTATTTCACTGACGATAATGTCTTCAAGGTTCATCCATGTTGCGGCCTGCGTCAGAAGTGCCTGTTTGTTTTTGTTGTTTTTTTTTTCATTTGGTTTTATTTTGTTTTGCTTTGCGTTTTCATGGAGTCTCACTCTGTCGCACAGGCTGGAGTGCAGTGGCACAATCGGGGCTCACTCCAACCTCCGCCTCCTGGGTTCCAGCGATTCTTGTGCCTCAGCCTCTTGAGTAGTTGGGACTATAGGCACACGCCACCACGCTCGTTTCATTTTTTGCATTTTCAGTAGAGACAGGGTTTCACCAAGATGGCCAGGCTGGTCTTGAATTCCTGACCTCAGGTGATCCGCCCACCTCGGTCTTCCAAGACGCTGCGATTACAGGCGTGAGCCACCGCACCGGCCAGAAGTGCCTGCCTTTTGAAGGCTGAATGGTCTTCCATTGTATGAAAGAACTGCAGTGTGCTTTTTCATTCATCTGTCCACGAACCCTTGGGTTGCTTCCACATTTTGGCTGTTGTGAATAATGCTGCTATGAATATGGGTGTACACAAATCTGTCTTCCACTCCTGGCTTCTAATTCTTTTTGGTAGGTACCCACAAATGCAACTGCGGGAACATCTGATCATTCTGTTTCTAATTTTTCCAGTACACGCCATACTATTTTCCCCCACTCCTTCACGGTTTTACATTCCCTCCGATCAGAATCGAGCATTCCTACTTCTCTCTAGTCTCACCAATGCCTGTTTGTTTATCACATCCATCCTAATCTGTGGTATCACATTCTTGGTTTGATTTGTGCTTCCCTATGATGAGTGATTTTGAACATCACCTTAGATGCTTATTGGCCATTGTGATATCTTCTTTAGGGACACGTCTACTCGCGTCTTCTGACCATTGTTGATGGGATGCTTTGGGTTTCTTGTTGTTTAGTTCTAGCTGTTCTTTATATATGATGGCTGTCAGCCTCTTTTCAGATATATGCTTTGCAAATATATTTCCTAATCCATGGGTTATGTTTTCACTCAGTTCGCCATGTTTTTTGCTGCACAAAAGTGTCTGTCATTTATATGTAATCCAAGGAATCTAATTTTCTTTTGTTGCCTATGCTTTTGGTGTCATATCCCAGAGAACATTGCCCAATCTGATGTCATGAAAGCGTGGCCAATGTTTTCTTTTAGGCGTGTCATACTTTTAGCGCTTGGGGTGAGGTCTCTGATCCAGTTTTTGTTAATTTTTGCACCTGGTGTGACATAGGGTCCACCTTCATTCTTCTGTATGTGGAAATCAAGTTTCTCCAACACCATTTCTTGAAAAGGCTGCTGTTCCACCAATGAGCTTTCTTAGCACTCGTGAAAAATCATGTGAACATAAAGGTGAGAAGTTATTTCTGGGCTCCAAAACAAACAAACAACAACTGACAACAGATAAGGATACAGCATGGGCCGGCCGCAGTCGCTCACGCCTGTAATCCCAGCCCTTTGGGAGGCCGAGGCGGGTGGATCACGTGAGGTCAGGAGTTGAAGACCAGCCTGACCGACAGGGAGAAACCCCCGTCTCTACCAGAAATACAACATTAGCTGGGCGTGCTGGCGCATGCCTGTAATCCCAGCTACTCGGGAGGTGGAGGCAGGAGAATCGCTTGAACCCAGGAGGCAGAGGTTGCGGTGAGCCAAGATTGCACCATGACACTCCAGCCTGGGCAACAAGAGTGAAACTCCATCTCAAAACAAAAAACAAAAAACCAGCATGATTTCAAGAGCAGAAACAGAAGAGCTTAAAAACCAGCATAATGAGAAAGTTAGGAAGCTTCTTACCAAAGCATCTGGAAATATGCAAGCAATTCTTGTGAACTAAAATTTTCATACTGTACTATCAAACACTAGAACTCACTTATTCCATCTTTCTGTATTTTGGGACTCAATTATCCACTTTTCTTCATTCCCTATCTCACCCCTTTTCTTCCTAGCGTCTGCTAACCATCTTTATACTTTCCACCTTCTTGAGATTCCTTTTGTGTGCAGGTGTGTGATGGAGTCTCTTTCTGTTGCCCAGGTTGGTGTACACAGGCACAGTCCGGGCTCACTGCAAGCTCCGCCTCCTGAGTTCAAGCGCTTCTTGGGCCTCAGCCCTCCGAGTAGCTGAGACTACAGGCACAGGTCACCACGCCCGACTCATTTTTTGTGTTTACCGTGGAGACGGGGTTTCATCATGTTGGCCAGGCGGGTCTCGAACTCCTGGACTCAAGTGATCTGTGTGACTCGGCCTCTTAGAGTGCTGGGATTACAGGCCTGAGCCACCACACCTGGCCATGGTTTCCTTTTTTCTTCCTACATAGAAGTGAGGACATGAAATATTTGTCATTCTGTGCCTGGCTTCTTTCATTTAATGTACAGATCTGCAGTCTCATCCATTTTGTCTGCAGTGGAGAGGAGTTTCTTCCTTTTTAGGTTGCATAATACTTCATTGGGTGTGTATACCACAGTTTCTTCATTGAAACAAATTTCTGAAGAGCAAATATTTTTAAAATGTCTCGGAATGTGAAACTTCAGGGATACTGTGCCCATTTTATTCTTTTCTGTTTCCCATCTTATGTATATGCAAGTGTATAACAAAGCAGCAATCAATGTGTGTATAAATGTAGAACTTCAACAAATGTAAAATGTAAATGCTAAGTGGTGGCTGGGCGCGGTCGCGCATGCCTGTAATCCCAGCAGTTTGGGGGGCGGAAGCGGGCGGATCACCTGAGGTCGGGAGTTCAAGACCAGCCTGACCAAAATGGAGAAACACTGTCTCTATTAACAATACAAAAAAAAAAAAAAAAAAAAAAATAGCCAGGCATGGTAGCGCATGCCTGTAATCCCAGCTACTTGGAAGGCTGAGACAGGAGAATTGCTTGAATAGGGGAGGCAGAAGTTGCAGTGAGCCGAGACCGTGCCATTGAACTCCAGCCTGGGCAACAAGAGTGAAACTCTGACTCAAAAAAAAAGGGAAAGAAATAGAAAATGCGAAATGGTAAGAAAAAACAACATAATAAATATTTGTATGGTGTTGCTGGACAATGCATTTGAAGATAATATTTGAAGAAATCATACTACAATTAATTTCTGCTCTTACTCTTTGGAGCTTGATGCCTCTAAAAACTTCATTATTGGAACCACCTCTGGTGCTTTAAAAGAAAAAAAAAAAAAATCCACACACTCACACAGGTGCAAGGAAATCAGAATCTCAGGTATTGAGACCCAGGCCTCATCATTTTTAACTCCCCAGGTGATTTGACTCAAAGCCAAGATTGAAGAATGGCGACATGGATCTCTCTACATAACCTGCCTAAATAGATTCTATAGAAGCAGTTTATAAAGAAATTCCACATGAACTGTGGAAGAGGATATGAATTTGATGTACAGTATGTCCTCACTTAACATCTTTGAAAGTCTCTTGGAAACGTCACCTTGAAGCAAAATTATGTATAGTGAAACCACTTATTTTTCATCAACAGTATAACTACATAACTTTGAACAACCAATGGTGTTGGAGGACCTCCTGTACATTGTTTCCATAAAGTCAGTTTTCAGGGAATTCCAAAACGAAGTGAGGACTTCGTGTATATGAAAAGATGGTTGTGATTCCACCTGGATGACAGGGTTATTGCTCAGAAACTAAAAGAGGCCGCCTAGGTATAGAGGATTCAGTCATGAGGTTTCTGCTAAACAAAGGATCCCAGAATCCTCACCCATTCCAGTTAAAGGCATAACGAAGAAAGCAATATTCACAAAGGAAATGCGGAAAGGAATAAAAGCCATCAAGCCACAAAAATAATGTGACTAAGAGGCAGGATTTGCAGAAGTAGAGATTTAATGTGGTTGCCCTTACCCACACAAGAAAAAGGATGGAACAGATCATGAGATTCGACTGTTCTGCTGAGCAGCCTCCACAGGGCACTTTGTATGTCCCTGTTTCTCAGGCTGTAGATGAAAAGGTTCAGCATGGGGGTGACCACAGCGTACATCACTGACGCCATCACACCATTCCTGGGGGGTGGTGACAGAGCTGAAGTCAAGTACACGCCAATGCCTGTTCCATAAAATCAGCAAACAACTGCTAGGTGAGAGCCACAGGTGGAGAAGGCTTTATACTTCCCATCTGACGATGAAATCCTAAGAATGGAGGGGACGATTTTATAGTAAGACACAAGGATCCCTGAAATGGGAAGAAAACCAAACATAGTATTATGGAAATGCATGAATATGCTATTGATGACGCTGTCAGAACAAGCAAGTTTGAGAAGTTGAGAGGGGTCACAGACAGAATTAGAGATTTCCACATTCTTGATGATGGTGAATTGTAACACAATCCAACTGTGCAGCTGGGAATCCAACAGGCTAAGGAAAAAGGACACCAAAACGAAGAAGACACAGAGGTGAGGATTCACGATGACTGGGTAGTGCAGAGGGCAACAGATGGCTACAAAGCAGTCATAGGTCATCACAGTCAGGAGCATGCCTTCTATACATGCAAAAAGGAGCAAGAAGGAAATCTGTGTCAGGCAGTCCGCATGAGAGATGACTCTGCTATGCGACTGCATGTCCACAATCATATTGGGAACCGTGGCCGAGGTGAAACCGGTGTCAGCCCAGCACAGGTTGGAGAGGAAGAAGTACGTGGGGGTGTGGAGGGGGGAGTCAGAGCTGACAGCCAGGATGTTGAGCAGGTTCCTCAGCACCATGACCAGATGCATGGACAGGGACAGGGACAGCAAAGCGAGGAGCGGCTGCAGTTCTGGATCCTCTGAGAGTCCCAGGAGGAGGAATTCTCAGACACTTGTGAGATTCCGTGGCTCTGTGTGTCTTGGACACCTTGAGAAGGAAAGAGGATTGGAAAAATAAAAGATAAAAACCAGCCCTTAATGCTGGATGCAAGCAATTCACAAGGAACATCTTGACACTTGCGGACCATACACCGCCAGCAATGTTTCTCAGTTGTGACAATTCCAAAAATCTCAGAATTATTACGTGATTTACTTTTTGCTATACAAGGCTTTCTGTTCATACTACTTTAGAGAAAATCCACTGAAGAATATTAGAAGACCAAAACGTCACATATAACAACTCCGTGATCTCAGTAAAATACGGCCTACTCTTTTCAGAAAAAATACAATGCAATGACAGTGTCCTTCTCTCTTGAAGAAAAAGATCTCAGTCTAATTGAAAGAAATTAAGAAGCCATGAAATACACTCTACTTTATTCTGACACGGTGCTACAACTTCCATTGATGTAGAATATGTAAAAGGACGACACAAGAGCTAGGACCCCATTATCTGAAAATGAAATCAAATATAATTCTCAATCGGAAGAGTTTTTCCCATGCCAATTACTTTTCATATTTATCATCATCCTTCGGTTTTCTGACATCATTTCTTCATAAAAGTACATGCACACTCAAAAATGGGAGCTGTGTTTCCAAATGAATTGAATCTATAACTTTTGGCCCAGTACCATGGCTCACACCTGTAATCCCAGCACTTTGGGCGGCCGAGGCTGATGGATCACCTGAGGTCAGGAGTTCCAGACCAGCCTGACCAACCTGGTGAAACCCCGTCTCCAGTGAAAATTAAAAAAAAAAATTAGCCGGGCATGGTGGCTGGTAACCCTAGCTACTCAGGAGGCTGAAGCAGGAGAATCCCTTAGAACCTGGAAGGCAGAGATTGGACACCATGTGACAGGATTTTTGATATCCTAGGGAGATACTGCTCCTGAAAGTAGAGTGGGCGTACACCCTGTGATATTATTTGTAATATCCTAGAAAGATATTGCTCCTAATATCATGGTGGCTCTACACCCTGTGATCTTAATTGTAATATCCTACAGAGATATTACTCCTAATAATACAGTGGGTGTACACCCTGTGATATTATTCATAAGGTATTACAGAGATACGACTCCTGATATCACAGTGAGTGTACACCATGTTGGTACACCCTGTGATCTTATTTGTAACAACTTAGAAAAATATTACACCTAATATCAAAGTGGGTGTACACCCTGCGATGTTATTTGTTATCTACTAGGTAGATATTACTCCTAATACCACAGTGAGTGTACACCATGTGTGTACAGACTGTGAAATTATTCGTAATACCCTAGGAAGATATTACTCCTCATGTCACAGTGGGTGTACACCGTGAGTGATATTTTTTTCTAATATCCAGCGGGGGAGAGGATGATATTGCTTCCAATATCACAGAAGTTGTACACCCCCCTGTGATATTGTTCCTAATATCCAGGGAAGGAGAGGATGACATTATTCGCAATATCACTGGGGGTGTACCACCTCCCGCCGGGATATTGTTCTTAATATCCGGAGGTGGAGAGAATGATGTTACTCCCAATATCACAGGGGGTGTACACCACCCCTGTTTGTAAACACCCCCTGTGATATTGTTCCAAATGGCCTGTGAAAGAGTAACCATGACTCCCGTCATCGTGGGGGGTGTTCAGCCCCGATGATATTGTTTTCTAACATCCAGGGAAGGAGAGTATGCTATTACTCCCAATATCGCAGGGGTTGTACACCCTTTTTTGTTTTTGTGCCCAATGTCCAGGAAAATAGAGGATGATATTACTCCCAATATCGAAGTAATTGTACAGCACCCCTGTGATATTCTTCCTAATATCCAGAAAGGAAAAGAATGATATTGCTGTCAACAGTGTAGGAAACGTATACCCGCGGTGTGGTATCTTTCTCTGTATCCAGGTCGGGAGAGGATCATATTACATCCAATGTCGCAGGGTGTGTACAACCCCTTTGTGATCTGGTTGCTAACATCCAGGTTTGGGGAGGATGACATTACTCCCAAAATCGCAGGCGGAGTACACATCCCCATGACCTTGTTAGTCATTTCCTGGGTGGAGAGGATGATCTTACTCCCAATATCGCAGGGGGTGAACACACCCCTGTGAAAATCTTCCTATTTTCAGAGGGAGAGAGGATGATATTACTCCCAGGACCGCAGGGGGTTTCCACAGCCCTGTGATCCTCTTCCTAATATCCACAGGGAGAGAGGATGATATGACTCCCAATATCGCAGGGGGGGTACACCACCCTGTGATATTGTTCCTAACATCCAGAGTGAAAGAGTATGATATCATTTTCAATATCGCAGAGGGTGTACACCCCTCCTGTAATATTGTTCTGAATACCCTGGGAGGGAGAGGATAAGGTTACGTTGAATATCACAGGGAATGTACACCTTCCCCCTGATACCCTTCCTAATGTCCAGGGGAAGAGAGGAAAATTTCACTCCCAACATCACAGAGGCAGTACACCCCTCCTGTGATGTTGTTCCCAATATGCAAGGGGGGAGAGGATGATACTACTCTCAATATCGCAGGGATGTTCACATCCCCAGTGACATTTTTTCCTAATATCTAGGGGAGAGAGAATTCTATGACAGCAAAGGTCGCAGGGTCTGTACATCCCTTCCTGATATTGTTCCTAATATCCAGGGGGGAAGAGGATGATATCAAATATGAAAGGGGGTGTACATCCCCCACCCCTACGATATTGTTCTTAATAATCATGAGGGGAGACGATGATATTCCTCCAAATATCGCAGGGGTTGTTCACAACCCCCTGTGATATTGTTTCTGATATCCAGGGGGAGAGAAAATCATATTATTGCCAATATTGCAGGTGGTGTATACCCCACCTGAAATATGGCACCGAATATCCAAAGAGGGAGAGGATAGTATTCATACCAATATCAAAGTGTGTGTACACGCCCCTTGTGATATGGTTTTTAGTATCCAGTGGGCGGGAGGATGATATCCCAATATCCCAGAAGGTGTACACTATCCCTGAGATATTGTCCCTAAGTTCCAGAAGGGAGAGGATGATATCACTCCCAATATCTCAGAAGTTATACATCCCCCGTGATATTGTTCGTCATATCCAGGGAGGCGCAGGATGACATTCCATTGAATTTCGCGACAGGCGTACACGCACAATGTGATATTGTTCCTAATATCCAAGAAGGGAGAGGATGATATTACTCCCAATAAAGCAGTGGGTGTACATCAACCCTGTGTTATTGTCTCTAATATCCGGGGCCGGGGGAGGAGGGGAGAGGATAACATTCCCTCAAATTTAGCAGGTGGTTTGATGCCCCTTGTGGTGTTGTTTTAAATATCCAGAGGGGAAAACAATAGTACTATTTTTGATAGTCCGATTCATCCACTCCACCTTTCCGGAACTCTGAGGCCGGGAGGCTGCATGCAGTTTCCGTGTGATCCCCAATACCTTTGCCGTCTTCTGTACCAAGGCAACCAAAAACGCAGGCCCGTTGTCTGAGCCGATCCCTAAAGGCCGTCGAAATCTAGGAATCAGATCACGAAGAAGCACAGGGGTTACTTCACGAGATTTCTCTGTTCGTGTTTGATAGGCCTCCTCCCACCCAGAGTAGGTATGCCCAAGAACTACTACATACTTGTTACCTCCACATTTTGACATCTCTGTGAAGTCCACTTGGAGACCTTCAAAGGGGGCTGCTCCAGAAGCTCTTATGCCGGGCAGAACAGCTAGACCTTGCCTCATATCATGCTGTCGGCAGGTAACACATGGCTGCCTCACCGTTTTGGCCAGGGCAGACAAAGGCGAGATGTAGAAATACCGGCCTAACAACTTTTCCAGTGACTCCTGACCTCGATGGGTGGTTTCTTGCACAGCCAGTACAACTGCAGCTCCTAGCAGCTGTGGCACAGCTACTCTCCCATCTGCTAACCGAATCCATCCTTCCTCCATCACTTGTCCTTCCCTCTACCTGGAGAAAGTCCTTTTCTTCGTTAGAAGAAGTAGGTCCCAGATCAGGTGCTTGAGGGAGCCCTGATGCCCAGAAGGGGGAAGATGCTGCTTTTCGAGCCTCTGAGTCAGCGCGGGAATTCCGCAAACCCAGCCAGGTGGAAGCTCGCTGGTGTCCCCTGCAATGCATAACTGCCACCTTGTGGGGTTTCCATACTGCTTCTAATCATTGCAAGATTTCTTGTTGATATTTTCTGTCTCTTCCCTAGAATTCAATAGGCCCTTTTCTTTCTATCACGCTCCATGAACTTGAAGGGTTGAAAAGACATACCTAGAATCAGTGTAAATGTTGACAGTCTCACCCTCACTGAGTTCTAAGGCCCGAATGAAAGCAATGAGTTCAGCTTTCTAGGCTGAAGTGGCCTGGGGCAATGATGTGGCTTCAACAACAGTGTCCAGGGTTACCCCTGCATACCCTCCACCTCTCCTTGGGGGTTGAAGAAGCTGCTCCCATCCAAGTATAGTTCCCAGTCTACTGATGCCCAAGGCTGGTCCCAGAGGTCAGGTCTGCTAGAGTCAATTGAGTCCAACACTTCTACACAACCAGGCTTGACAGGGCTCTTTGATACCGGGAGCAAGGTGGCGGGGTGGAGGGTGTTACAAACTTCAATGGTTATACGGGGATTTTCACAGAGCAAAGTCTGGTAGTCGGTGAGTGTGGCATTCGTTAGCCAATGATGTCCTTTAGTATTCATTAAAGTCACGACAGCACGGGAGGCCTTAATGTTCAGTTTTTGCCCAAGAGTCAGCTTATTTGCTTCTTGTACTAGCAGGGCAGTTGCTGCCAAGGCCCTCCAACAGGGGGGCCATCCTTTAGAAACCCCGTCTAGTTGTTGAGAGAGGTAGGCCCCCAGCCTCGGCCTGGGCCCCACAGTCTGGGTTCAAAGTCCAGCTGCCATCTTTTCTCTCTCTGATGCATATAATGGAAAAGGCTTTGTTAGATCGGGTAGCCCCAGGGCTGGGGCTGCCAGAGGTTTTCCTTTAACTCATGAAAGCCTTGCTGTTGTTGGCATCCGCATTCCAAAGTTTCCCGGTCCCCGCCCCCTTGGTGACCGCATACAAAGGCTTGGCTAATACTGCAAAGTTTGGGATCCATAGTCTACAAAACCCCACAGCTCCTAAGAATTCTCTCACCTGCCTTCAGCTCTTAGGCTCCGCTAGATGGCAAATGACCTGCTTTCTTTCTGATCCCGGGCTGCCTTCCCACCCCTGTCGGATAGTCAATCCCAAGTAACATACCTTCTGTCAGCAGATCTGAGCTTTCCTCTTGGACACTTCTATCCACAGTCCTCCAGGTGCCGGTGTAGGGCATCTGTTCCCTTGGCACACCCAACTGCCGTGGGGTGTCCCAGCAGAAGGTCATCAACCTACTAGAGCAACACGCAGCCTAGGTCTCTGCTGGGAAACTTCTGGAGGTCTCGAGCCCACGCCTCCCCGAAGATGGTGGGGGAGTTCTTGACCCCTTGGGGAAGCCCGGTCCAAGTGTACTGAGTAGTGACACCTGACTCCGGATCTTCCCACTGAAAGGCAAACAGCTTCTGCCTCTCAGGGGCTAATCTGATAGGAAAGAAAGCATCTTTCAGGTCCAAGCAGGTGAACCAGCTGTCCTCAGCTGGCGGGAACCCCAACAATGTGGACGGGTTAGGTACTGTTGGATGGAAAGTCAGTTTAGCTTGATGAAGCAAGCGCAAATCCTGTACCGGCTGGTAGTTCTTGGTCCGTGACTTGGGAACAGACAGGAGGGGAGTGTTCCATGGAGACCGACAAGGAACAATAATTCCAAAAGTTCTTAGGTGCTTGAGATGGACCTGGATACCTTGAAGGGCTTCTCTGGGGACCGGCCCCTGTTTTTGCCTCACTGGCAGGGCCCCAGTCTTAACTGGCCAATCCTGGAGGGTTGTCTTCTGCCCATACTCTTGGCCACCGCTTAGCCAGAGCTGGTCTTCTCTCTTGGCCTGGCTCAGTTCAGAAAAGTCTCCTTTCCTCCTCTCGGGGGACCACAAGTGTCATAATGACTCCCGTTCCTGGTAACTTTAGCAGCAAAGAGCCGTGCTCTGTCAAAGAGATAGTGGCTCTCAGCTTGCTGAGCAAGTCCCTTCCCGAAAAGGTCAAGGGACAGTCAGGCATGTACCAAAACTGATGAATGACTTTATATCCTCCTACAGTACAAGTGCAAGGCAAGCAGAAAGCTTGCTTTGCTGAAACCCCCGTGGCTCCGATGACGTCAATAGTCTTTTTGGATAACCGGGCGACCGGGGCGGTTACTAGCGAATGTTCAGCACCGCTATCTACAAGAAAGTCAATGTCTCCACCCCCGACTGTCATTGTGACCAGAGGCTCAATGGGGACGCTTGAGTCTTGTCTCCCTCAGTTCAAGAACCCTTCTGCCAGGTTGAGCAGGGCCCCTTCCTCCTTGTCCGGGGCCTCCTGCTCTGAGTCACCTTGTTTTCTTTTGAGCTGAGGGCATTTGTTCTTCCACTGTCCTATTTCTTTACAATCAGCACACTGGTTATGCTGCAAACTCTGACAGCCAAGCTGAGTTTCTTTCCCAGGGCCTCCCTTCCCTTGCCTCTTTGTGGGGGCCCCTCTGATTGCTGCAGCTGACAAACAGGTCGGCATATCGCCGGGCCTGACCTCCATTCTCTTTGCCGTTTTCCTTACGGCTTACTGCATCCCTGTTTACAAACACCTGGCTAGCTATTTCTAGTAATTGGGATGGATTCATCCCTGCAAGCCCAGCCTGTTTCTGCAGTTTTCTTCTCATGTCTTCTGCGCTTTGACGGACTAAAGCCATGGGAATCATGCGCTGATTTTCAGGGCTATCAGGATCAAAGGGAGTATACATACGATAGGCCTCCCACAGTCTCTCGTAGAATTGTGTTGGACTTTCTTCTTTACCCTGAATGTCCTCAGAGAGCTTGTTAACGTTTGTGGCCTTCTGAGCTCCCCTCATTAATCCTTCCAAGAGAGCTTCCCTGTCTCGGTTTAGCCTTTGCATATCCTCTCTTTCATGTGGGTCCAACTGGGGGTCTGTTCCTGGCAACTGGGTCCTTCCATACTCTTGGGGGTTTTGATAATCAGCTGGTGCATGTTCCTCTAGCCACTTAGTTGCTGCTTGAGGACTCTCCGCCTTTCTTCGCTGTTAAAGAGGAACATGAGCAACTGGTGCCAATCAGCCCAGGTGGGGTTGTGGGTCTGGATAACAGTTTGGAGCAAATCAATTAGGGCTTGTGGCTTTTCGGTATAGGACGGTGTATTGTTTTTTCAGTTGAGAAGATTGACGCAGGTGAAGGGCTGGTACCCAAAAACACGCCTCTCCACCACGTGACCATCCTCATCTATCCCAGTCTACGGCTGCTCTCTCAGGGGCATTTGTGTCCCCTTTTGGGTCGTAAACGAGCTGCCGAGGGAGGAGTGGAATGGCGCAATGCGACTTACCGCAATTAATAATCTCAATTATTAATTGACACTAATAATTATCAATATTAATAACCCATAATATTTTTAAAAATCAATACCGATAATAATGATAATTAATATTAAATAGTTATACTAATGGTAACAATACATGATTAATATTAATGATTAATGATGCCTGATATTAATAACTGATATTGATCTTATTCATTAGAAAACAGTAATATTAGCTCCTAAGAATTAATATTAATATTAATAATCTGAAAACTTTATTAGCAATTATTTCTTAATATTAATATTAATATCGGTCATTCATATTCATGTTAATAATAAATGAGGTATAATTCACACTAATATTACTCCCTAATACCTCAGTGGGTGTACACCCACCTGTGATATTGCTCCTAATGTCCAGGGTGGGAGAGAGCATGATATTACGTTCAATATCGCAGTAGGTGTACACTCAGCCGGTGATATTGATCCGAATATAATCTCCAAGGGGTGGAGTATGATGTTACTCCCAATATAGCACTGGGTGTGCATCCACCCGGTGATTTTGCTCCTAATTCACAGAAGAAGAAAATGCTATTACTCCCAACATCGCAGGAAGTGTACACCCCCGTGTGAGATGGTCCTTAATAACATTCCAAAGCGGAGGGGCTGATAGGACTATATATATGGCAGAAAGTGGACACCACCAAGGATATTGTTCCCATGATCCTGGAGGGAAGAATGTGATATTACTTTCAATATCACAGAAGGTGGACACACCCCCACTGATATTGTTTCTAATTGCAACTTGGGAGAGGAGGATATGACACGCGATATCCCAGGGAGTAGAAACACCCCTTTGATACTGTTCTTAATATTCAGGGAGGAAGAAGATGATATGACACCCAATACAGACGGGTGTACAATCTCTGTATACCCAGGGTGTACACCGGTTTGTGAAACAGTTCATAATCTCCAGAGCGGGAGATGATATTACTCACAATTTGATAAACAGGCTGTGTATCCACCGCGGATCCTAAAAACCAGGGGGGCAAGAGGGGCTGGCTCTTACTCCCTGCATCGTGGGGGGCTCCTCATCCCCCTGCAATGGGGGTCCTAAGAGTCAGAGGGGCAAGAAGGGCTGGCTCTTACTCCCAGCATCGCTGGTGGTGCCTCACCCCCCTGCGATAGGGGTTCTAAGAGCCAGGGGGGCAAAAGGGGCTGGCTCTTACTCCCCGCATCGGATATAGTACTATGGGTGAAACAACAATGTGGCTGTGGATGTAAATTAAGGGAGTAAATGTTAAAATGCACAAATGAAAATAGAGTGTAAGCATTTATAAAATTTATATTCATTTTCACCTGACCATCTAAACATGCAATTATAATAATTTTCATCTATCATGTTAATTATTCATAGATAAGAGAGTTTAAGACATGTTTTTTCTCCTGGAGTCTGAAGAAGATGGAGTTAGAATTTTCACCACTTCTTTTGTCCATCAATTTGAATGATCTTCAGTTTGCAGCAGATGCTGAAGTCAGCACAGTATCTAATTGCATGTTCATCAGCATTGCACTTCAGTCTGCAATGATAATATTCTGAAGGACATTCATCATTAGAAGTGAAGCTTCTGGCTTTAAAAAGAGAAGACAAATTATATGACACAATATTACTTACTTTTTATGTTTAAATGTCTGAAATGTTTTATAATAAATTAAAAGCATTACAGAACTTTCCCAGAAAAACAAAAACAACAGCAAAAGAATGCAAGAGAAAAAGTGGAGATGCTGAATAAAGACAAACGATGATTTCTTCTGTAAAGAGAGTAGTAAATGAGGCAGTAGTTGGAAATGTACAGAATTTTAAATGAGAACTATTACCACATATTTCTACCTAAAATGAATTATCCAGCTTGGGGGTGGTGTAGAGATTCATAATGCAGGAAATAATGTTTAATTTCTGGAGTTAAATTCTTAAAAAAGTCATTGGGGATGGAATCTAGTGTAAGTGGAGGGGTTGGCCTTGAATCACAGAGTGAAGAGAAGGCAGATTATGGATAAAGATAAAACCATGTGAAGAGATATGGTGGTGGAAAAGTGGAAAAGCTATCTTTGGTTGCTTCTCTGTTCTTGGTGAAATGAGAAAAAAGAATCCTTAATTGAGAGAAGGGGTCAGAAGGAGTTGAGTCTTAGTTCCAGCTTCCCAGTGTATTCGGGCTCAAGGCCATGTCTCCTTTACTGAGGAAGTTACTGAGATATGGACAGGAGCCTATAACCCATAATCTCCCATAAATATTCCCTTTAAACATACCAATCCTTCCCAAATCCTTTTGTTACAATTTATAAGTTAAAATATTTGCCATGACCAACATCATGAAAGTTTCTCCTTATGTTTTCTTCTATAAGTTTTACAGTCTCAGGTAATTATGTTTAAATGTGTAGTTCATTTTGAATTGCTTTTTGTGTGTAGTGTAAGATACAGGCCCAGTTTTATTCTTTTGCATATGAATATTCAGTTTTCTTAGTACCACGTATTGAAGAAACCATCTTTTCCCCATTATATATTCTTCGCATGTTTGTTGAAGGCCAGTTGACTTTATAAGTGTCAGTTGATTTCTTGGCCCTCTATTCTCTTCCAGTGGCCTATATGTCTATCTTTATCCCAGTAGCACACAGTTTTGATTACTCTATCTTTATAATACATTTTGAAATTAGAAAATGTGATGCCCCTAGCTTTGTTTTTCTTGCTCATTGTTTTGACTATTCTGGGTCCTTTGTGGTTTTATATGAATTTTAAAATTGTTTTTTCTATTTCTGTCAAGAGTGCCATTAGGATTTTGATAGGGATTGTATATAATCTATAAATTGCTTTGAATAGTATGGATATTTTAATATTATTATGTCTTCCAATTCATGAACATAGGATATCTTTCTACTGATTTGTGTCTTCTTTAATTTCTTTCATGAATGTCTGCAATTTTTAATGTACCAGTCTTTCATCTTTTGGTTAAGTTTATTCTTAAATATCTTATCTTTTTCTTGCTATTATGAATGGGATTTTCTTTACTTGCTTTCCAGTTGCTTGCTGTTAGTGCTATAGAAACACAACTGGTATTTGTAGGTTGATTTTCTATCCTGCAACTTTACTGAATTTGTTATTAGTTTTAATAATTTTGGGGGAGTGAAGTTTAGGGTTTTTTACAAAAAAATTATGTCATTTGGAAATAGATAATTTTACTCATTCCCACCCCCCAACAGTTTGGATGCCATTTATTTCCTTTTCTTGCCTAATTGTTCTTGCTAGAACTTTTAGAATCATGTTAAATAAATGTGGCAAGAAGGGGCACTTTTGCCTTGTTCCTGATCTTAGAAGAAAAGCTTTTAGTTTTTCACCATTGAGTATGAGTGAAGAATTTCTTTTTACTTTTATTGTAAGGTAGGACTACTGGTGACAAACTCTATTTTTGGTTACCTAAGAAAATTATGTATTTTTACTTTAATTTAGAGGGTAGGCTGGGCATGGTGGCCTGCACCTTTAATCCTGGCACTTTGGGAGGCCAAGGCGGGCAGATCACCTGGGGTCAGGGGTTCAAGACCAGCCTGGCCAAACTAGTGAAACCCAGTCTCTACTAAAAATACAAAATTAGCCAGGCGTGGTGGTGGCTGGCTGAGGCACGAGATTGCTTGGACCCAGGAAGCGGAGGCTGCAGTGAGCCAAGGTCACTGCCACTGCACTCCAGCCTGGGTGACAAAGTGAGACTCTGTCTAAAAAAAAAAGATAATTTTGCTAAGTAGAGAGTTTTAAGATAGTGTTCTTTTTTTTTTTTTAACATTTTAAATATTTCACTTTCCTCTCTTTTTGCTTATGTGGTTTAAGAGAAGTCTGATGTAATTCTTATCCTTGGTTGTCCATAGATAAAGATTTTTTCCCCTCCTGGCTTCTTTTAAGATTTTCTTTTCGTCTTTGATTTTTGGCAGTTTCAATATAATATGCCTATGTTTAAATTTTTTGTATTTATCTTGCTTGGTATTCTCTCAGCTTCCTAGATATGTAGATTTTGTTTATTTTCAATTTTGGGAAAATCTCAGTCAGAATTTCTTCAAATATTTCTTCTGTTCCTTTCTTTCTCCTCCTCCTGATACTTCATTACACATATATTTTTCCTTTTCTAATTGGCCTACACTTATTAAATATTCTGTTCTTTTTAATTCTTTTTTCTTTGCTTTTAAGTTTTGGAAGTTGCTATTTAAAATTCTTTAAGCTCACTGATTCTTTCCTTGATCATATCAGTCTATTGATGAATTCATTGTTATGGGCTAACCAGTTTTCCTCCAAAATTTGTATGTTAAAGTCCCAATCTTTAGTATCTCAGAATGTAATCATATTTGAAGATTTTTTTTTTTTAAGGACTGATAAAGCTAAAATGAGACTCCCAGGGTATGGCCCTCGTGCAATATGGCTGATGTCCTTATTAGAAGAGGAAGAGACACCAGGAATTCATGTGCACAAAAAAATGCCATAAGAGGACATGGCAAGAAGGCAACCAGCTGCAAGCCAAGACAGGCCTCAGGAGAAACCAAATGTGCTGACGTCTTGATCTTAGACTTATAACTTCCAGAACTGTGAGAAAATGAACTTTTGTTATTTAAGGCACCCATTATGTGGTACTTTATTATGATAACCCTATAGCAATGCAAGAATGGCCTAATACATCTATATTTATATTGGACAAAATTGACTTTAAGTGAAAAAACATAAAAAGAGACAAAGAAGGCCATCATATAATGATAAAAGGGCCAATCCAGCAAGAGGATATAAAAATTCCAAATATGTATATATATGTACCCAGTAGTGGAATAGATATATTAAAAATGTCATTAGAGCTAAAGAGAGAGATACACCTCAACATCATGATAACTGAGGGCTTCAATACCCCACTTTCAGCATTGAACAGATCATCTAGGTAGAAAGCTAACAAATAATCATCAAATTTAATCTGTACCACAGAACAAATAGACTTAACAGACATTTACACAACATTTCATCCAAAAGCTGTGGAGTACACATTCTTCTCCTCATCACACAGAACATTCTCCAGGCTAGACCATATGTTAAGACACAAAACAAGTTTCAACAAATTTTGAAAAATCAACATTATATCAAGTATATTCTAGACAAAAATAGAATAGAACTAGAAATGAATACTAGGAAGAACTTTGGAAACTATACAGATAACATGGAAATTAAACAACATGCTTCTGAACAACCATTGAGTCAATGAAAAAACTCAGAAGAAAATAACAAATGTTCTTGAAATAAATGCAAATGGAAACACAACATACCAAAGCCTATGGAATACAACAAAGACAGTGCTAAGAGAGAATTTTACAGCAATAAATGCCTACTGCAAGAACATAGTAAGATTATAAACAAGCTACTATGCACCTCAAGGAACAAGAAAAACAAGAAAAAATGAAATCCAAACTTAGGAGAAGGAAAGAAATAATAAAAATCAGAGCAGGACTAAGTGAATTCGAGATTTAAAAAATTCAAAGAATTAATGAAACAAAAAGTTGACTTTTGGAAGAGATAAACAGACTTTATAAACTGCTAGCTAGACTAACCAAGAACAAAAGAGAGAATGCCAAATAAATAAAATCAGAAATAAAACAGGAGACATTACAACTGATATAAAAGAAACACAATGGATCATTAGAGTCTGTTATAAACAACCATATGCTAAATAATTCATATGATGAAATTTTTTTTACCAACACCAATAATCAATCTAACTTTCCCAAATTAATTTTAAAATCCACCAATACTTTATAATAAATACATATTAAACTGTGGTTTATACCTGAGATTTAGATTATCAATTGACTTATTTATCTTTTCTGAGGCACATGTTACCTCAGAGCACATTTTAAAATTTATTTCAAGATTCCATCATTTATATAATTATACAGAATTATACTTTTCCTCCGTGAATGTTGGTGTTTTATATTTTTATTGAGATAGAATTTACTATAAAATTCATTCCTTTAGAGTGTTCCATTTAGTGAGTATCAGTGGATTCTTAAAGTGGGATATACTGATGACCACTGAATGAAGGAATGAAGTACGAATCTATGCCACAACATGGATGAATCTTGAAAACATTATGCTAAATGAAAGAAGGCAGACATGAAGGATCAGATATTTATTATTCTGTTCATAGTAAATGTCCAGAATAGGAATATACATAGAGACAAAAATTAGATCAGTGGTTGCTAGGGACTGGGAGGAGGAGAGATTTCTTCTTGCGCTGATAAACATATTCTGGAATTAGATAATGGTGAGGGGTGCACAATTTTAAGAATACACTTGATAACCACTGAATAGAACACTTTAAGGCAATGAATATTATGGTAAATTTTATCTCAATAAAAATATAAAAAACCCACTAACATTCATGGGGGAAAGGCATAATTATTTATAATTATATAAATAAGGGAATCTTGAATCATGAAGTATTATATAAATGAGGGAATCTTGAATTGTGAAGTATTAAAATGTGCTTCAGAAATGATCAATAAGTCAACCAGTAATCTAAATCTCAGGTATGAACCACAGTTTAATATGTTTTTATTATGGGGTATTGATGAATTTTAAAATTAATTTGGGAAAGTCATATTGATTATTTAATAAATATGCTTATATATAATTGGCTAGTTTTGTGGTTAAAAATTAAGGTGGAATCTTAACTCTCACCATACAAAAAGTAATTTCCATATACATTAAATGATATCATATGAGTTTTATTCAACTTTAAAGGAACACAGAGGCTAGGTCCTTGCCTGGATCAGTGGTGAATTTATCCTGTGAACCAAGGATTATGGTGGAGCATCCACCTCTTCACCTCTAGCCCTTCTTCTAGTCTTCATTCGCTTTTCATTTTTCCAATTCTTTAAATTTCCTGTGTTCTGTGTGCATCCTCTCACCATCTTTTGATCAAACACAACTCTCAAGTAAGTTTATTTTTTTTTATGATTATTTTTTGAGACAGGGTCTCACTCTGTTGCCCAGGCTGGTGTGCAGTGGCATGAACTAAGCTGAATGCAGCCTTGACATCTCAGGCTCAAGCGATCCTCCTGCCTAAGCTTCCTGAGCAGCCAGAACCACAGGCACGCGCCACTATACCTGACTAATTTTTTGTATTTTTTTTTTTTTTGTAGAGATGGGGTTTCACCCTGTTGCCCCCACCGGGCTGGTCTAGAACTCCCAAGCTCACCCACCTCAAACTCCCCAAATGCTGGGATTATAGACATGAGCCACTGTGCCTGGCCTCAAGTGAGTTTATCATAGGTTAAATCACTGCAGTGAACCACCTTATTTATTTCTTTAGTATCAACTCTTCAATCTTCTGAGCAGCCTTCATGGTACAGTAAAATCTGCCCATGCCTAATTTATTTTCAGACTCTTGAAAGACCTTGCATTTTCTTTTACTTATATTTTTAGAACTTTGGAATAAAAAAGTTTCTGCCTTACTTGGAGGAACTGTGGACATCAAGGAAAGGACTCCAAAGACAAAAAACAAGACCCTCATGGTTGAATAGGTAAAGCAGGTTAGAGAGAATCAGTAGTTGAGATGAAGAGGACTTCTGTGTACATTCAGTCCTCTGAAGAGGTGAGTTGCTGAGTGATTATTGAACCTTTCAGGAGCAATAACATTTCTGTGTTTCAATGAGATTTTATATCAGGAGACAGCATGCAATCATCATGACTATCAGTCATTTAAAGTACATTTATCAAAGGTCAACAGGGTGTGTGCAAAGGTAGTAGAAAGCACAGCCATGGCAAAGGCAGGAGAGAGACTTGAAATATCAGCATTGTCTTATGCATTCTGGAGGAACTGTAAAAGTTAAGGAAGCAGTTATAGAGGAAAAGCATTCATTTTATTTTTCTGATAATGGGAAGAACCACGTAATACAACAGCATGCCTATTTATTACTATTTTGGCACCGTGTGTTAGCATGCTTAAGCAATGGAATTATAAACAGACTAGTGAGATACAGAAAAACTTTTATTTGATTATCTTTCTGTCCAATCGATCGAATGAGATAAACTAATTTTTATATTGAAACCTAAGTTAACACAAATTGTTTTCACATCAGTTATATGTAATATGAGAGGAATTAAAGAAAGAAGAGTGGGCCTTAGGGAACCTATAATACACTTCGGAAAGCAAATAATATATACAAAGAAACGGCAATGCAACACGAGCATATTTCTGACAGAGAGGCACAAATTACTTCTTAGACACTAAGGAAATGAACATAAACACCAGAATACTTTGGGTGCCGTAGGGAATGCTTAAAGAGGGTATGAGTAAACTTTATTTATTTATTTATTTTTTATTTAGAGACAGAGTCTCACACAGTTGCCCAGGCTGGAGCGCAGTGGTGCGATCTTGGCTCACTGCAACCTCTGCCTCCCGGGTTCAAGTGATTCTCCTTCCTCAGTCTCCCAAGTAGCTGGGATTACAGGCACACGTCTCCATGCCTGGCTAAGTTTTGTATCTTTAGTAGCAATAGTGTCTTGCCATGTTGGCCAGGCTGGTCTCGAACTCCTGGCCTCAAGTGATCCACATGCCTCGGCCTCCCGAAGTGCTGGGATTACAGGGGTGAGCCACCACGTCTGGCCAGAATATCAACTTCAGAGACTGCAAAGTACATGCACATTCCTGGTCTTACTTGACCTTCATTCCTTTCTAGATGGTTTCACTACAGGTGAAGTAAATTTTCTCAGTACCAAGAAGGAAGTTCTCTTTCTGCCATGGCTTCTTCTTGGTGCTACTTCTATAATACTTCAGAGTGTTAGTGAATGGAACACGTGGTTACATTATTTGAGCAGGTCCTCCCTGCCTTTAGAGACTTTGAAAATGAAATCTTGAGTCAGGGATGGGGAGGTCTTGGAAGAGGCAAACTTCCCAAGTCTTAGCCTAAGGAGGGCCAGTGAGGGGCATGAAAGCTCTGGAGATGTTTTTTCCTAAACCTCCATTCAGTTCCTTCCTCCTGAGTTGCTGGGGCAGCGGTGCCTGGGCACAAGCCTCTGCCAGCACCCTAGAAACTCAAAGGGGGATCTTAGGGTCATTGTGCTGGTTATTGCTGACTGCTCCATTTACTGAAGCCAGAATGGCCTAGGATCATTAGCATCTCTGATCAAGAATCCAGCATTTACTGCTTTTTCTCACCTCTCTGAGAATTATTTCTTTCTTGATCACGAGGAAAAGCTTTGGAAGTACAGTTTACACTGCAAAGCAATACAATTTATGGGAACAAATAATTGAAATCCTTTATGGAACACTAAGGGCATAATTTTCACTGCTTGATATTTTCTATGAACATTTGTTTGCCAGCCTGATGTAGGCTGGTGTAAATGTAATTGTGGTTTTTGCCATTACTTTCAATGGCAAAAATCGCAATTATGTTTGCACCAACCTAAGAGATTTGGAGCCAGGAGGCAGGCTTGGAATTCTGCCCAGGAAGCCCAAGAACATTGTGTAATCCATGGGCTACCAATCACGGATATCAAAGAAGGGTCAGAGGAAGGTTCACTGCATTCTGGGGGTGGACCAGTAGGTACCAGATGAACATCAAAAGATGGCTTAGATTGCAGAGGGCTTCAGCAAAGAAAGATAAAGTGCTTTGACCAATGACTTTTCTTAAAAGAACACCAAGAAGAAAATCAGATAGCTATCAAGCTATCAAATATAAGCTGTCACAGTAGAAGAAGAATGAAGGTAATTTACCATTAGATAATTAAATTTGACCTAGAAATTATAGAGTTTTATTGCACATAACTCTCCAGGAAGACACCAGATTTTCAATAAACAATTTATAATCAAGTATTCATTGTTTACCTTCCTTTCCTGCCTTCAGCAGTACTGACAGCTTTGGGGACTTTGATGCATTAATTATCTATTTTTCTTCTTGTTGATGCCGGTTTTCTTTTTCTTATTTATTTATTTATTTGAGACAGAGTCTTACTCTGTCACCCAGGCTGGAGGGCAGCAGCATGATCTCAGCTCACTGCAACCTCCACCTCCAGGTTCAAGTGAATCTCCTGCCTCAACCTCCCATGTAGCTGGGATTACAGGTGTGTGCCACCACACCCAACTAATTTTTCTATTTTTGGTAGAGATGAAGTTTCACCATGTTGGCCAGGCTGGTCTTGAACTCTTGGCCTCAAGTGATCTGCCTGCCTCTGCCTCCCAGAGTGCTGGGATTACAGCAGTGAGCTACGTGCCCGGCGCTGCCAGCTTTCTAAATCCATTGTTTTCCTTACTTTAAGTCTGTCAATATCCTCAAGTTCCTGCCATGTTAAAAACAAAACACAAAATTGACTTTCCTGTATTTAGTTTTTTTTTTAATGAATGCTTTTCCCTTTCCCCCTCAGGAAAATCATAGTCTCTATGCTTCATTTCCATTTTATCTTTCATTCACTTCTTACCCCACAAGTGGCTGACATTTTCCCTCAGCTTTCCATTGAATATACTTTTGCTAAGTCACTCACAAGTTTTTCTCTGTATAAGAGTAGACAAACACATATATGCCTATATCCTATAAGTATATTTTATTTTTATTGATTCCTAAATATTATTTCATGTAAAATTGGAAAAAATAAGATTATCTGATAATAGATATAACACATTACTTGATCACTTAAAAGATCATTACTATTTTAGTTTATTTACTTTCCATTAAATTTCTCTCTCTCTTATTCTTGTGATTCACCTATAGCTTTATTTATTAATAAGTATTACTTTATTATAAATATTTTCCTATACTATTTTCAAATACTCCAAAACAGTAATTTTTACTTTCTGCATAATATTCCATATTATGGATATTTCATAATATATTTATGTAATCATCCTTTCATTGTTGGGCATTGTTTTGTGTTTATAATTTCACTATTTAAATGTTATGAGATTGTCCCAGGGGGCTTCTCTACTATTTCCAAATCAATTTCTGGCTAGGTCTCCTGACCCAAGTGGCTGCTGGAGTTGCAGGTGTGCTTAACTTATATGGAGCGAGTAAAACCTTTAGTTCAATATGTTGTTAATTGAAAGGAGAATCTTAGTATACACTATTTTCCAGTATAGGTAAAAAATGGATAATAACTTTGTTCAACTAGCAAAATAAGAGAAAAAGATAGAAAATAAGGTAAAAATAAATGATAGACATAAGGTCAAACGAAATGAGTAAAATCACTCCATCAGTTGTTAGGAGGCAATTTTTTTTTCTCTTTCTGCACTTGAGTTGATCAAGTCTATAGATAGATTCTCTTCATAGCTATGAGAAGCATATTGGCACAAGGTTGCTGTCTCTCTCTGTGTAAATGAAGTATTAGCTCTAGCCTGGATGTTTCCTATAAGTTTCAGAATAAAAAAATTCAACTATTTACTTGACATCTACTTTTGGATGTCTAATAAGCAACTCAAGAATTCCAAAATGAATTTTTGATTCATACCACTTTCTCTGTTAATACTCACACTCCCCTTAGTCTTGCTCTCTCAGTGATGGGCTCATGTACCTAGTTGTTTGGGTTAAAAAACAAAAACGAACAAAAACTCTGAGCATACCTTTGATTCTCTCATTTAATAATTACAACCCATTAGCAAGCCGAGTTCTATCTTTAAAATATCTCTTTTATTTTTTATTTTTAAAAATTTTTGAGACAGAGTTTCACTCTGTTACCTAGGCTGGAGTGCAATGGTGCGATCTCTGCTCACTGCAACCTCTGCTTCCCAGGTTCAAGCGATTCTTGTGTGTCAGCCTCCCGAGTAACTGGGATTACAGGTGCTAGCTACCAATTCTCAGCTAATTTTTGTATTTCTTTTTTGTGGAGATGGAGTTTCGCCATGTTGGTTAGGCTGTTCTCAAACTCCTGTCCTCAGATGATCCGCCTGCCTTGGCCTCCCAAAGTGCTGGGATTATGGGTGTGAGCCACTGGGCCCGGCCTAAAATGTGTCTTAAATCCAACCTTTGTTCACTTCCCCTGTCATTGCACCATTGTCCAAGTCACTAGTGTCTCTGGAGAGAGCCCCTAACTTGTCTCTATGTTTCTATGAGAGCTTTGCATACTCTAATTTATGTTCAGACACCAGAGATATGTTTCTAAAATGCAAATTAAATCAAATTATTTCCTTATTGAAAATCTAATTACGTTTTTTAAAAAAACTACATAGAATAAATCCAGTCTGTTTACATGGCACACAATGTCCTACCTGATTTGGTTGCTGAATATTTCTCCGATATTTTTTTCCTGCTACTCTTCCCTCTTTTCATTCTGTTCCACACGTATTAGTTTTCTTGCTCTTCCATAAACATTTCAAACTCATTTCTACCTCATAGCCTCTGTTTTTACTATTACCATTGCAAGGATTATTCTTTTCTAAGATATTTCTATGGAAACTCTGTCCCCCTATTTCATTCAGTCTTTGTTCCTGTGTCACCATCTCAGAGAGGCTTTCCATGATTATTGAATAAATTCTAAAATAAAATTGATATCGAAAAGGGCATGCTCCCTGCAGCAAGTTGCTAATATCAGAAATCAATAACAATAAGATATATTCCCAAATTCATACATAGAGATATTCAAACACAACACATTCCTACATAACACTTGGGCTAAGGCATACATAAAAATGAATACAAAATAATTAGATCTGAAAAAACGGAGAGCACTATAAATGAAATCCTGTGGATTGCAGCCAAAGTGGTATAAAAAAGGACATTTATGGTTTTCAAGACATTTACTAGAATTCATGAAAGTATGAAAGCAGCATACTGCTCAACTGAAGAATCGAAATAAATAACAAAATAAATAGAAAAAAACTGAAACAAAATAGGAGGCAATAAACAAAAATAATATCACACATAAATAAGAAACAAAACAAAGCAAGAAACATTGTAGAGTTATTTAGTAAGACCACTAGGTAGTTTATGGGAAGATTCATATATTAGTTGAGTCTTAGGAAAACATCATGAGAAAAAGAGAAAAAAAATAATACAGGGAAGAAAAGGAACATAAACTACAGATAGAGAAGAGCTTTGATATCATGATAGAATCCTTTAAACCCTCTATCCTGAATATGTGAATGAAATGGACACTTTCAGGGAAATACGAATGAATAATATTGACCAAAACAAACTTACAAGTGGTCAATGTTGTATCCTTTTACATCCAAAAGGTGCTAGAACCAGCAAGATTTTATGTACAATCCTGAAGGAATAGATAATTCCTATTTCTTTTTTTGTTTTTTTGAGACGGAGTCTTGCTCTGTCACCCAGGCTATAGTGCAGTGGCGCGATCTCGACTCACTGCAAGCTCCACCTCCCAGGTTCACGCCATTCTCCTGCCTCAACCTCCCAAGTAGCTGGGATTACAGGCGCCCGCCACCACGCCCAGCTATTTTTTTTTGGTATTTTTTTAGTAGAGATGGGGTTTCCTCCTGTTAGCCAGGATGGTCTCGATCTCCTGATCTTGTGATCCACCCGCCTCGGCCTCCCAAAGTGTGATAATTCCTATTTCTTAAGAATAAATGAGATTACAGATTGAGCTAGGTGATTACTCAACACATTTTATGAAAGAGAATAAGCACAATATAGAAATTTCACAGGGGTAGTGTATTAGTTATTGTTGCATAACAAGGTTTTCCAAAATGTAGTGGCTTAAAACAACAAACTGATTATCACAAGTTTCTGTGGGATGAGGCTTAACTGGGTGCTTTTGGCTAAAGGTCTGTGTTGAGGTTGCAGACAAAAGCTGTCAGCTGGGGCTACATTTTAATCTGAAGACTGGGAGTGTGGGGGTTATATATAAACTCATTCACTGGCTTTTTTCTTGCAGCATAATGTTGTGGAAGTTCATCCATGATGTATCATCTATTAGTATTTGTTCTTTTTTATTATGAAATAGTATTTCTCCGTATAGATATAGTACATTTTGTTTATCCATATACTAATATATGGGATAGAAACCTAAGAATAGTATCATTAAATTGCATGATATATTCATATTTATCAGTTTTAAGAAAAGGCCAAACTATTTTCCAAAGCGGTGATACTATTTTATATTTCCATCAGCATTGTAAAGGGCCCTCATTTAGCCACATCTTCATGGACATATTTTATCACTGGTCATTTTTATTATAGTTATTCTAGTGTGTGTTAAGTGGCTTCTCATTGTGGTTTTAATTTGCATTTCACTAATGACTAATGATTCTGATAATCTTTTCATCTGTTTATGCCCATTCACATATTTTCTTTGGTGAAATGTGTACTCAAATCTTTTGCCTGTTATCTTATTTATTAACAAATTATTAATTATAAATTGATAAATTATAGTTGTCTTATTTATTGGGTACAAAGTGATGTTATGATTTATGAATTCAATGTGGAATAATTAGATCATGGTAATTCACACACCAATCACCTAAAATCATTATTTTTTTGTCTTGAGAATGGTTGAAATGTATTCTTTTGGCAATTTCAAAATGTATAATACATTTTTTACTATATTCACCATGCTGTGCAGTATATCTTAAAGAAACCTTATTCTCCTGTCCAGTTGAGGCTTTGTACTGTTTGACCATGATATCCTTATCCCTTTACCATCCCCAGGCTCTGGTAACCACTGTTCTACTCTCTGCTTATTTGAGTTTGATTGTTTTAGATTCCACAAATAAGTGAAACATGTAATATTTGTCTTTCTGTGGCAGGCTTATTTCACTTAGCCTAATGTTCTCCAATTCCATCTTTGTTGCTGCAAATAAAAAAGTTTCTTTTCTTTAAGGTAGAATAGTATTCTACTGTGTATATATACTATATTTTCTTTATCCATTTATCTGTTGATAGACACTTAGGTTGATTCCAAAACTTGACTATTGCAAAAAGTGCTGCAATGAACATGGAAATGCAGACATCTCTTCAATATACAAATTTCAAGTCTTTTCAGTAAATACCCAGATGTGAGATTGCTAGGTCATATGTAATTTTATTTTTATTTTTGTTCAGAAACTTATAAGTTTTCCATAATGGCTACACTAATTTACATTCCTACAACAGTGTGCAAGTGTTCCCTTTTCTACACATCCTCTCCCACACCTGTTACATTTCCTCTTTTCTGTAGTAGCCATTCTAGCAGGTGTGAGGTGATATCTCATTGTGGTTTTAATTTCCATTTCCCTAATGATTAGTGAGGTTGAACACTTTTTCATATGTTTATTGGTCATTTGTATGTCTTCTTTGAGAAATGTCTATTCACCTCCCATGCCCATTTTTTAATTGGACTATTTGTTTTCTTTCTGTAGAGTTGTTTGAGATCCTTATAAATTTTGTCTATTAACCCCTTATCAGATGTATGGCTTGCAAATATTTTCTCCCAATCTGTAGACTGTCTCTTTAATTGTTTTCTTTGGTGTGCATAAGCTTTTTATTTTGATTATAATGAAATTTGTCTATTTTTGCTTGCATTGTCTGTGCTTTTGCAGTTAGAACTTAAGTTAGAACTTTAAGTTAGAACTTAAGATGTCCAATGTCAAGTGCAGCAGGTTTCTCACCTCAAGGGACAAGAGAACAAAGCCAGGAGCCTGGTACCAGCTTCCCAGGATTAGGGCACACAGCCCCGGAGTAATGAGCTGAGCCTTGGCCCCCAGAAGTTTCCCAGAAATGAAGCCAGTCAACGGAACCCACCTTATTCCACAATCAAACCATCAAAGGTGTCAAAGAATATAAGAGCAAAAACCCCATCCAAAGGACAGTGATATGGTTTGGCTCTGTGTCCCCACCCAAATGTCACCTTGAATAAATCCCCATGTGTCAAGGGCAGGACCAGAAGGAGATAACTTAATCATGGGGTGCTTCCCCAGTGAGTGAGCTCTCATGAGATCTGATGATTTTATAAATGGGAATTCCCCTGCACAAGCTCTCTTGCTTGACACCACGTAAGACGTAATTTTGCTCCTCATTTGCCATGATTGTTAGGCCTCCCCAGCCTAACAATGTGGAATTGTGAGCAAATTAAACCTCTTTCCTTATAAATTACCCAGTCTCTGGTATGTCTTTATTACCAGCTTGAGAACAGATTAATACAGACAGCGACACCAAAGATTAAAGAAACATCAGTCTACACAGATTAAAAAGAAGCAGCACAAGAACTCTGGCAACTCAAAAAGCCAGAGTGTCTTCTTACCTTCAAGGGACTGCAGTAGTTCCTCAGCAATGGTTCTTAACTGGGCTGAAATGACAGACATATAATTTAGAATCAAGATAGGAATGAAGATCATCGAGATTCAGGAGACAGTTGAAACCAAATTCAAGGAATCTAAGGAATCTAATAAAATGATATGAGTTGAAAGACAAAATAGCCCTTTTAAGAAAGAACAAAACTGATCTGATAGATATGAAAAACTCTCTATGAGAATTTAATCATACAATCACAGGTATTAACAGCAAAATAGGCCATGCTGATGCAGACGTATGTTTATTGCAGCACTATTCGCAATAGCAAGACTTGGAACCAACCCAAATGCCCATCAGTGATAGATTGGATTAAGAAAATGTGGCACACATACACCATGGAATATTATGCAGCCATAAGAAAAGGATGATTCCATGTCCTTTGTAGGGACATGGATGAAGCTGGAAACCATCATTCTCAGCAAACTATCCCGAGGACAGAAAACCAAACACCACATGTTCTCACTCATAGGTGGGAATTGAACAATGAGATCACTTGGACACAGGAAGGGGAACATCACACACTGATGCCTGTCATGGGGTAGTGGGAGCGGGGAGGGATAGCATTAGGAGATATACCTAGTGTAAATTACGAGTTAATGGGTGCAGCACACCAGCATGGCACATGTATACATATGTAACAAACCTGCGCATTGTGCACATGTACCCTAGAACTTAAAGTATAATAATAATAAAAAAATAGACCATGCTGAGGGAAGAATCTCAGAAATAGAAGACTTGTTCAGTTAGACAAAAATAAAGAAAAAAGAATTCAAAAAGATGAACAAACCTCTGAGAAATATGGAATTATGTAAAGCGACCAGATATATGACTCACTGGCATCCCTGAAAGAGCAGGAGAGAAAGCAAACAACTTGGGAAACATATTTGAGGATATCTTCCATAAAAATTTCCCCAACCTCACTAGAGAGGTTGATTCAAATTTAGGAAATGCAGAGAACCCCTGCAAGATACTACACAAGACAACCATCCCCTAGACATATGTCATCAGATTCTCCAAGGTCGACATGAAAGAAAAAGTATTAAAGGCAGCTAGAGAAAAGGAGCAGGTAACCCACAAAGGGAATCCCATTAGGCTAACAGTGGACTGTTAAGCTGCAACTCTATAAGCCAGAGGAGATTGTGGGCCTACATTCAGCATTCTTAAAGACAAGAAATCCCAACCAAGAATTTTATATCCATCTAAACTAAACTTTATAAGCAAAGGAGAAATAAAATCCTTTTCAGACAAGCAAATGCTAAGGAAATTTGTTACCATCAGACATGCCTTAAGGGCAGAGGTCCTTAAGGGAGTGCTAAATATGGAAAAGAAAGAGTACCAGCCACCACAAAACACAATTAATTACATAGATATTGACACTATAGAGCAACACACAATGAAGTCTGCATAATAACCAGCTAACAACACAATAACAGGATCAACTCCACACATAGCAATATTAACCTTGAACATAAATGGACTAAATGCCCTACTTAAAAGGCACAAAGTGGCAAGTTGGATAAAGAAGCAAGCCCCAACTGTATGCTGTCTTCAGTGTCATTGCATGTAAGCCCATCACTCATAGGCTCAAAGTAAAGGCTCAAAGAAAGATCTGCCAAGCAAATGGGAAACAAAAAAGCAGGGGTTGCCATTCTAATTTCTGACAAAACAGACTTTAAGCCAACAAAGATAGAAATAGACAAAGAAGGGCATTACATAATGGTAAAGGGTTCAATTCAACAAGAAGACTTAGCTATCTTAAATATATATGAACCCAAGACAAGTGTGCGCAAATTCATAAAACAGGTTATTAGGGACCTACAAAAAGACTTAGATAACCACACAGTAGTAGTGGGAGACTTCAACACCTCACTGACAGCATTCGACAGATCATTGAGAGAGAAAACTAACAAAGATATTTAGGCCCTAACTCAACACTTGACCAAATGGACCTAAAAGACATCTACAGAACAGTCCACCCAACAACAGAATACACATTCTTCTCATCTGCACATGGTACACACTCTAAAATCAACCATGTGATTGGCCATAAAACAATATTCAGCAAATTCAAAAAACTTGAAATTATACCAACCACACTCTCTGACCACATCCCAATAAAAATAGAAATAAATATTAGGAAAATCACTAAAAACCATACAATTACATGGAAATTAAACAACCTGCTCCTGAATGACTTTTGGGAATGACTTTTGAGGCTGCATCTGGAACCACATGTAAGCAGGGCTGCAGCAGGGTCCACAGGCAGATGGCGGTGTTTCTGTGTTCATGGCCAGGACTATGACTGGTGAGCCTACTCCCAGGGGCATGGGCCTGCCTTCTCAAAGCAGTTTTCCTTGGTCTTGGGCTCTAGTGGGTTGTCATGACCTCCTGACTGGGTCCTGATGTTCCCACAAAGACATTTTATCCATGGATGGTTGCCAAATCACTGTTCTGTGGGTGGATGAAGGCTGGGGACCTTCTACTTAGCCATCTTACAGATGTTCTGTTTCATTTGTTCTTTGATTTCTTTTTCTTCTTTTTTTCAAGTAGTTGGGTCATTGTGATTATTCAATTTTTTTTGTTATTAAACTGTTGTGTTATTTAACAGTTGCTTTAGTGTTCATAGTATTGCTCTTTAACCCATCACAGTCTATCATTGGGTGTCATACTACTTTACATCTAATATAAAAACCTTTCAAGGTTATATGAGTTATGGTTCTTACAGCAGCAAAAATATTTTATTTTGTATTTTGAATATGGAAATTGCAATCTTTTTCTAGTGATAGTAAAATCCATTTTACTTGGACTATTTTCAAGTATTTTTGTGACTTGCCATTTATTTGGAAACTCTATTGTCTCGATCATATCAAATTTTCCAGAAAGATAGAAAGAACAAAACAAACTTCTAAATGTACAACTGGCAAAGGTCTGAGAGTATCTCAAGCTTTCATGTTATATAGTATTGCCTTTGTCTTTTTTTTTTTTTAGATGGAGTCTTGCTCTGTCGCCCAGGCTCGAGTACAGTGGCGCAATCTCGGCTCACTGCAACCTCTCCCTCCTGGGTTTAAGTGATTCTCCTGCCTCAGCTTCCTGAGTAGCTGGGATTACAGGCACCCACCACCATGCCTGGCTAATTTTTGTATTTTTAGTAGAGACGGGGTTTTGCCATGTTGGCCAGGCTGGTCTTGAACTCCTGACCTCGGCCTCCCAAAGTGTTGGGATTACAGGTGTGAGCCACTGTGTCCAGCCTGCCTTTGCCTTTATATAACAATAAAATTAACTCCTTTGGGGTTTATCAACTATGCCTTCATAAATTAGTATCAATATAATATGTTCCATGCACAGAATCATATCATTGTATACAGTAAACATGGCCTTCTCCAGAAGATATAGTCAAGTACTCCAACAGATTGCATGTAATTCACCCAGTCTTATTATCAAAAGGCACAGACAGCCTTTCCCCAGAAATCTTTTAAATGTCCTAAAACGTGGATTTCTGCACCTCTGGATGAGATATCAGAGCAACATTGCCCTAAAATCTCAATGGTTAAGATATGGTCAGGTATTTATAACAACAAGCACAGCAGTAAAAAAAAAAAAAAGGGGTTATCTCTAGATCTATATCTTTCAGATAAAGAGACATAATTCATCTTTGGATTGTCAGAAGACTTTTCTGATCTATTATTTTATACGTGAAGCTGTCTTTCTTTTTGAAAGTTTACAGGCAAAGTCTCTACTTGAGTGAATTTTCTAACTCCTATTTACTTTCAACTTTAACTGATAATTTCTTTACTATAGTGGTTTTCAACTAGGGACAATGTTGCCCTCAGAGAACTTTTAGTAATGTGTAGAGATTTTTATTTGTTTGTTTATTTACTTATTTTTTGCTCACAGGTGGGAGAAATGTTTTAGAGGCAAGAGAGGCTGCTAAACATCCTACAATATAAAGGAAACATCCCCACAGCAAAAAAAAAAAACTGTTCTTCTCAAAATGTTGACAGTGCTGGAGATCAGACACATTGCTCTACTTTATATTTTATTGTCTGTCCCTGAACTTCTTTATTAAATGGCCAATATTGTATGGTAAAATCGAGAGTATCATCAGAAAGAAAATTAAGAAAAACAATCAGAATTAGAAATTAGAGGCTCCTCTGCCTATGGAATAGCCATTCTTTTATTCCTTTGCTTTCTTAATAAACTTTGTCTCACTTAAAAATAAAAAGAAATTAGATTTTCTGGACTGATTCTTTTTGTTCCTTATCTTTTTCATTTCCCTTAGCTGTTTTTTCTTCTTGCTCAGAGATAAAAAACGTTATGTCCAGGCGCGGTGGCTCACGCCTGTAATCCCAGCACTTTGGGAGGGCGAGGTGGGCGGATCACGAGGTCAGGAGATCGAGACAATCCTGGCTAACACGGTGAAACCCCGTCTCTACTAAAAATACAAAAAATTAGCCAGGCGTGGTGGCGGGCGCTTGTAGTCCCAGCTACTTAGGAGGCTGAGGCAGGAGAATGGCGGGAACCCGGGAGGAGGAACTTGCAGTGAGCTGAGATCGCGCCACTGCACTCCAGCCTGGGTGACGGAGCGAGACTCCATCTCGAAAAAAAAAAAAAAATGTTCTTTTTGCTTCAGTGAGTTGAGATGTTATATTAATTCAATGTCAAGTCTCTGAAGAAACTTTCACTAATTCACTAAGACGGATAATAAGGAATGAGTGATTTTTTTTTTTTTGCTTACATTTAATAGAAAAATTTGTACTTAACAAGGGGAAGATAATTTCATTTCAGGCAGTAATTCATTTGGATTCTAATGTCTTTGTGCTTTAACATAGAGATTGAAGAGATTCAATCTTTGAACTTCAATTTATGCCTAGAAATTTTATAAGAACACTTGTTTATATTCAAATGTGGGAAATTTTTCTTTTTTAGCATTTTAATATAGGAGGTTATTTATGACTTTTAAAGTCTCTTAATGTCATTTAATTATCAAAGAATCTCTAATGTGCTACACTGGATAATGTAGTGGCACATAACTTAAGATGACAAAGAAGAGAAGATGTAAATTTTCAGCTATGTGTAAAATGTATATGGTAAAAATTGTATTAGTGTATTATTCTGAGATTAGCTTAGAATCTGATCTCAGAGTAATATGCCGTTCATGAGGGATTCTGAGAAGATATAGAAAAAGTAATGACTAGTATTGAAGAAACAGATCCATGAAGATGAGATTAGCGTTATTTTAATAGACTCCTGACATCTCTGCATAGGGAGATAACCCATCCTCCCCTGATTCATTGACCATAAGCTTTGTGGTTAAAAAAATACAAACTCTTGAATTTTGTTTGTGAGGTAATTTGGCCTCATTCTAGATGTTTTCCATCTTTGTGACACTCATGCCATGTCATACTCCTGGTATCCTCCCTGCCCTTTAATTTTCTTGGCCCCAGGAAATGGAGTTATCTGATGGAGAGTTTGGAAAGAACTAACCAGGCATGCTGAGTTAGCAAGTCTTCAGCTCTACAGCTCCTCCTAGTGAGCCTACTTGTAGAAAGCAGGTCTTCTTTTCTACTTCTCTAGGGGCAGGGGGCAGTAGAGGGGAGACCTGCTTCAAGTGCTGGAATGACTGGAATGGTCATGCGCCTAATTCTCAGGTGCAATGTTAGCAAGGTCACATGATTAGCAGGCTTTAACCCATATTATCTAAGTAGGTCTCTATTAGTAATGAAAATGATATTTGTTCAGAACTGGATGAGGAAGCAGACTGACATTGCACTTCAAATAATCAAACACTGCCTACTGATACTTCATATTCTTATTGTTCTACATATTTAACATTTTTATCTTTTTTTCTTAGAAACATATTTTTTATAAGTACCTATAGGGTATGCGATTCTTCTGTTATTTATTTTATTCTTATAGTTCTTAAGAGGCTTGCATGTGCATCAAGAAGAAATGCTCCAGGAGGCAGTCAGTACACGTGGGATTAGGACAACATTTATTTCCAGTCAAGGAAGAATAAGAAATTGGGTTAAACAGGAGTGCAAAATTTATCCATCCATTCTGGAGTTCAAAGGACTTAACGTTTGCTCCCACCTAAGGAGATTTTCCTTTGGGAACCGGAGTTGGATAGGGCTCAAGTATCCACCACCTTCTACATTTTTTTCCTTCATTACATATACCAATGGTATCATCTAGTGTGCTGCATAGTTTGTCTCTGCACACCCCTTTCAAAGCAATACACTGTTTTTGTCCTGGAATAACGCCAGTCTTTCCTACACAGGAAGAGATTTAAGAACATCATTAATTCACTATTGAAAATATACATAAAACAATAAACCCCCAGAAGAATGGCTTTGGGAGAGGAAAGAAAACATTGTCTATATGAAAGGATCAGACTCGTAGACAGAAATAGTGCCTTTTTATGGGAAGGGAGCTAAGATTGTAGATTATATACACCCTGGAGGAAATAAGCCAATTTCTAAAATTCTTTAAAGGGACTGTCCTCCCCTAGTGCAGTACATTTTGAAATGTGTGGGACCATTTGTTCTTGCCACCATGCCTAGGGAAGGTGTCTTTGGTATTTAGCAGATAGCACAGCATTGCTAAATTTTTCACCTAAGGAATTGTCTTGCACCAAACACCAACAATGCCACCACTAAGAAACAGTTTCAAAGGAAGTATGTGTCCCTCCAAATTCCCATCTGTGCATACATCATCCCTATCAAATGGTTCATGTTCATATCTTCATCTCCTTTCATAGAAAGCCTATCAATCCTTTAGATTTTATCTAAACTAATTTCCTCATTTCAGGACTATGCAAGAAATACCTTTCCTATGTTGCTCAATACCTCATAGATAGATGGAGGAATGGATAGATAGATAGATAGATAGATAGATAGATAGATAGATAGACAGACAGACACCTGGAGAGAATTACTCACAGAGCTAAAAGGTATTTTCCCTTAAGTGTATCCACATGTTCTCTTAATTCATCTGGTTGTTGAGAAGCATATGGCTAAGGGTGTGGTCTAATTCAGTAGTTTTCTCTATGCTTACTATCCTTTCTCTTGCCTTCTCAGCACAACCATAGTTTATTTTTCCTACTGTATATCACTGCAGATGTTACATAAGAAAAACACTTTTGCTGATGTTCATTAACAGACATTAGTTCCTGAACCATCCTGTTAACACACCTGGATCTTATTTTGTTTTTACTGTCCTCTAATATACTACCTCTGGCTTCTTTGCTTCTGTAGATGAGTAACTGTTTGGTGGCCTTTTCAGCTCTCAATCTTTTTGTTGTTTTTTGTTATTGTTTTGTATTTAAACTAGGCTATCATTATTGTTTCTCTATTCTGTAGAAATAAATCCATAGCCAGAAAAACCAATGCAGCCTTTTGGAACTGAGTGCTCATAACCTATGCAAGATTGTCTTCCACTCTTGTTAGAAGCTTCAACCTAGTGCAGTCTGGTATTATACTCTACTATCAGACTAGCAGTTTATAAACTCAGGGTTTCTGTGCACCAAGAGAATATCATGATGGGGGAGTTGGGTAATATCTTGTAATATTCTCTCTTTTTTCCAAGACTATTGTGGAAGAGAAAGTGGCTGCCTTTCAGAGAGAGACCTGAAGTCTCCCCAGCCAGTTGTGGAAGGCGCTGGTTCAACTGCATTGTCTACACAGAACACAGGCTTCATGCTGAGAAGCATAGCAGACCTGTTGCTAGCTGTTGGTCTTTTCCCTGATAACTTCATCCATACATTTAACATCTGGCAACATTGTCAGACTTTTTAAATGAAGCTAAAATCGGGGGTTATTAGTACTGGGAAAGATATAGTAAGAGGCAGAGTATGGCATCAAGGAGGCCTATGCATGTGAACTTAGAGGCATCCCATGCAAAATGAGGTGGAATGTGAATCTTCAGCTGAAGCCAAAAGAGTGAACTTCCTCTCAGTAGGATGCGTAACCCACTATACTGTAGAGTTCAGCCTACTGACACAGCATGTAGCCTAAGATAGTGCCAATTCCTCTATTTGGGAGCTGTCCCTTGCTTCACTCAAAAGGAGTGGAACAATTCATCCTACCAGTGATGTGCTTCTTGCTACATGGGAAGCTTAATTTAAAGAGGTATGCTTTGAGCATGAAGCCAAAGAGTTATAATCTCCCTTTTTACCGATGACTGTGACATATCATCATGCCAAGGGCACTAGTTTAAGTCAAAAAGATAAGATTAAATTACTTAATTCATATTCAGATTCATATTCCTCATTCATGAGGAAGAAAATTTCTTCCCAGATATTCACATTTATTTTCAGACTTATTGACAGAAGTATATACATATAGAGCAAAAGAAGAGAGGCACTCTCTAATACACTTTAGAGTTTATTTGACATTAATATGTTATAATGGTTATATCACATGGCAGTTGAGGAAAGGATGCATATTTAATAAGTGCCTTTGGAAAAAGAAACAATTTAGATGTTCACTTCATATTATATCACAACATTAATTTCCGTGGATGCAGTGAGAAGGACTTAGAATCACACTGGAAAAGACCCTTAATAGCGCATTCATCTACTTTCTAAAAGGATATAACTTTCTTAGCATTAGAACTCATTGAGTCAGTAACTTTAAAGTTTTTTTTTGGGTGATGTAGAGGATTTAAATGGAACAGGCTCTTCCTGGAACTTTATCAGTCAAAAAATAGAAGCGCAGTTTCCTTTTCTCTACATAATGTGAGTTCAAGCTGTCTTCTGCTCCTGTCCAATGTCATGTATTTAGATATTATGTTATTCTTCACAGTCAGTGTAAGAAGAATGCTATAATTTTCTTAATTCTCAGAGAGCTAATGCAGCAATCCAAGATTTATGCCATTCTAACCTCTTTAGACTCATATTCGCAGCATTTATATGTATGTTTGTGTATACATATAAATCTATATGAACTATTCCAATTTTTATAGGATACCATGGATTCTTTTTTGAATAAATATAAGGATATATAAAAAATATATTCAAGTAACTATAACTAAATATTCATCAGACATTAAGCTGATAAACTAATATTTCAGACTACGTAATTACTTTGGAGACATTTTTTCATGAAAACAATAATTTTTTTTACTTAATTGGATTTTTTGGGGGTAAAAATGTCTTTAACAAAACTCTTCATGATCTAGCCACTCAATTTTTCTTAAAAGAAATTTTATGAGATAAAAGTTACATAGGAGTTATAAAATTTCTAAGATTATCAGAATGCTTCTAGACACCTGATAAATTCTACATGCCCGGCAGTCACAGCAGAGATTAAGATCAGAATTTTTGGAGTGCAGTATTATTAAATTGTATAGACAGCTCAGCAATTAACTATTTAGTACTAAGAGACCATACAAAACTGATAATGAAAATCCTATTTTTCGACCTGAGTGTTCTGAGTCCCACTTCATAATGTGTCCAAGAACATCTCAATATGCACAAGTAAGGCATTTTGACCTTTACGTATGGTTTTAATATCCTCTGATCACAAGAAACCTGGCTATTCAAAAGTGATTCCCTCCTGTGCAGAATTATAGGACCTTCATTTAATGCTTCTTCCTGGTATAACTGATTTGGAAGGAACAAAGAAGGGCTGATATTTCTATTCCTCCAGGAAGATGTCACGGCTTGAAAGGCAGGCCTCTGAAGGATTCTTCTCGTATCTGTGGGGAGATTAACTCAGCTTTCAACCTCAAATAACCTCTTGTTCTTCATCGTTTATTTTATTGTGGTAATAACACTTAAAGTGAGATCTACCTTCTTAAGAACTTTTTAAGTGTTATAGATATAGTATTGTACAGTTGATATTTAGAGCTTATTCATCTAATAAAACTGAAAACTTTTACTCATTAAATAGCAACTCCCTATTTCCTCCTCCCTCCCCAGTCCCTGGAAACCACTATTCTGCTACTTGTTTCCATGAGTTTGACTATTTTAGGTACCTCATATAAGTGCAATCATGCAGTATTTGTCTTCTGTGACTGGCTTACGTCATTTAGCATAATGTCCTCCAGGTTCATCCAAGTTGTCACATATAGCAGAAAACCTCCTTAGTTTCCTCAATATATAACTAGAAGATTTTGAGAAAAAAGTCTGACAGAAATCAGAGTTATCATTTTTGTATGCATATCTACACCTATGGATTGATTAAAAACAACATTGACCCAGATTAAAGAGATTTGCTTTTAGCTGCAATGTTGCTACTACCTATGTGATCTGAGTAAAATCACATTCTTTATCTGTACATGGGTTTTATTATCTAAAATAAAAACAACTGCCACTAAATTTTATTTTAATTTGAAATTATTACCATCACATAATTTCACATCAGATGTCACTACAAGTGTATCTGACCTTAATTGTATCTTCTGACTAAAGCTGAGAACCAAATGAGAATTGCATAAGCTCCTTCAGAAGGAGACAATCATATGTGAGGTGAATCTCAACATGTCCACAGATTAGGTAAAGATCAAACAATTGAGTAGCTTTGATTTCACTTAAAAGAATCTCAGAACTGGAACAAAACAAGAGTGCCCTCTCTCACCATCCTACTCAACATAGTACTGGAAATATGAGCCAGAGCAATCAGCCTTTTGAAGTAAAAGGCATCCAAATAGGAAAAGAAGAAATCAAATTACCTCTTTTTGTAGATGATATTATTCTACACTTAAGAAACCCTAAAGATTCTTTCAAAGCCTCCTGGACCTGATAGACAACTTTAGTAAAGATTCAGGATGCAAAATCAATGTACAAGATCAGTAGCCTTTCTATATACCAATAATATTCAACCCGAGAGCCAAGTCAAGAATGCAATCCCATTTACAATAGCCACACAAAAAATTAAATACCCATGAATACATTTAACCAAGGAGGTGAAAGATCTCTACAAATGACACTACAAATCACTACTGAAAGAAATCACAGATGGCACAAATAGAAAAATATTCCCTGCTGTGGATTGGAAGAATGAATATTGTGAAAATGGCCATACTGCACAAAGCAATTTATAGATTCAGTGCTATTCCTATAAAACTACCAATGACATTTTTCACAGAATAGAAAAAACTATTCTAAAATTCATACGAAACCATAAAAGAACTCAGACAACCAAAATAATCCTAAGCAAAAGGAACAACACTGGAGGCATCATCCTACTTGACTTCAAATTATACTATAAGGCTACAGTAACTAAAGCGGCATGGGACTGGTACAAAAGCAGACACATGAACCACTGGAACAGAATAGAGAACCCAGAAATAAAGCTGCACATTTATAACCATCTGCTCTTTGACACAGTTGACAAAAATAAGCAACAAGAAAAGGACTCCCTGTTCAATAAATTGTGCTGGGATAGCTGGCCAGCCATAAGCAGAAGAATAAAACTGGATGCCTATCTTTCACCATATACAAAAAATTAACTCATGATGGATTAAATATTTAAATGTAAGACCTCAAACTATAAGACTCCTAGAAGAAAACCTAAGAAACACCATTCTAGATATTGGCCTTGGGGAATAATTTATGACTAAGTACTCAAAAGCAATTGCAACAAAAACAAAAGTTGACAAGTAGAGCCGAATTAAACTAAAGAGCTTCTGCAGAGAAAAAGAAACTATTAACAGGGTAAACAGAAAACAACAGAATGGGAGAAAATATTTGCTAACTATGCATCTGACAAAAATTTAATATCCGGAATCTACAGGGAATTTAAATCAACAAGCAAAAAACAAATAAAGTGGGGGAAAAGACATGAAAAACATGAACAGACTCTTCTCAAAAGAAGACATAGAAGCAGCCAGCAAACATGAAAAATAGCTCAACATCACTAATCACTAGAGAAATACAAATCAAAACCACAATGAGAACTATCTTACACCAGTGAGAATGGCTATTATTAAAAAGTCAAAAAATAGCAGAAATGAAGATGAGGCTGTGGAGAAAAGGAGTGCTTATACACTGTTGGTGGGAATATAAATTATTTCAGCCACTGTGGAAAGCAGTCTGAAGATTTCTCAAAGAACTTAAAACAGAGCTACCATTCCACCCAGCAATTCCATTACTGGGTATATCGTCCAAAAGAAAACAAATAATTCTACCCAAAACATACCTGCACTCCTATGTTCATCACAGAACTACTCACAATAGTAAAGACAAAGAATCAACCCAGGTGCTCATCAATGGTGGACTGGATAAAGAAAATGTGGTACATATAGACCATGGAATACTATGAAGCCATAAAAAAGAACAAAATCATATCCTTTGTAGCAACATGGATGATCTGGAGGACTGCAAATTAATGCAGAAATAGAAAACCAAATACTGCATGTTCTCACTTATAAGTGGGAGCTAAACATTGGATACTCATGGACATAAAGATGGGACACTGGAGACTACTAGAGTGGGGAGGGAGGAAAACAAGGATTGAAAAACTATTTGGTACTATGCTCACTACCTGAGTGATGGGATTACCATCATGCCCCAAACCTCACATCACAAAATATACCAACATAACAAACCTGCACATGTACCCCCTGAATCTACAATATAAGTTGAAATTATTTAAAAAATAATCTCAGAGATAAAGGGAGGAAGAGATCTTTGCTCATTGACCACACACTTTATTTTGGGGGATATGAACATCCCACTATTAACAGTGGAGATAATAATTTTATCATATCTTATCAGGATCTGAATGAAACACCCTGAAGATGTTTGATTCTTTATTCCCTTTTCAGTTTGATTCTACATTTTGATATTTAAACTTCTGAATCATGGACCCTAAGGATGCAACTACGAGTCTTGAAGTGTTTTCTGTACTGTTTGTCTTATGCTTAAAATTTTGCCATTAAAGCTTCATGCCACTGTTTATTCTTTTCCAAATTCCCTTGCTCCCAAATTTCTACTGGTCTTTTATAATTAGATGCAAAATTTTCTTGTTGAACTCTGTCTTATTTGCCTAACTGCTACCCTTCACAAATATTCCTCACCAATAGACTCTACATCACTTCCATTCACTACCGAGTTTGAACCAAGAACTATCATCTTCACTCTCCTTTTTGGAGAGTGAAGCCTTGATGATAGCTGTTTGCTTTATTTACTAACCTTTAAATCACATATCAAAGCTTCTATACCCCTAACTCTATTTCGGCCCCATTTTCTAATTATCGAGCTCTTGAACCCCCATTTTCTGTTGAAAGAACTCCTTGTCCTGCTTCTCAATTGTGGCCTCATTAGTACCAAAGAAGATAAACATGTTGAATTTCTGAATTCCTAAGGCTGTGAATTGGTGTCTGAGTTAGGATGGCCACAGTATAATTATCTCAGTAGACCTCCTCCGGTCTAGGCATCCCAATAGACTTCTACAATCATTCACCATCTTACCTTTTGGTATTAAAGTCACAAAGAGGAGGAGAACAGAAATAAGGGAATGGAGTTTCATGGTTGAGTGCCCAATAGAGAGGTGAGTGATCAGGGCTGGTGGAACACAGGGGCTTTTATTTAATTCTGGGGGCCTGAGGTTCCTCTTGTTCAGTGAAACTTAACAGAAAGGAAATAAAACAGCTTCCGTTGGAATATTTCCAAACTCGAAGTTCTCTAAATTTGGTGACAAATTAACCTAATTGTAGGAAACCAGATGGCTAACCCTTTCCTTTTTCTATGGCTCTCAATTTCACCAGAGGTTAATTAATACCTTTAGTTAATTTTCTTTTTTGAATGGGGCCAAGAAGTAAAGCCATGTGGGTACAGAACATCCTTATTGCAAAAGTCCTAGGGCTTGTAAGGAAACATTTCCATAATACACTGTTTTTTTTTTTTTTTTTTTTTTTTTTTTTTTTTTTTTGCAAGAGGGACAAGAGTATTGTCTAAGGTCCATTTATGACAAGCTATTTTTTGTTTTTTTTTTTTGAGATGGAGTCTCGCTCTGTCGCCCAGGCTGCAGGCTGGAGTGCGGTGGCGCGATCTCGGCTCACTGCAAGCTCCGCCTCCCAGGTTCACGCCATTCTCCTACCTCAGCCTCCCCAGTAGCTGGGACTACAGGGGCCCACCACCACGCTTGGCTAATTTTTTGTATTTTTAGTAGAGACGGGGTTTCACCGTGTTAGCCAGGATGGTCTCCATCTCCTGACCTCGTGATCTGCCCGCCTCAGCCTCCCAAAGTGCTGGGATTACAAGGCCTGAGCCACTGCGGCCGGCCCTGAGGTGTTCTTAATCACATCTGAAAGGTGGATACATTTAATTCATATTGAAAACAAATATTTTTTCATCGTTATGGATCCTTTGTATAATTATCTCATACAACAAGACAAGTAAGATCAGGAGAGTTGAAAGATAAAAGACAGAGTAAAGTGCGCAGCTCCTGTCAAAAGACTCTGAGCCTATACCTTAAAGAGATTCCCCTAACCTTTCACCCTAACCCACCACATAGCAACAAGATATTGAAAGCTTAAGAGCATGCCTTTAATCAAGAATCAATTGACCAAAATCCAACTTACCCAAAACAAATTTACCTTCTGTTCAATTTCTTATTGGCATATTTCCCTGAATTGATATTTTTTTAAATTTGTAAACTTTCATATATCGTGTCAGTCTTTTTTGAAAAATTCTATATACATATATAATATAACGTTTATATAGCTTTTATTTGACTACTTTTGATCACTTTCATGTTAGCTGATGTATTTATGAACATTTGCTAATTTATTTCTTCATTAATAATTTATGCCTTAATAATTTTAGGTTTGCATAAATGTTCCAAAAGACTAATATTCAAAATATTTTTTGAAAAGTATAACAAAGCCAGAGAATTTAGACTACCTTGTTTCAAGACAAAGCTACAATAATGAAGACACTGTGATACTGGAATAAGGAGAGACATAGTTCAACAGAACATAATAGAGAGGCAAGGATAAGACCATCATATGAATGGTCTGTATATGGGTAAGATCATATATATTTATCCATGCTCAGTGATTTTGACAAAGGTGCTAAGTAAAGTCTTTTTTTTTTTATGCCCTCATTCTTGTTTATGTAACTAATTCAAGTGGTTCATGCGCAGGTTTGTTACATGGATAAATTGTGTGTCCTGGGGGTTTAGTATACAGATAACTTTCCCAGATATTCAGCATATTACTCAATAGGTAGATTTTCAATCCTCACCCTCCTCCCACCCTCCACCCCCAGGTAGGCCTTAGTGTCTGTTGTTCTCTTCTTTGTGTCCATGTGTATTCAGTGTTTAGCTTCCACTTTTTTTTTTTTTTTTTGAGGCAGAATCTTGCTCTGTTGCCCAGGCTGGAGGGCAGCGGCATGATCTCGGCTCACTGCAACCTCCGCCTCCTAGGTCCAAGCGATTCTCCTGCCTCAGCCTCCTGAGTAGCTGGGACTACAGCTGTGTGCCACCACGCACCACTAATTTTTTGTATTTTTAGTAGAGACAGGGTTTCACCATGTTAGCTAGGATGGTCTCAATCTCCTGACCTCGTGATCTGCCTGCCTCAGCCTCCCAATAGCTTCCACTTTTAAGTAAGAATATATGGTATTTGGCTTTCTGTTTCTGTGTTAATTTGGTTAGAATAATGGCCTCCAGCTGCATCCATGCTGCTGCAAAGGACATGATTTTTTCTTTTTCATGGCTGCATAGTATTCCATGGCGCATATATGCCACATTTTCTTTATCTAGACCACTGTTGATGGGCATCTAGGTTGATTCCATGTCTTTACTATTGTGAGTAATGCTGCAATGAACATACACATGCATGTATCTTTATGGTGGAATAATTGATATTCCTTTAGATATATACTAAGTAATGGGATTGCTGTGTCAAATAGTGCTTCTATTTTAAGTGTTTTGAGAAATCTTCAGGCTACTTTCCACTATAGCTGAACTAATTTCTATTTCCACTAGCAGTGTATAAGCATTCCCTTTTCTCCAAAGCCTCACCAGGGTCTGTTATTTTTTGACTTAATAGTATCTATTCTGACTGGTGTGAGAGGGGATCTTATTGTGGTTTTGATTTGCATTTCTCTAGTTATTAGTGATATTGGGCATTTTTAAAAATATATTGGGTGTCTCTCTGTATGTCTGCTTTTGAGAAGTGTCCATGTTTTCCAAATTTTTAAATAAAGGTTTTAATTTTTGCTTGTTGACTTAAATTCCTTAGAGATTCTGGATATTAGACTTTTGTCAGATGCATGGTTTGCAAATATTTTCTCCCATTCTGTAGTTTGCTGTTTACTCTGTTAATAGTTTTTTTTTTTTCTCTGCAGAAGCTCTTTAGTTTAATTCGGCTGCACTTGTCAATTTTTGTTTTTGTTGCAGTTGCTTTTGAGGACTTAGTCATGCATTATTTCCCAAGGCCAATGTCGAACATGATGTTTCCTAGATTTTCTTCTAGAATTCTTATAGTTTGAGGTCTTACATTGAAATCTTTAATCCATCTTGAGTTAGTTTTTTGTATATGGTGAAAGGTAGGCATTCAGTTTCATCCTTCTTCATATGGCTAGCCAGCTATCTCAGCACCATTTATTGAACAGGGAGTCTTTTCCCCATTGTTTATTTTTGTCAACTTTGTCAAAGAGCAGATGGTTATAGGTGTGCAGCTTTATTTCTGTGTTACAGCAATCTTTATCTCTGGAATAGAGATTCTGTTCCGATGGTCCATGTGTCTGCTTTTGTACCAGTCCCATGTTGTTTTGGTTTCTGCAGCTTTGTCATATAGTTTGAAGTCAGGTAGTGTGATGCCTCCAGTGTTGTTCTTTTTTGCTTAGGATTACTTTCACTCATCAGACTCTTTTTTTTTTGGTCTCATATGAATTTTAAAATAGTTTTTCTAACTCTGTAAACATGTCATTGATAGTTTGATAGGAATAGCACTGAATCTGTAAATTGCTTTGAGCAGTATGGCCATTTTAAGAATATTGATTCTTCCTATCCATGAGCATAGAATGTTTTTTCATTTGTTTGTGTCGTCCATGATTTCTTTCAGCATTGCTTTATAATTCTCACTTAGAGATCTTTCATCATCCTGGTTAGCTGTATTCCTAGGTATTTTTATTTTTTCTTCCAGCTGTTATGAATGGGATTTTGTTCTTGGTGTGGCTCACAGCTTGGTGTATAGAAATGATATTAATTTTTTATACATTGATTTTGCATCCCAAAACTTTACTGATTATCAGGTCTATGGCCTTTGGGCAGAGACTATGGAATTTTCTCATTATAGAGTTATATCATCTGTGAAGAGAGATAGTTTGACTTCCTCTCTTTCTAGTTGGATGCCTTTTATTTCTTTCTCTTACCTGATTGCTCTGGCTAAGATTTCCAGTCTTTCAACTAGTCGTTCTGGAGAGGGAGATACAAACAGAAGTCATATAACCTTTTATTATGTAGCCTGAGAAGTCAGAAAGCATCGTCTGCACTGTATTTATTAGTTAAGGCAGTTACAAAGGTTTGCCTCAGATCAAGCAGAGGGAACATAGACTTCACCTCTCAGTGGAGGATTATCAATGTTACATTATAAAAAGTTCTTGTGGGATGGAATGCATATTTTTAGAAAACTACAACTTTTGGAAATGCATTTTTGAAAAATACAATGTGCCACTGTAGCTATAATTTTTTTTCAGTTTCAAAAATATCAATTTTACATGGTTCAATCCATTATGCTCTTGACTAAAATTGCCAGAATTTTAATGTCCTCCATTTTTAATATTGGGAATTGTTGTGACTAATAAGTAATAATAATAGTATAATGAATAAATTATATGGTACAAATAGTATAATAAAAAGGTTGTGGTGTAGTGACATCAGCAAAAATGAAATAAAAATATTCAAAATTTTATCTCTTTATAAAATATACTAAAAAACTGGCAACAACTGTCAAAATAAAGCTTTTTAGAACTCTGAAAACTAACATAAGGTTTTTAGCAATGTAGGGAGTGCTAATTCTAGCAAAATATCCCATCTCAGTAAGAACATCGATTTGTGGTTTTTAACTTACCCTGTTTCCATTCTTCTCAGAGAAGCAGCAGGCTTGAAAATAATGCCCAGATTCTTAATACCAATGCCAGAAAAACAGAATGGACCTCATTCATGAAAAATTGATCTGCCTGTTGACTCCTTCAAACATATTCTCAAAAGCCTTGTTTTTTCACCTAATCTGGACCTCACGCAGTGGGAAAGCTGCTACTTGGTATGGGGTGGTGTTAGAAAACATTTACAGAAAGACATTATAAATACTGCTGCCTGAACACTGGGGAAAACAATAGACTAAACAAAAATCTTGAGAGAAAGTACTGGGAATGAGATGCTTTGGGGAATATGGGCTTTGAAAAGCTTCAACATATTTCTGAGAATTTGCAAACTGTGTATGTCAAGGCTGTGTGCATGTTCAGTAAAAACCTGGGAAATTTCTACCTTCCCTGCACAAGCAGAAAGTGTAGGCCAAGGCAGAGTTGTAAACTGTCTGCCTGAGTGTTGAAAGCAGGGCCCAACACATACACAAAGCCCCTCTGCAAGTTCCAAACACATATGGAAATCTTTGTCAAATTATTAGCTGACTTCTAAGCTAATGGAAAAAATATTTTAATCGACATAGGTGACAAAAAATAGAGACCACAAAGTTTATTCAGAAAAGATACTAAACAAACAAATAACTACAACGAGGAGTACAACGTGGGGAGGAGGGAGAATCTTGTTTCTAGAGTGGCCACATTATCATGTTTAAAATGTCTGGTATTCAAAAAAAGTATGAGACATACAAAAAGAAAAAACTGAAGAAAGTATGGCACATGGAAAAGAAAAAATGCAGTTAATAAAAACTACCCCTGAGGAGATCCAGACATTGGCCTTAATAGAAACAGACTTTAAATCAACTATTTTAGATATGTTCAAAGAGCTAAAGGAAATGACATCTAAGGAACTAAAGAGAAACATGAGAATGATATCTCACAAAAATAGAGAATATCAATAAGAGACAATTTTTTTTAAAAAAAACATGAGAATGATATCTCACAAAATACAGACTATCAAAAATGTTTTTTAAAAAAATATTATTTATTTTATAATGTTCTTTTAAAAAGAAATCAAATAGAAATTCTGGAGTTGAAAGATAAAATAATGGAAATGAAAAATGCTCTAGAGGGCTAAACAGCAGATTTGAGGAGGTACAAAAAATTAGTGAACATGAAAATAGTTCAATTGAGGTTATCCAGTTAGAGAAAATCTCAGTTAGAGAAAAGAATGAAGAATAATAAATGGAGCCTAATAGACCTGTGGAACACCATCAAGATATCAACATATGCATAATGGAAGTTCCAAAAAGAAAAGAGAGAGAGAAAGGTACAGAAAATATATTTGAAGATATAATTGTCTAATACTTACCAAATTTTATGAAAAATTTAATCTACATGTACAATAAGCTCAATGTACTCTAGATGGATAAACTCAAAGAGACCACCCGAAGACATATCATAACCAAATGGCTCAAATCCAAAGCCAAAGAGTAAATCTTGAAAACAGTAGGAGAGAAGAGACTTATCATTTATAGTAGTTCCTTTTTATCCATGAGGGATACATTTCAAAACTCCTAGTGAACGCCTGAAACCATGGATAGTATTGAATCATACACATATTATATTTTTTAATACTTACAATAACATTTAATCAAAGATTAAAATTTGATAATTTTAATATATAAATTAGGGGGAGTACTCTTGCATTTTGGGGCCATTATTAAGTAAAATTAGGGTTACTTGAATACAGGACTGTGATAGTGTGACAGTCAATCTGATAACCAGGACAGGTGCTAATTGACTAATGGGTCAGTAGCATATACAGGATGAATATTCTGGACAAAGGAATGGTTCACATCCCAAGTGGGATGAAGCCAGATAGCATGAGATTTCATCATGCTACTCGAATGGCATGCAATTGAAAATTGTTTATTTCTGAAATTTTCCATTTAATATTTTCAGGTGAAAGTTGACCATAGGTAACTGAAGCCATGGAAAGTAAAATTGCAGATAAGGGAAGATCAGTTATTAGTGATTCACAGTAAATTTACAGCTGACCTCTTTTAAGAATGCAGTAGGATGATAAAAAATTCTATGAGGAGTTATTTGGGCTGAAATGAAAGAACATTATATAGTAATTTCAAACACATAAAGGAGTAAAAATGCTGGTGTGTGCGTGTGTGTATCTTTAATAAAGGTAACTTTAGTATATATAAGCAATGTCCTCTTTTCTTCTGATTTAAAAACAACTGCACATCACATTGCAGCATTACTCACAATACCCAAGCTATTGAAAAAACCTAAGTGTTTATGAACAGATGGATAAAGGAATTATATACATAATAAAATATCACTCAGTTTTGTAAAGAAGTTTCTTTCATTTGCATCAACATGGATGAACCTAGAAGACATTATGCTAATAATAAATCAGGCACAGAAAGAAAAATACTGCACTATCTCATTTATAAGTAGACCCTAAACAAAAAAGCCCCACAAAAGCCCTAAGAAATAGAAAGGTTAGAAAGAGGCGGGAGGCGTGTGGAAGATGGAAGATGAAAGCCAAAGGGTACAAGTTTCAGCTATATAAAATAAATATGCCTAGAGATCTCATGTACAACACAAGAGCTGTAGTTAATAATGTATCATACTCCAGAAATTTGCCCAGAGTAGATTTTAGATATTTTTACCACAAAAAAGTAACTATGTGAGATGATGGATATGTTAATTTGCTTGATTATGGCAATCATTGCCCTAAGTATATATGTATATGTATATATACACAAACATAATATTGTATATCTTAAATACAGTAAAAAGAAAGTCAATGCATAAAGCAATAAATATAAACCTATGTTGGTGATCATACAGTGTATAAAGATGAGATGTGATTTAGGTTGGGCCCAGTTGCTCACCTGTAATCCCAGCACTTTGGGAGGCCGAGGCGGGTGGATCACCTGAGGTCAGGAGTTCGAGAGCAGCCTGACCAACATGGAGAAATCCCGTGTGTACCAAAAATAGAAAATTAGCTGGGCATGGTGGCCGATGCCTGTAATCCCAGCAAAAAAAAACAGGGGTTGCAATCCTAGTGTCTGACAAAACAGAGTTTAAACCAACAAAGATAAAAAAAGACAAAGAAGAGCATTACATAATGATAAAGGGATCAATTCAACAAGAAGAGCTAACTATCCTAAATGTATATGCACCCAATACAGGAGCACCTAGATTCATAAAACAAATTCTTAGACACCTACAAAGAGGCTTAGACTCCTGCAAAATAATAATGGGAGACTTTAACACCCCACTGTCAATATTAGATCAACAAGACAGAAAATTTACAAAGATATGCAGGACTTGAACTCAGCTCTGGATCAAGTGGACTTAATAGACAACTACAGAACTCTCCACCCCAAATCAACATAATATATATTCTAATCAGTGCCGCATGACACATATTCTAAAATCGACTGCATATTTGGAAGTAAAACACTAGTCAGAAAATGCAAAAGAACTGAAAATATAACAAACGGTCTCTCAGACCACAGTGCAATCAAATTAGAACTCAGGATGAAGAAACTCACTCAAAACCACACAACTACATGGAAATTGAACAACCTGCTCCTGAATGACTCCTGCGTAAATAATGAAATTAAGGCAGAAATCAAGAAGTTATTTGAAACCAATGAGAACAAAGACAACGTACCAGAATCTCTAGGACACAGCTAAAGCAGTGTTAAGAGGGAAATTTATAGCACTAAATGCCCACATCAGAAAGCTAGAAAGATTTCAAAAATGACACCCTAACATCACAATTAGAAGAGCTAGAGAAGCAACAGCAAACAAATCCAAAAGCTAGCAGAAGGCAAGAAATAACTAAGATCAGAGCAGAACTGAAGGAGATAGAGATATAAAAAACACTTCAAGAAATCAATTAATCCACAAATTGATTTCTTGAAGAAATTAACAAAATAGAGCACTAGCTAGACTAATAAAGAAGAAAAGAGAGGAGAATCAAATAAACACAATAAAAATGATAAAGGGGATATCACCACTGACCCTATAGAAATACAAACTATCACTACAGAATACTATAAATATCTCTATGCAAATAAACTAGAAAACCTAGAAGAAATGGATAAATTCCTGGACATATACACCCTCTCAAGACTAAACCAGGAAGAAGGTGAATCCCTGAATAGACCAATAAGAAGCTGTGAAATTGAGACAGGAATTAAGAGTCTAACACCCAATAAAAGTCCAGGACCAGACTGATTCAGAGCTGAATTCTACCAGAGATGGAAAACCAGCACAAGACAAGGATGTCCTCTCTCACCGCTCCTATTCAACATAGTATTGGAATTTCTGGCCAGGGCAATCGGGCAAGAGAAAGAAATAAAAGTATTCAAATAGGAAGAGAGGAAGTCATATTGTCTCTGTTTGCAGACGATGTGATTCCCTGTTTAATAAATGGTGATGGGAAAACTGGCTAGCCATATTCAGAAAATTAAAACTGGACCCCTTCCTTACATCTCATACAAAATTTAACTCAAGAGATGGATTAAAGACTTAAATGTAAAACCCAAAACCATAAAAATTCTAGGAGAAAACCTAGGCGATACCATTCAGGACATAGGCATGGGCAAAGACTTCATGACGAAAATGCCAAAAGCATTTGCAACAAAAGTCAAAATTGACAAATGGGATCTAATTAAGCTAAAGAGCTTCTGCACAGCAAAAGAAACTATCATCAGAGTGAACAGGAAACCTACAGAATGGGAGCACATTTTTGCAATCCACCCATCTGACAAAGGTCTAATATCCAGAATCTACAAGGAGCTTAAACAAATTTACAAGAAAAAACAACGCCATTAAAAAGTGGGCAAAGAATATGAACATCAACATCACTGATTATTAAAGAAATGCAAATCAAAACCACAATGAGATACTATGTCATGCCAGTCAGAATGGTGATTATTAAAAAGTCAAGAAGCAATAGATGCTGGTGATGCTCTGGAGAAATAGGAATGCTTTTACACTGTTGGTGGGAATGTAAATCAGATCAACCATTGTAGAAGACAGTGTGGCGATTCTTCAAGGATCTAGAACCAGAAATACCATTTGTCCCAGCAATCCCATTACTGGGCATATACCCAAAGGAATCATAAGTCATTCTACTGTAAAGACACAAGCACATGTATGTCTATTACAGCACTATTTACAATAGCAAAGACATGTAACCAACACAAATGCCTATCAGTGATAGACTGGTAAAGAAAATGTGGTAAATATACACCATGGAATACTATGCAGCCATAAAAAGGAATGACACCATGTCATTTGCAGGGACATGGATGAAGCTGGAAGCCATCATCCTCAGCAAACTAACACAGGAACAGAAAAACTAACACCGGAACAGAAAAACTAACACCACATGTTCTCACTCATAAGTGGGAGTTGAACAATGAGAACACATGGACACAGGAAGGGGAATAACACACACCAGAGCCAGTCAGGGGATGGGGAGGAGGGGAGGGAGAGCATTAGGATAAATAGCTCATGCATGTGGAGCTTAAAACCTAAATGAGGGGTTGGTAGGAGCAGCAAACCACCAGGGCACAGGTAAACCTTGCAACAAACCTACACGTTTTGCACTTGTATCCCAGAACTTAAAGCAAAATGAAAAAATAAAAAAAAAGTAGTACAAGAACCTACTTGTACTACTTGATGGTGGTCATCAAAACACCACCATCATTCTTCAGAGTTAGAAAAAACAATTCTAAAATTCATATGGAACCAAAAAAGAGCCCACATATCCAAAGCAAGACTAAGCAAAAAGAACAAATCTGGAGGCATCACACTACCTGATTTCAAACTGTACTATAAAATCATAGTCACCAAAACAGTGTGGTACCAGGAAAATATATACATCAAAATATGTGCACTTAAATAACATAGCATCAAATTTATTAAACAAAAATTGAGCAACCTACAAGGAAAAATGAAAAAATTCCGAACTATAGAGGGAGATTATAACTTATTTTTCTTAGCCATTCAAAGAAAAAGACGACTTTAAACATTAATAATACATTGGATGTTAATAAAAATTTACTATTTTTATGAAGTGAATAATTACAAAGAACTTCAACAACTACAGAATACAATTTTAATAGGACATATTGAATATGCACAAATATTGACCATATAACGATTTGTTCTACATGCCAAATCTTAACAAAAGTCAAATAACTGACACTCTACAGAAAGTAGAGTGTCACACTGATATGAAATTATAAAAAAAGGGTTCTAAAACCCAGTTGATTAAAGAAAAAAATCTTAGTGAATAAAATATATTGAAATTAAAATATTACTTATTAAAACTTTTGGATTCCATTGGTACAATATTAAAGAGGAAATTCAGAGTCATAAATGCTGATACTAGAAAATAATAATGGTGAGTCTTTGGCAATACCATCATGAACACTCCTGATCTCATCTGATCTCAGAAGAAAATAATAATAGAAAACAGAAACATCTCAGTCTTTGCAGTATGAATTACAAAGAAAATAAAATGCACAAATAAAAATAACAGGAAAAAAGGAAGCATCTTTAAATATGCAAAACCATTAAAGAAACTTGACAAAATTAACTCAAGGTGAAACAGAAAATAAGAATGTTTTCCTGAATTAATAAAGCAAATAATTCTGTAATCAATAAAGCAACTAATTCTGTAATCAATAACCTCCTAAAAAAGAAGGCACTTAACTTATATTTTCAACAACATTTCAGAAATTTAAAAAATTTTAATTATATCCAACCTCTTCTAAGAAAACAAATAAAAAGGGACACTCCAAAACATTACATTTATCAAAACAATTTGTATTAAGATAATGTTCACATAACAAAATATTCACTATTTCAACCATTTTGATTTGTTTAATTTAATAGATGTTAGTATATTTACAATGTTGTGCAGCCATCACCGCTATTTAATTCCAAAACCTTTCCATCACCCCAAAAAGAAACTCCTTCTCTAATCCCCAGAAACTACTAATTTGTTTTCTATCCCTATAGATTTGACTATTCTGGACATTACATAACTGGAATTATAAATTATATACCCATTTGTGTCTGCCTTCCATAACTTAGCATAATTTTTCAAGGTCATCCAAGTTGTAGGATATATAGCTATTTCATTCCTTCTATCAATAAATAATACTGTATTATATAAATATAACACATTGTGTTTATATATTTATCAGCTGATGGGTATTTGGGTTATTTCAGCTTTTTTGCTATTATGAATAATGCTGCTATGAGCATTCACTGAGAATTTTTCAACTCTTAGGTACAAACTATTTTCTTAAGTATATACCTAAGAGTGGAATTGCTGGGTTATATGGTAACTCTATTTTTAATTCTTTAAGAACTGCCAACCTGTTTTTCAAACTGCCTCCACCATTTTGGTGGTTTACGGCTCTATTTTTGTGCTGATGGGCCTCCTGCTGGGAGGTGGCGCTTTCCAGAAAGCATCCGCTGTAGTAGTGTTGAGAGATGACAACATGCTAGCAGTCCTCGCTGGCTCTCAGCGCCTCCTTGGCCTCGGCGTCCACTCTGGTTGCACTCCAGGAGCCACTCAGCCTGCCGCTGCACTGTGAGGGCCCCTCTCTGGGGCTGGTCAAGGCCGGAGCTGGCTCCCTCTGCTCGCAGGGTGTGGAGGGAGAGGCCCTGGTGGGAGCCGGGGCTGTGTGTGGCCCTTGTGGGCTGGTGCAGGTTCGGGGTGGGTGCGGGCTCAGCAGGCCCCACACTTGGGGCGGCTGGCCGGTGCCTGCTGGGCTTGACTGGGAGATGAGCTCTCTCTAGGCAGCTGGAGTGCCAGGGCTGGGTGCTGCAAAGTCCTGTCTGGCAAGTGCCATCAAGAGGTGAAGCCAGCTGGGCTTCTGGGCTGGCTGGGGACTTGGAGAACTTTTCTGCCTAGCTAAAGGACTGTAAATGCACCAATCAGCACTCTGTGTCTAGCTAAAAGTTTGTAAACGCACCAATCAGCACTTTGTGTCTAGCTAATCTGGTGGGGGACTTGAAGAACTTTTGTGTCCAGCTAAAGGATTGTAAATGCACCAATCAGCACTCTGTGTCTAGCTAAAGGTTTGTAAATGCACTAGTCAGCACTCTGTCAAAATGGGCCAATCAGCTCTCTGTAAAATGGACCAATCAGCAGGATGTGGGTGGGGCCAGACAAGGGAATAAAAGCAGGCCACCGGAGCCCACAGCTCAACAGGGTTGGGTCCCCTTCCATGATGTGGGAACTTTGTTCTTTCGCTTTTTGCAGTATAGCTTGCTGCTGCTCACTCTTTGGGTCCACGCCGCCTTTAAGAGCTGTAACACTCACTGCGAAGGTCTGCAGCTTCACTTCTGAGGCCAGCCAGACCATGAACCCACTGGGAGGAATGAGCAACTCTGGACACACAATCTTTAAGAACTGTTAACACTCACCAGGAGGGTCTGCGGCTTCATTCTTAAACTCAGCGAGACCAAGAACCCACCAATTCCGGACACTGTGGAGAGAGACCAGTGGTGGGCAGGGCTCCAGAACTCCAAAGATCATATGTTCTTTGTCTTCTGCTACCAGGGTGGATATGGAAGGACCATCAGGTGGGGGCAGGGCTAGGCGTGCCTGAGCTCAGACTCTCCTTGGGGAGGTCTTGCTTTGGCTGCTGTAGGGGATGGAGGTGAGATTCCCAGGTCACTGGAGTTGTGTACCTAGAAGGATTATGGCTGACTCTGCTGAGTCATGCAGGTTGTCAGGGAAGTGGGGGAAAGCTAGCTTCCATGCACACTGAAAGGCTGGTCTCACTCCCACAATGCCCCTTGCGATAGCTCGGAGTCTGTTTCCAGGCCGAAGGCAAATCTGGCTTGAAAACTTACCTGAGGCTTTCTGCCTCCCGACTGACAAAGAAATGCGCTTCAGTTATTACCCTGCCTGTGAAGTCTGCAAGCCGGATTCACACCCTCCCCTGAGTTCTGGCCAGGAGGCTTCTCGCCGCATTCAATTTTTTATAAAGTTCAGCTAGAGAAGTCCTTCTCCCTGTGAAGTTTTACCCCCTGCTCCTCTGGCCACCCTCCTGATGGATGCCTGTGGTGCCAGGCAAGAATGGGTTACTTGGGGATCCAGCGGCCTTCCAGTGCCTTTCTGCTACTTCCTCTACTCCTGTATGTCTCTCAGCTCAGCTCTCTAACTTGACTCAGCTCCAGGTGAAGTCAGGAACTTCTCCCACAAACAGACTTTCAGCTTCTCCAGTGGGGGTGTGTGTTCAGGAGATGAGGGTCTCCCTTTCCCATTTCCGTGGTTAGGGGACTTAAAAGTATTTGGGGTGTCTCCCAGGTCCTGCAAGAGCAGTCTGCTTCCTTCGGGGGGTCTGTGGGTCCTGTGAGGATTGCTAGTCTGTTCTTGCAGTCCATCTGGAGCTAAAACTCACAATGCAAGCCTCCGCATGCTGCTCTGTCCAGAGCTGCAATCTAGTTCTGCCTCCTGTCTGTCATAATCCCTCATGACCCTTGAGCTTTTTTTTCATATGATTGTTGGCAGCATGTATGTCTTCTTTTGAGAAGTGTCTGTTCATGTCTTTGCCTACTTTTTAAAGGTTTTTTTTTTTTTTTTGTAAATTTGTTTAAGTTCCTTGTGGATGCTGTATATTGGACCTTTGTCGAATGCATAGCTTGCAAAAATTTTCTCCCATTCTGCAGGTTGTCTTTTTACTCTGTTAATAGTTTTTTTTTGCTGCCCAGAAGCTCTTTAGTTTAATTACATCCCATTCGTCAATTTTTTGCTTTTTTCACAATTGCTTTTGGTGTCATTGTTATAAAATCTTCGCCCATGCCTATGTCCTGAATGGTATTGCCTAGGTTGTCTTCCAGGGTTCTTATAGTTTTGTGTTTCACATTTAAGTCTTTAATCCATTTAATCCTGTATATGAAGACCGATCTTTATGTTTAGAAATTCTTTCATCTTCTTAATCTAGTCTATTGTTGAGGTTCTCAAATTGTATTATTTTATTTATTGAATTATTCAATTTCAGCTGTTAAATTCCTTTTCACTGATTTTATGGATTTGTTTGGTTGAAATCTGTTGCTGGAGAATTATTGTTTTTCCTTCAGAGATGCTATATTTCCTTGCTCTTTAATGTTTCTTATGTCCTTACATTGATATTTGAATATCTGGTAAAACAGTTGCTTCTTCTAATTTTATAGATTGGCTTTGGTAGTAAACGACTGACTTCTGTAGCTGTATCTATACTGTTGAATCAGTAAGACACTTTGCCTTTAGTTCTGGGTTGGTTCAGTAGTTTAGACTTCTATGATTTCTTCAGCTATAATCAGCATCACTGATGTCTGTGAGCTCCTCAGTGTCTTAGCCTTCATTGTTGATGGAGGCTGTGGTGAGATTTTGCTGGGGAAAGACAGGCCAGGCAGTTTGGTCCTTGGGCACCAGTTGCATTGGTCTTTGAACTTGTGGGTGATTTACGTGGGCACTAGTGGTTGAAGTTTCAGGCAGGCCATCCTTGGGCCTTCAGGTGGCTTTTTTTGTTTGTTTGTTTGTTTTTGAGAAGGAGTTTTGCTCTTGTTGCCCAGGCTGGAGTGCAGTGGCGTGATCTCAGCTCACTGCAACCTCTGCCTCCCGGGTTCAAGCAATTCTTCTGCCTCAGCCTCCTGAGTAGCTGGGACTACAGGCATGGGCCTCCACGCTCGGCTAATTTTGTAGTGTTTTTTTTTTTTTTTTTTTAGTAGAGATGGAGTTTCTCCATGTTGGTCAGGCTGGTCTCGAACTCCCGACCTCGGGTGATCTGCCCCCCTCAGCTTTCCAAAGTGCTAGGATTACAGGCGTGAGTCAGGTGGCTTTCTCAAGTGCCAGCAGTGACAGTGGTGAGCTAGGTAGATAGGCATGCCCTCAAGACCCTGGGAGGCATGTGTAGCATCAGCAATTGCAGTAGTCATAGCAGGTGAACTCTTGGGACCCCAGATGGCATGTGCAGACACCAACAGTCATGGCAACATGATGGACAGAGTAGTCCTCAGGCTTTCACCTGGTGCAAATATGTTGGCACTGGTGGCAGCGGTGATGGCAGGCTAGGAAGTCCTATCCTTAGGCTCTCAGGAGACACACAGGCACTTGATGGTGATAGGCATAGTGGATTAATCCCCAGGCTCCCAGACAATGTGCACAGGCACCACCAGGCTGGGTGGGCTCATACTCAGGTCACAAGAAGGCATGCACAGGTGCCAATGACAGAGAGCAGTGTGGGTTGATCCCCAGCCTCCTGGACAACGAGCTTGGGTAGTGGTAGTGACAGCAATGGGTGGGATGGGCATGTGTTCTGGCCCTGGAATAGTGCCCAGGCAGGCGAGTCCCCAGATCCCCTGAGGATGCCTGCAGGTGTGCAGTGGCCCTGCTCCTGGGGGTCAGGATAGCTGTCAGTGTCAGTGGCCCTGGGAAGGTGACACTCCACTTGTGAAGAGTGCCTGCTTCAGCTCCCTTTGTTCTGGGGGCAGCCTCCCTAGTGAATGGCACTGCCAGTTCCCTGGAGTGCAGGACACTTTGTAGGCTAGAGTGATGGGGACCAGCCTACACTGGTGAGTTCAGCTGGTATTGTGACTCTGCAGGCCTCTGGATGGACAAGAGGGAATGTCACTGAGGGTCCAGAGATGTGGAGATGCAGGGGATGTTGGGCCCCAGGGCAAGATGTAGTCTGTTGGGGGCTGGGCTCTCAAAATGGCACTGTGCCACAGCTGCCTGTGTCTGGGGGTGGGTGCAGATGATCCAGTGCCAACTCCTTCTCTGGGACAATGACCATCACATAGATTCCAGGCAGCTCCCTATAGTAGTCTCAGGGCCTGCGAGGGCTGAGAGACTGTCCCTTGGCTAGGATTGCAGTGTCCACAGTGGGAATATGGACCACTGGGGCTCTCTTTTTTACCTTTTCACCACACTGGAGAGCCTGTCCTGGCTTTAAGCTGATTCTGGCTGGGCTGCTGCTTCATTTTCCTTTCCTTCCATACCTCAGAGATTCCTTGTCACTTTGCTGCTGAATTCTAGTGCCCTCTTTTATGCCCTCTTCAAGGTATGATTATCTACTTGCTGGTTTGGTCTTTCTTTGGGAGGGCACAGTGCCTGGTACCTCTAGTCAGCCATCTTGAAGGCCACCTCCTAGCAATGAGAGGATAATATTCTATGTGACGGCCTTAATATACGTGTCCAAACTGCTTCTTTTCTAGGGAAGAACTTACTCTAAGAAATAAATGTTATATAGTGCAAAAATATATTAAAGGGTCAGTTGGTGATGTAGTTTCAAGAGTGGCACTGAGGAAAACTTGGCACTTCCACAGGGCCGAGTTGGTTGGAATATATCTCAGTCTCTGAGATTTTGAACCCAATGTTTTGAACTTTTTGAGATTTCAAGTAGCCCACGTGACATAACTTAACATTCTTTCTTGGCCAAATCAGGCATGGTGAAAAATAAAATCCAGCTAATATACTTTTAAATATCTTGATTCTATACTCTTTCAATAACCAAGGGGAGGCCCCCCACTACTTTACACAAAAATGAAAACTCTATGAATGAGAATCTCTTCACACAAAGCAACTAAAGTTGTGTCTAAATGGAGCAAAATGGTGACAGGTGGCAAAAGCACTCAGTGGCTGTAGTAGGTAGAATAATGTCCCCTCTGTCTCCCACCAAAGCTATCCACATTCTAACTCCTGGGTCCTGTGAATATGCCACCTTGTAAGGCAAAGGGAAATTGAGGTTTCATGTGAAATTAAGGCTGTTAATCAGCTGACCTTAAAATAGGGAGATTATCTTAGATCATCCAGGTGGGCCCAATGTAATCATGAGTCCTAAAAAATGGAACAGTGGGGAGAAGAAGAATTCAGAATGATGGAATGTGAGGACTCAACGCTCCTTTGCTGGCTTTGAAAATGGATGAAGGAAGCTATGGTGCACAGGACTAACCTGCCATTGCTGGGATAAAGGTGCAGGAAGAAAACTGCAGAGCTTCCAGAAGAAAGCTCAGCCCTGCTGACACCTTGATGTTGGCCCGCTGAGATCCATCTGAAACCTGCAGCCTATAGAACTGTCAGATAATGCATTTGTGTTGCTTTAAGCCACTAAGTTTGTTGTAATTTTTGATAGCAGCCTTAGGAAGCCAATGCAGTGTTTTAAAAGATGGAAGAAAATGCTGAATGATTATGCCCAGAAAAAGCTGGGGACTAAAGGAATTCCCTGAATCTTGGCCAGGCATACAGGTACAGACCCAGGGAATTGCCTTTGAAAAGGGTGCTGAAGAAATTGCCTTTAATCTGAGTGCACCTCTTTTTATAATTTAGATTTCTGGTGAAGTCTGGTTGACGTGATTGTGTAATTTTCCCATGTGCTGCACCTTTATCAGGGAGAGACAGACCCCTGCAAGGCTGCATGGAATAGGATGGTGCATTTTCCCAGTAAAAAAGGGGAGTGGTCTTCCCACACTCAGGGTGAAGGGTTACAGTGCGAGACAAAAGCAATAGGTATGGTGAAAGTTCCCCCACCCTGCTGCAGGTCATTTTCAACTAAGAGCTCATCTAGATGGGATAGAAAGATACTGGAAACCAAACAGTAATCAAGTCATAACATGTAATATAAACTTATTTCTTTCTTTCTTTTTTTTTTTTTGAGACAGTGTCTTTCTCTGTCTCCCAGGCTGGAGTGCAGTGTCAGGATCTCGGCTCACTGCAGCCTCCACCTCATGGGTTCAAGCGATTCTGCTTCAGCCTCCTGAGTAGCTGGGATTACAGGTGCCTGCCACCATGCCTGGCTAAATTTTTGTATTTTTAAAAGAGACAGGGTTTCACCATGTTGGCCAGAATGGTCTTGATCTCCTGACCTCATGATCCACCCACCTTGGCCTCCCAAAGTGCTAGGATTACAGGCATGAGTCACCGCACCCAGCCAGTAATATAAACTTTTAAAAGAGTTTTGTGCTGGTTGGTTTTGGTTTATTCTTTTTTGAGGATTCAATAAAAATCCCTGTGAGAAAAATGGAGAGAGGGAAAGGGAGACAGGGAGACAGAGAGAGGGAGAGAGAAAAAAGAGAACATAAAACCTCCAGAAAACAACAGGCTTCAGTCCTTTTTGGGTGTAGTGCTCTCAATTCTTGGTTGATGCCCCAGAGGCAGGCAGCAGGGTTGGCTATTTAAACATCTCCCAACATGGATTTCTGTTTCAAGGCAAAAGTCCCGACAGGAGCCATTTGGACGTTCACAGATCTCCTTGAATTTGCCCCTGGCTACATGAAGAAGAGGGTTATTGTAACCATTCACCAGTCTTTCTTTACTTTGTGTTGAATTACATGGATGTAGGGGGCAGTGCTTGAAAATAATCTTGTGTGGATTTGTGTGTGTGTGTGTGTGTGTGTGTGATTTGATTTCTTAAACACTTAAAAATCTGCTGTCACACAAAGATTTGGATTTTTTGGTGTTCTTGAAAAATCTGAGAATATTGGGTGCACCTACATGACAAAAGGCTGGAGGTGAGTAGCCCGCTCCCCTTTACAAGTTCTAGAGCATGCAAGTTTCAGTTTATTTCTTCCTTATTATCTTCTAACACTGATGGGAGATTTCAGCCTTTTAAAAAAATTTAATGTCTTGCACTATGGATTTTCCTGGAGCGAAAGAGAAGAAAATCTCTTTTGGTTCATCTCTTTTTATTTCTACACACACAGACACACACACACACACACAAACACACACTCTATATGATAGATTATAATAGATGTATCTTTCAAAAGTAGAACTGAAATATAGACCTAAAAGACAATATACTTTAATTGTTAGAGAGGATATTTTTCCTGTGGAAGGGAACAATATTCCTATGTGTTTAATACACAAATATATCTGTGCCAGTACTTGTTACACCCTGAGACTTCACTCACTACTTATATCTCTGGCACGGGTATTTGAGGTTGCAATTTTTCTCTAGAAACCATTGCATATATTAAGAGTGAAACATTCAAGGTCTTCTTAAAGGCTGAAAAACTATACTTGTTGAAAACATTGTATAGTATTTCATTTATGTCCTAAGATATCACTGCTCTGGGGATAGGCCACACACACTGAGGTATTTAGTTTGAAAAGTGTTTTAATTCTGAGCAGCCTTTGTATGTAACACAGAGCACCTTTTCCATGACAACTTCTTGGCAATAAGAGAGGTATAAAAACCAGCACTTTTTTTTTTCTATTCTGGAACACAAAAGCCAATTCTAGAATAGCTTTCAATCAGTACAGCAATTTTAATAAACATTCAATAAATGCCTATTTAACTGAACTGAAATCCAAATGCATTAGGTTCCATTTAACTTTTCAGTGGTCACAAAGCAGTTAGTGGCTTGATGTGAAGACCAAATATATGCAATATCATATTTATATCTATAATGCAAATTGGGAAATAAAGGTCATGCTTTTTTGAAGACAATGATAATTCTAGATGTTGGTCACTTAGTAGAAACAAGCTGAAATCTGAGTTTTTTGATCCCTGAGCTTTCCATCTCTTCCTTTTATCTGTAAGTAGTCAGCTACTACGTATAGTAGTACCCAAGCCCACTGGCCTTGTGCTAAAATTGGCCCTTTGCAGCTGGAAGAGTCATAAGAGATTAGTATAGTGTAGAGGATGAACCACTGACCTGTCTTGTGATATGTGATAAATCACTCTTGAACATCCCTCTGTGGTAGTACTTCTTGCATTCTACTACGGGTGGTGTTTTCTCATCTGACCTCAATTCTTGATAATGAATTTCTTGAGGGCAGGAATCATATCTTATTCTCCTCTGTATGTATATTCCAGAATCTGATTAAAGTCTTGGCTTATAATAGCTATTCAGTAAATGATTGTGGAATAATTGATTAAAATACAGCTGTTTTCTAACTTGCAATATGTTTGTGCAGAAATTTGTTGTTACTCTCGGTTCACAGGTCTTTGAATCATGTGTACTATGTTACTATACCTGATTCTATTGAGCATTATATTTTCAAACCACTTTTCAAGAAACTTAATACAGAACTACCATTTGACCCAGTAATCTCACTACTGGGTGTATATCCAAAGGAAAATAAATCAGTCTTGTAAAAAGACCTAAATTTGTATGTTCATCACAGTGGTATTCACAGTAGCAAAGGTATGGAATCAAACTAGGTGTTCATCAACAGTGGATTGAATAAAGCAAATGTAGTACATATATGTCATGGAATACTATGCAGCCATAAAAAGAACAAAACTGTGTCTTTTTCAGTAACATGGATGCAGCTGGAGGACTTTATTCTAAGCAAATTATCTCAGGAACAGGAAGCCAAATACCACATATTCTCAGTTATAAGGGGGGGCCGAGCAATAAGTGCACATGGACATAAAAATGGGAACAAGAGAGATTGGGACTTACCAGGAGGGGAGGGAGAGGGAGTAAAGTCTGAAAAGCTACCCTTTAGGTACACCCTACCTGCGTGACAGAGTTATTCATACCCCAAACCTCAATATCACACAATATACCCATGTAACAAATCTGCACATGCACTCCCTGAATCTAAAATAAAGGTTGAAATTATTTTAAAAAATTGAAATTACAAAGGGCTTTTTAAAATTATGATGTACCATTGTTCATTTACAAGAATTCAAGTAACATTAGGGATTTTAAAAATCTTTTGTTTTCATTTGTTCTTTGCTTGTAAACCTTGTGTATTGCATATTGTGGACACTATGTCTTTTCCAGCTATTTGCTTTAGGAACAAAAGCTAGAGTTACAATGAACATCATAGGCTGTCTTGTCTAGTCGCTTACCTTAAAGATGAGGAAATAAGCTGACGGAAAGAAAGAAACTTGCTCAAGATCACCCAGTGATGGAGTGAGACAGATGATAGGGATGGCACTAAGGCTTGGTATTCTGAGCCTCATTCTATTTTCCACTCTTGCCCTCTCTCTGTGTCCTCCTCTCTTCTCTAGCCTTCTACAAAAAGTTTGCAGTTCTGCTTCAATGTCTACCTAAGGACATCCAGAGGAGGTGCCACCTTTCATTAGGCTGCATTCTTTAGCACCATCCTGTGTTTTCTTCTCCAGTCTTGTTGCATCCCATTTTTGACTGTGAGTAATGCTTCTGCCTGTGCTGTTCTATCCAATTAGTTGCTTCTATTTTGATTGAGTGACAATGAAAACAACAAAAAAAATTTGTTTATCCAAATTTGGAATTTTTAAACCTTGATTAAAAGCATTGATTTTCTGGGGTTATATATGTAAGACACATATTTTAAAATATTTTTAACTGGTTAAAAAAATCAAACCCATGTATTTAGCCAGGGTGACTATTTAACAAGTACTAGGAATTCAGTAATGCCACAAGGATAATAATCTTATAAGTCAGTCCCCGATGTTGTGTGCTACCGAGTTAATATAATTGGATATGGTATCACCTTTTTTCAGGCTTTAGGAAGTCACACAAAGGAACGGCACAACAGAACTCCAGGGTGGGATGTATTAGGGAAAGCCAGGATATTAAAACAAAGTGTTGACTCTGACATTTACCCCACTGTTGAGAAAAGCACTTCAGTTTCCAGGGCCTTAATTTTTTTCTCTATAAAACAGCAAAAATAGAGGCAATAAGTTGCTTATTCATCCTTGAATACACATGTTCAGGAGTTCCAGAAAATTTTTGGATCTATTTTGGGTGTCTGGTAACCACCATGGGCAAATCCAAGAAGTCCTAGACACACTTCTCCAAAGCATGTCTGTGCAAGGGGCCTTATACCTGTGATTAATGTTTGCATGCTGAATGCAGTAGGCTATGCCCTGGTGTGGGGTCATCCCTGGTTCCTGTGTTTAAATTCTACATTACAAGACTAGATGCTGAGAAGGAAGAGGGAAAGCCAGGGATGGAGATGGAGCCTTAAGGGGAAAAGTCAAGCCCCAGTGACCAACAGTATTGGGGAGCAATAGGTTAAAGATTTCTTAGATTATAATAATATTTTCAAAGAGACTTCTTCCACCAATCCCTTCTGTCTGAGCCTACCACAGCTTTGGCATAGCTCTTATGCCAGTTCTTAGGAAAACTAACTGTTGCTGAAGGAAACTAGAGGAGCTTTGGAGACCAAGATTTAGTAGAATAATGCCTGATTTTTAATTTTTGATGTCTAGTAACTGCTAGTAAACTTGCCTAATTTGGAGATGGAATAAGAGGGTTTCAAAGACTTGAAACACCATTGACTTCATTTAACTGAGTTGCTATGGAGAATTAATGAATTAGATGGCTGCAGGCCTCTCAGCCAATGAGTCTTCCAGATTTCCTATGAGACCCCCTTTTCTGGTTATAGGTGATGGTGATTTCTCTTTGAGTATTGAATCCCTGTAAGGTGTTAGGCACTCTACTCTTACCAAGTTTATTTTGTTACCTGGTAGAACTTGGCTCATAAAGAAGAAAATGGCGAAGAGGAGGACAGCAATCCTCATGGCTGAAGAAAGAAAAAAGTTTGTCTTCATTTCCAGGAGGCAGAGAAAACTTCCATCTGTGGCTGTCTAGCACCAGTGGAATGTCTCTGTTTGGATAATAAGAGTCTTTGTGTACCTCATTAGGCATATTCATAGATAGACGTGTTCTATGCATGCAAAATTGCTTTTATGGGAAGACTGAGAGTCCTTTTTTTATTGGACAGCCAGTTCATTAGTATGATGTGGGTGCACAGTTTTGGCCATAAAACCTTGTTAAATGGGGACATAAGCTACAAACATTTTGGCAAAAGATGAAAGTTTATGAACAAACAACCATTTATATTGTTACAATAAATTAGACTGTGTTGAGAAACCAGTTGGTTTCATTAATGACCAGACATTTTGTTAGTGAACACTTCCCAGACTTTACTTGCCCTGCTAAGAATTAATCACCCCACTTTCTCCTGGTCTGAAAGTCCAAAGTGCTTTGTTTATGTTACAGTACTTACTGCCTTGTATGTTAGATTAGTGAATGTATATTTGCCTCATCCACTACTGTATGAGCTTCTTGCTTGCTAGGACAAGACTATATTACTCAGAACTGAGGAGGGAGTTGAATCATGTGGCTATTTATTCTCAAATCCTCTTCACCAAGTGGAACAAAACAACAGTGAAAGACCACCGCACATGGAGGCAGGAGGTCTGGATTTGGATTCTAGATCTCTAGATCTATTACTAACTGGAGGTATGGATATAGTCAGGAAAATTGTCTTCCTTAGGTGCTTCCTTGATAGCGTCTATAAAGGTCGAGATCTGTTGGATCTAGATCAGGGGATTCTCAATCATTACTATGCAGAAAATCAACTGGGAGAGTTACTTTGCAATACAGATGCTTAGTTCCATCTCATGATATTTTTATTTTTTTTAAAATTGGTCTAGTATTTTTTGTTGTTTGTTGTTGTTGTTTTTATTGATCATTCTTGGGTGTTTCTTGCAGAGGGGGATTTGGCAGGGTCATAGGACAGTAGTGGAAGGAAGGTCAGCAGATAAACAAGTGAACAAAGGTCTCTGGTTTTCCTAGGCAGAGGACCCTGCGGCCTTCCGCAGTGTTTGTGTCCCTGGTTACTTGAGATTAGGGAGTGGTGATGACTCTTAACGAGCATGCTGCCTTCAAGCATCTGTTTAACAAAGCACATCTTGCACCGCCCTTAATCCATTTAACCCTGAGTGGACACAAAACATGTTTCAGAGAGCACCGGGTTGGGGGTAAGGTCATAGATCAACAGCATCCCAATGCAGAAGAATTTTTCTTAGTACAGAACAAAATGGAGTCTCCTAAATCTACTTCTTTCTACACAGACACAGCAACAATCTGATTTCTCTATCTTTTCCCCACATTTCCCCCTTTTCTATTCGACAAAACCGCCATCGTCATCATGGCCCATTCTCAATGAGCTGTTGGGTACACCTCCCAGACGGGGTGGCGGCCGGGCAGAGGGGCTCCTCACTTCCCAGAAGGGGCGGCCGGGCAGAGGCGCCCCCCACCTCCCAGACGGGGCGGCGGCCGGGCGGAGGCGGCCCCCCACCTCCCTCCCGGACGGGGCGGCTGGCCGGGCGGGGGCTGCCCCCGGGGCTGCCCCCCGCCTCCCTCCCGGACGGGGAGGCTGGATGGGTGGGGGCTGCCCCCCACCTCCCGGACGGGCCGGCTGCCGGGCGGAGACGCTCCTCACTTCCCGGATGGGGCGGCTGCCGGGCAGAGGTGCTCCTCACATGCCAGACGGGGTGGCGGGGCAGAGGTGCTCCCCACATCTCAGACATGGGCGGCTGGGCAGAGACGCTCCTCACTTCCTAGACGGGATGGCGGCCGGGGAGAGGCACTCCTCACTTCCCAGACTGGGCAGCCGGGCAGAGGGGTTCCTCACATCCCAGATGATGGGCGGCCAGACAGAGACACTCCTCACTTCCCAGACGGGGTGGTGGCTGGGCAGAGGCTGCAATCTTGGCACTTTGGGAGGCCAAGGCAGGCGGCTTGGAGGTGGAGGTTGTAGTGAGCCGAGATCACGCCACTGCACTCCAGCCTGGGCAACATTGAGCACTGAGTGAACAAGACTCTGTCTGCAATCCCGGCGCCTCGGGAGGCTGAGGCTGGCAGATCACTCGTGGTTAGGAGTTGGAGACCAGCCCGGCCAACAGAGCGAAACCCAGTCTCCACCAAAAAAATACGAAAACCAGTCATGCGTGGCTGCACGTGCCTGCAATCGCAGGCACTCGGCAGGCTGAGGCAGGAGAATCAGGCAGGGAGGTTGCAGTGAGCGGAGATGGAGCAGTACAGTCCAGCTTTGGCTCGGCATCAGAGGGAGACCGTGGAAAGAGGGAGAGGGAGAGGGGGAGGGGAGGGGGAGGGGGAGAGGGAGGGAGAGGGAGAGGTGGTCAAGTATTTTTCATTAAATAATGTAAACTTTCTTAGTCTACATCTAATAAAACTCCCACCAGCATACAAATACATTGAATGATATTAGCAGCAGAATCTTTAAATAAAGTAACCATACAGAACTATTAGGCCATCTTTTTTTCATTGCTTATTATTTCATGCTATTTGTCACCATTGTCATCATAATCAGCCTCATCCTACATTGTTGAACACCCATCACGGACCATATGGCATAAACATTTTTCCTACTCATAAAGGAGCATATGTTCTCTATATGTATATAAAATTAATGTCTGAACAAACTGGCTTAAACAAGGCAGAAGTTGGTTTCTCCCTCACTTAAATCTATAGTTCTACCTACCATGGCTAATACAGATACCTGCCAAATTCATTAGGGATGCAGGCCCCTTCCAGCTCTCTGTTCTGCTATACTTTAGAAGAGGCTCTAGTTTGGCTGCCAAATCCCCACCTATCATTTTTGAATTCCAGGCAGCAGGAAGGAAAAAAGCCAAGAGAGAAAAACAAGGGAGCATCTACCCCTCCTTTTAAGTATTTTAACCAACCCCTCTTGTTTTTTTTTAACTGACTTTGTTGAGCTATGATTACATTTAAAAAGCTGTACATATTTAAGGTGTACATCTCAGTGAGTTTGGGGATAAGTATACACCATGAACACATCACTACCATCAAGATTATAAACATATCCTTCACCTCCCTAAGTCCCCCCCCTTTATTATTATTATTTTTTTGGTAACAAATATTGGTAAGAATACAAAATCTATCCTTTTAGCAAATTTTAAGTGTGTAATACAGTATTCTTAGCTGTAAGCACTATGCTGTAAACGAGACCTCCAGAACTTACTTATGTGGTATATCTGAAACTTTGTGCTGTAACCACATCTACCCATTTCCCCAGCACCACGGCCCCTGGCAACCACCATTCTACTCTCTGCTTTTGTGAGTTTTTCTATTTTAGATTTCAAATACAAGTGAAATCATATAGTAATTGTCATTCTGTGGTTGGCCTATTTCATATAACGTAATGCCCTCCAAGTCCATCCATGTTGTCACAAATGACAGGGTTTCATTATTATGTAACACTGAATAATATTCCATTGCATATATGTATCAGCCATTTATCCTGATACTCTTCCTCCACCTGCCTCCCAACAGTCCCCAGTGTGTGTTGTTCCCCTCCTAATATCCATGTGTTCTCACTGTTCTGCTCCCACTTATAAGTTAGAACGTGCAGTGTTTGGTTTTCTGTTCATGGGTTAGTTTGCTGAGGATAATGGCTTCCAGCTCCATTCATGTTCCTGCAAAGAACATGATCTCATTCCTTTTTACGGCTGCATAGTATTCCATGGTGTATACGTACCACATTTTCTTTATCCAGTCTGTCACTGATGGACATTTGGGTTGATTCCATGTCTTTGCTATTGTGAATAGTGCTGCAATGAACATATGTATGCATGTATCTTTATAATAGAATGATTTATATTCCTTTTGGTATATACCCAGTAATGGGATTGCTGGGTCAAGTGGTATTTCTGGTTGTAGGTCTTTGAGGAATCACCATACTGTCTTCCACAATAGTTGAACTAATTTACATTCCCACCAACAGTGTAAAAGTGTTCTTATATCTCAACAGCCTCATCAGCAGGTAGTTTTATTTAAAAAATTTTTGAGAAACCTTCATACTATTATCTGAAATGGACATAGTAATTTGTATTTCCACCACAAGTATACAAGGGTTATCTTTTCTCCACATCCTCACTAATACTTGTTATACATCTTTTTGATAATAGCTATTCTAAGAGGTATCAGATGATATTTCATGGTGGTTTTTTTATTTACATCCCCCTGATGATTAGAGACGGTAAGAATTTTTTCATATATTTGTTGGCCATTTGTATCTGTTCTTCTGGGAAATGTCTACTCAGATCTTTGCCCTTTTTTTTTTTTTTTTTTTTGAGATGGAGTCTCGCTTTGTCACCCAGGCTGGAGTGCAGTGGCGTGATCTTGGCTCACTGCAAGCTCCACCTCCCAGGTTCATGCCATTCTCCTGCCTCAGCCTCCCAAGTAGCTGGGACTACAGGCACCCGCCACCATGCCCAGCTAATTTTTTGTATTTTTTGTATTTTTTTTTTTTTTTAGTGGAGACAGGGTTTCACCGTGTTAGCCAGATCTTTGCCCATTTAAAAAAAAATTCAACTTTTATTTTAGATTCAGGAGATGCATGTGCAGGTTTTTACATTGGCACATTGTGTGATGCTGAGGAGTATGAATGATCTTGTAACCCAGATAGAAAACATAATACCCAATAGATAGTTTTTCAGGCTTTTGTCCCCACCTTCCCTTCCCCCTCTAGTAGTCCCCAGTATCTGTTGTTCCGATCTTTACTTCCATGTGTAACCAATGCTTTGTTCTCACTTATAACTAAGAACATATGGTATTTGGTTTTCTCTTCCTGCATTATTTTAGAATAATGGCCTCCAGCTGCATCCATGTTGGTGCAAAGGACATAATTTTTTTATGGTTGTGTAGTATTCCATGGTGTACATATACTGCATTTTCTCTATCCACTGTAACATTGATGGGCATCTAAGTTGATTCCATGTCTTTGCTATCGCAAATAATGCTATAATAAATATATGAGTGCACACGTCTTTATGGTAGAACAATTTATTTTCTTTTGGATACAAGGGTCAGTCCCCATGGCTGCTGTCAAGGGCCAGTGTTGAGTGCCTGCAGCTTTTCCAGGCTCAGGGTGCAAGCTGTCAGTGGATCTACCATTCTAGGGTCTGGAGGATGTTGGCTGTCTTCTCAGAGCTGCACTAGGCAGTGCCCCAGTGTGGACTCTGTGGGGACTCCAACCCCACATTTTCCATCTGCACTGCTGTAGTAGACATTCACCATGAAGTCTCCACCCCAGCAGACTTCTACTGGACATACAGGCTTTTCCATACATCTTTAGAAATCCAGGCAAAGGCTTCTGATATGGTTTGGCTCTGTGTCCCCACCCAAATCTCACCTCAAATTGTACTCCCATAATTTCCACATGTTGTGGGGGGACCCAGTGGTGATAACTGAATCATGGGGGCAGTTTCTCCCATGCTGTTCTTGTGGTAGTGAATAAGTCTCATGCGTTCTGATGGTTTGAAAAGGGGAAACCAATTTTGCTTGGCTGTCATTCTCTCACTTGCCTGCTGTGATGTAAGACATGCCTTTTGCCTTCTGCCTCCCCCCAGCCATGTGGAACTGTGAGTCCAATTAAACCTCTTTCTTTTGTAAATTGCCCAGTCTCAGGTATATCTTTATCAGCAGTGTACTCCTGTACTTTGTGCACCTGCAGGTTTAACACCCCATGGAAATTGCCAAGGCTTGTGGCTTGCACCCTTTAAAGCAGTGGCCCAAACTATGTCTGGGGCCCTTTTAGCCATGGCTGGAGCTGGAGTGGCTGAGACCTAGAATGCTGTGAGCACTGTCCTGCACCTGCACTGGGCCCAGCCCACAAAATCATTCTTCCCTCCTAGGCCTCCAGGCCTTTGAGGGGAGGGGCTGCCACAAGCCAAGGTCTCTGAAATATCTTTGAGGCCCTTTCTTCATTGTCTTCTATTAGCATCTGCTTTCCTTTTAGTTACTCAAATTTCTGCAGCCTGCTTGAATTTCAGACAATACCAGTGGTCTTACAAGCACTACATGACCCCTATAACACTTCCTGACTTCATTTCTGCAATATATTTTATTTTTTTACATCAGGATGAACATTGAAACTTTTTATATCTATTCACCTTCCATTTGTTTTCAAGTCCAGTTTATCTCCAAAGAATTTTAGAATGTAGATAAGACTCTAGTTTGTCTGGTTTCTTGCTGTATCCCTTGACTGCGAATGCTTTCTAGTACATATAATACACTCAAAAGTACTTATGAATAAAAAAAAGGAATTAATCTTCACATTTTTCCTTCAAAATAGCCTTAACTCTTTGGTTTCCAAATTTATGTGAGGGTTTTTAGTAGTAGTCTCAAAAATCCAATCAAATTGAACAGGGAGTGTCTCCAGAATGAAGTTTTTGATTAGATTCAGTGTCTGTGCAATCAGGACATGTCTCTTGGAATGTAGTGGTGATTAGGTTTATTAATTATTTTTTTCATATATAAGGGGAAGCCAATCAGAGGATGCATTTTCCCAGAGAAGGAGCATCTGAAGAGTTTAAGACCTTGGGGAAAGAGAGTCTTGCTGCTTGCTTGTGAGACTTGCCTTGGAAGGTAGATAAGTTCACTGCATCCTCCAGCTTTTTATTTCTGGTGAGTTCTCCAAGCACTGAGATGTGAACTGGCCTCATTCCCTTACAATGATACTGTTACCAGTAGAAGAGATTCCAGTTACTGGCAGCATATCTGCATGGGTCCATAAGCAACTTCAGTCCTTGCCTCCTCAGAAGAAAGAATTCGACTGAAGGGCATACAGCGGAAAAAGAGACTGAGCAGTAAGTTTCAGAGCAGGAGTGGAAGTTTATTTAAAAAGGCTTTAGAACAGGAAGGAGAGGAAAATTCTCTTGGAAGAGACCCGAGCAGATGCCTGAAGGTCCAAGAAAGAAAAGAGAAGAGCCTTTAACCTTGATCCTGCGACGGGTTTGCCTCTTTCCCATGATTCTTCCTTTAGGGAGAGTTTCCAGCATGCACAGTGCTTTCCTTACCCTTTGAAATTGAGCATGCACGGTGTGTTTAGGGAGTTATATGCATGTCCATCTGAAGCTTTCTTTCCTTTTCCGGTGGAGTGTGCCCCCAGATTATGCTTTGCCATTTTTGTCTCTTCACATGCATGCCCAAGAAGTTGCTTCTTCCTGGGGTCTGCATTTAATTCACATTTTTGATGTTAACAGGTGTAGACCATCAGGAAATGGCCTCTCTCTGGTGCTGCCTAATTATCATTTTTAGAGAGGCAATGTGATAACTGACAGGCCATCACCTGACATTTCTAGTGGGTAGGGGAAGAGCCCTCTCCTGCCCTGCTCAAGCTCTTCTACCTGTAACAAGACAAGCCTTGTATATCATTAGACATTTGTCCCATCAAGGCAGCATCTCATTATTACATTTTATTGTGTGAATTGTTACTTCCCATTCTCATATTCTGTGTTCACTATTTGTGTGCCTTTTCCATTTCTGTTTTGACCATATCTCATTATTTTAACTGCCTCCTCCAAGATTCTAGATCTGCATTGGCCAATATAGTAACTACTAGTCACATGTGACTATAAACTGTAATTTAATTATAATTAAATAACTAAATGGCATATCCTTAGTAGTAATAGCCAAAGTCGTGGCCAAACTAGAAATTCTGTAACTGCATATGTGTGGTAGTTACTGCATTGGACAATGCAGATATAGAGAATTTCTTTCATCACAGAAAATCGTGTCGGGCATGTTGGCTACCACTTATTTTTAAATTCTATTTGTGTGGTTTATAGTTAAATTATATTCTTCTTCTCTATATTCATTTCCCTTCAGATTTTCTCAAGCAATTTTTAAATTTCATTCATTTACCTTATTGAGGTAAGTACTTAGATTATTTTTTTAAAATAATGTACAGCAAATAATTTTTCCATGGATATTGTTTTAGCTTTATTGTATTGGTACTTTTACGTACTATATTCAGGTATTATTGTTTTTCATAACGTACTTTAAAAATTGCGCCAAGTTTATTTAAAATAGATTTCTCCCTTGATTTTCAGATGTTAGATTCTGTCTTCTATTGCTGTATTTTAATTTAATTTTATTTTATTGTATGTAAATATGTTGCATATTCCTTTTTTTAAAATGTGAGATTTTTCTTCTCTCCTGTTACACAAACTTTGTATGCAGTGTTCATTATGAACTTTAAAAATAAATATTTTGTTTCAGGGCATGGTGCTTTCACACATAAAACCTTAGAATAATTTTAAATTCCATTCCACTTTCACCATTCCTGAACTGCTTTCAATATATTGGATGTTGGAAGCCATGAGAGGCTTGCAATCCTGTCAAGATAATAGGATTTTCCATTTATAGTGTAATCTGACTTGCAATCCCGTCAAGATAATAGGATTTTCCATTTATAGTGTAATCTGATATATATTCGTTTTGGTTTCATACTTTAAAAAAATCTATTCTCTTTTACTCTGTGGTGATCTTTGCTTTTCTATTTGTTGATTGCTAGAATGTCAGCTGCTGTTTCCCTAGCACTCGAGATGTCATTCAACATTGTATAGCACTGGTGTTGACAATTGAGAGAATCTACTAAATAATAGCACTTTTCGAGACTACAGTTCTGAATTAAAGGAAGGGAAAGGACAGGCAAAAGAATATAGACATCAGCTATTTTTACTGAAGATCTGTTGGAGAACATGGTTTTGTTGTCCAGGAACTTGAGACCTAATAATACATTCCTAATACTTCACTAAGGTGTGTCTAAATAGCCGTGAAAGGGCTAGGAAGTCACAAGTAGGCCTCTTAATTTTTACGGTTGCCCTTAAAATATTAAGGTAATATTGAGGATGCAGAATGGCTCCTTCCTCATGACTTTTTAAGAGATCTGGGCCAGGTACGGTGGCTCACGCCTGTAATCCCAACACTTTGAGAGGCGGAGGCTGGCGGATCACCTGAGGTCAAGAGTTTTAGACCAGCCCGACCAAAATGGAGAAACCCCGTCTCGATTAAAAATACAAAATTAGCCGAGCACGGTGGCCCATGCCTGTCATCCCAGCTACTCAGGAGGCTGAGGCTGGAGAATTGCTTGAACCCGGGAGGTAGAGGTTGCGGTGAGCCGAGATCGCGCCACTGCACTCCAGCCTGGGCAACAAGAGTGAAACTCCGCCAAAAAAAAAAAAAAAAAAAAAGAGAGAGAGACAGACATCTGGAGGGAGATACTAAGCTGTGCAGGCTCTCATCTTGAAGTCACCAAATACATAAGTTGTTATTCCTGCTCTGGTGAAAAGTTTGTCAATACATTTTTTTCCATGAATTAATGAAAATTTTATACCCATAACATAAGTTTCTAAAAGTTTCTCCTAAAGATTGCTTGTGTATGTATGTGTTTTAAAATATATTTAATCTCTACATCTTGAAATAGTTTTTATAGATTCCACACAAGAGTCCTTTATGAAATAAGTATGCTTTAACTTTCTTATAATATTTGTCCTTTTTTGTCCCTGGCACAGTCTGTATATGACCAGTTAAATTACTTTTCATCCATGTTTGGGTTATAATTACACATAAATATTCTCTAAAGCCCAAATCTTATTTTGATATTCGAGGAAGAGCTTACATGGTAATAATATTAAGGGTTACAGCTGGTTTCACTGAAGCTTTGTAGGCCTTCTCTAATATCTTATTTTTTTGAGGGAATATCTGTTCTGCTTGAATTATAGACTACATAATACATGTACTGTCAGGTACATTCATGGAACGGACAGGCAGATGGAGTCATATGTTACTGGAGTCCTGATGAACAGATGTAGAAAATAGTCCAAGGAATAAGAAAAAAGTTGATATTGAAAAGTGCTTGTTGAAGTCTGTAAATGTGCGTTAAATGTGGCAGTAAAAATAGACACAATGATGTTTGGGAACTGGGGTCTAAATACTGGAGTCCCCAGAATCTTAGAGAACCTTGGTTAGGGGAGTAATTTTGTCAAAAAGCAAGAAGAGGCAGTGACAGGCAGAATATAATTAAAAATATTGCTGGGTCATTTTCTAATTTTGTAATTTTGTCATATTTTTCAAACTCTGTTGATCATTTATTAAATTTGTAAATAAACTGTAACCAGCAGGGTTATTATGAGGGTTAAATAAGGATGTATATGTACATCTGTAAGCACAATGTCACAATTAATACAAAGTTACCCTTTTATTTTTCCTGGACTTCGTGTACAAATGGGTCAGTAAATTTTTTGTTTATGACACATAATTATCATTTGTACATAAAATATATTTAATTATTTTTATATTTTTGGCAGGGAAATAATACATGCATGTTTCCCCCTGTCTCAAACACATACATTCATATAAACATATGCACCTATATACCTACATATCTATGTATGAATATGTACATGGACATCAGTATTTCTCAGCAAATATGTATCATGATAATCAGAGATATTGCAACTAACAAAGACTAATATAAACCATGATTGCAAGAATTTTAGATACCACGTTAGTAAAATATCAGATTGAGCTGCTAAATTTCTCCCACCCCTACGTCATTTTGTATTTTCTGAGCATCCTAGAGGATTGTGACTGTATACACAGGAAAGAAACACCAAGACTCAAGGTACTCCTGTTAATTTCTGATGCAGGAGATTTTAAGGGCTAGATTAGCAGGATGGGAGTGTTTACCCTCTAAGTGAAATAAATCCCTCAATTGATTATCCCCATCCTAAAACAGATTTTTTTTTTTTTGAGACAGAGTCTCGCTCTGTCGCCCTCGTTGGAGTTCAGTGGTGGGATCATGGCTCCCTGTAATCTCTGCCTCCTGGGTTCAAGAGATTCTCCTGCTTCAGCCTCCTGAGTAGCTGGGATTACAGGCAAGCACCACCACACCCAGCTAATTTTTTTATTTTTAGTAGAGATGGGGTTTCACCATGTTGGCCAGGCTAGTCTTGAACCCTTGACCTCAGGTGATCCAACTGCCTTGGCCTCCCAAAGTGCTGGGATTACAGGCATGAGCCACCACACTCGACCGTAGAACAGATTCTTACTTGATTATTTCCAAGTTCCAAGGGGAAATACAAAAGTCAGAGTTGAGTGAAAGTAAAAGTGGAGTAAGTCTTCAGGAGGCTGTGGTGGGTGTTGGAGAAACACGGCTAGGGCATAAAGCTAGGAGAATAAAATCTGAGAAATCCCAGTGTTTATCTATAGGTGGAAATCATATTCCACATGTGGATGGAGTCAGGGATCCCTGTGTTTTAAAATCAGTGAGGGAATTGAATATCTGGACTTGTGCCAATTAACATACAAAACTCCATGCTTTTGATGTTCTCATTCACGAGATATCTGTGTTCCTTCTTGGTTAGCAACCATAGTCATAGGCTTCCTAATTTTGACCACAGGAAAAGAGGAGAAGCCTCTGCATGTTTGTGTCTGTTGGTTAGGCTGTGGTGCAGCTGGTGTCACACTTCAGTGAAAGTCTGGCTTTTCATCACAGGTTGATCTGAAAATTGTGCACAAGACTGGTGTCTCACATGTTCTTTCTCCAACCTCAGCTTTTCTTAGTGCCTAAAGTGTCTGCAAGTGGAAATCCAGAGGAAGACAGAGAGAAACTGAGTTCCTGACAATGCATTCACTAGTGAGTAGGGGATGCCTCTTTCTACTGAAATTATACCCATATTGCTGGCAAATGGGCAGTTTTCTCCAATTTGCATGGGTGTTTCAGTTTTATTATTATTTTTGTTTGTTTTTACTATGTAAAATCCACCCAGCCTGGGTGTTCCAAATGCAATCAGAAGGCTTTCCGGTATCTGGCCTCCAATTAAGTTTTCTCAGGACTCTAGGTTGGGTATCGTGTGTCAAAGACTCCTAAATTATCAATATAATTTCTAATATTACACTACTTTATTCCAGCCCCTATTAAGGCTATTTACAAAAAAGATATGAGAGGTTTCATTTATATATTTCTTTTTCTTCTATCCATCCTATAATCTCATAGGGAAATAATTGACCCATTAACTGTACTGTTGGCTGAAATAGACTTAGGATTGTGATGAATACAGGCGATAGAGATGAGTGAAGAGCAGAACATCACAGCCCAACAATGAGTCTGATGTTCTAGCAGCTGAGTTCAATAAATCCAGTGTGATAGGACTTGGGCAAGAGCTGTGCAGTGTTGAGGGAAAAGAAGAGTTTGATAAAATATATTTGAGCTTTTAAAAACTTTGTGAAAGGACAACTGAAGAAGTTATTATTATTCTTATCCCTATTCATTTTACCTTTTGGTAATTAACCTTTTTGCCTTCTGGTAACTGAAAGTAACATATAAGAAATATAATTATTTAATTATGGTTGCACACTCAGAAGAAGGAATATAGTAGATAGAGTACAATTTAGGGTTCTGTGGAAACGCTTTATAAGGGCTAGTTAGAAAAAAAAAATGAAGAGGCTTTTTTAATCTTTGAACAAGTGAAGTGACAAGGTAAATTTAAAAGAGAAACAATGATAACTGATGTTTGGATTGCCAAGAGAAAGTTGAGAACAGGAGGCTTCATATCACAGGAATCATCAGACTAAGATTTCCTCAGTATAGCAGCCTCAGCGGTCTTGTCTTGTGCTGCTAGACTGTCTTTAAGCCTTGTCATGAACACCTGAATTATATAACATTAGGGAGACTATATGTATGAATTGAATCCTATATTCTGCATAAAGCTTGTTCAGTTCTGAAGAATGCTGGAGTCTGGGTCATTACTTTCTAACTTTTTAATGAATAAGGGACCAATGACTTATATTTAATAAATATTTGCTAGATAGGAAACACATTTTCTATTAGTTCATTAGATTATTCAAAACACATCATAGGTCTTTTAACCATTTGATTGGTGAGAAACCTGTGGTTCATCTAGAGAAATAATTTATTTCATCACAGTCGTGCTTAAAAAGTAGTAAATCATGGTTATTTGCCTTGTGACAAATCTGTAATTTACTTGAAATTCATGGTAAATTTCATTTTATTTATGAATGTTCAAGTGAAAATTTTATAATTCGTTACGTAGAGGTGATTAACACATTACTGAAAAATATCTGGGTTATATTATGCCACACCTCATGCGATATTTCTTTATAGTAAAGTTTAATGGATTCAGAGTGGGTATATCTCTGTGAGTGAATCTGAAATGCAGATACCAGCTTACTACTGAGAATGAACTGGCTGGAACTCAAAACACTGAGTATTCTGCATACCCAGCTTCTAGCTATGTCATCTCAGCCTTCCTCTTCCGGACATTGAAAGGGATTTCTCTGTCTAAACTAAAATGTCTGTGATGTTTTAGAAGAAAGTGACTTTTGAAGATGTAGCTATTGACTTCACCCAGGAAGAGTGGGCCATGATGGACACATCCAAGAGAAAGCTGTACAGAGATGTGATGCTGGAAAATATCAGTCACCTGGTGTCCCTCGGTGAGTCCCTCAACATTCACGTACATATGTAGACACACATTCGCTCATTCATTCAATAAGTGTTAGAACAGCTTCCCCATAACTCACTCTAATCTCTTCTCTGCTTCTCTCACAGATCTCATCTGAAAAAAGTTTGAACTCTCTAAATCTATCTCAAATAAATATCTTTCTTTTTATTTTATTTTATTTAGTTTGTCACTCAATTAGAATGTAGTCTTGACAAGGATTTCATGGTTTCTTTGGTACTCAGTCTCTAATACTCATAACAGACCTGGGAACTTGATGAATATTTTCAATGTATTAAATTCAATATTTTCTAAATAACTCTTCTGCTTTAGTCTATGCTTAGGCTGAGACCAATTAGTGAAAACAATAGCAATATCTTTTCCATATAGAACACCAATTATTTTTGTAAATCGAATGATTTTTTTGTTGTGCGTGAGAATAATAATAAACACACTGTGCAGAGATTTAATTACTCTCTTTCTGGAAAGATTGTGTATTATGCATTGTGTCTTGGAACTTAGGCATGGACTCAGCATTCATAGGTCCTGACTGTTTTGAATTTCCTTTTCCTGATGGACCTTTGGTTTGGATTTATTTTCTAGTCTCACGTTGGGTCAGAAAAATCCTGGGGAGTTTTCTGTGTTCTAGGTCTTGTGGCCTGAGCTGACCTTCACTGTTTTTATTCTTCCTTGATAGCCTGCCTTACACTTGGTGATAATGCACATTTATTGACAGTGAACTCAAAACACATGTATTCTTTCCACTAACAGGGTACCAGATAAGCAAATCCTATATAATTTTGCAGCTGGAGCAAGGAAAAGAGCTGTGGCAGGAAGGAAGAGAATTTCTTCAAGACCAGAATCCAGGTAAGCAACAGGGTCCTGTGCTCTAATAGGAGGAGGTGCTTTGTCAATGAATAATATCAGTTGAATATTAATTAGTGGTTTTATTAAATGAGTGATAATTTCTAAAATGTAGGTTAGGCTACTGGAGCAGAATTCCTTAGATGTTATTATCATTTTGTTCATGTGTCAGATGCTACTCTTGTGTCCTCTTTTTTTTTCTTTTCTTTTACTTTTGGGAAAAGGATAATTCATGTACTTGGCTGGGGTTAAACTTTCATATGCTGACTCTTTTCCTGATACCCCTGTGAAGACTATCCCTCTATTTACCTGCCTGATATCTCATCTCCATTTTAACTCTTTTCACATTTTAATTTTAAAAATCTTTTCTAATTGCTGACATTGTACAATCTATTTCTTCTATTCAAGTAGTTTCTTCATTTGACACACTTGCCACATCTAAGTGTCAATTTTTGAAAAAAAGTAAATGGGCCTTGGGGCTTTTCAAACAATTTTATTACCATAATACCAATGTAACAATTTATTTTTCAATTGTTTCAGACAGGGAAAGTGCCCTTAAGAAAACACACATGATATCCATGCATCCTATCATCAGAAAAGATGCACCCACCAGTATGACAATGGTAAGTTTTATAGCTGTGTACACCACTCATCTAAGTTAAAGACATGGTAATGGGTTAAGTTCATAATGAAGCACAATCATCTGAGTGTAATTAGGCTGGCATTAAGTGCTTTCTAAGCAAAAAAAAATTGGATACTTTGAATTTAGTGAATACATTGACCTGTGTTCTAAACCATAACATGAGATCTCTAAAACAGAACAAGTGCATATACTTTGCTCATGCCCAGACATTGAAAGATATTGATATCATCACAATTATACAATAACCCTGCAGTTGAGATGTTACAGAAGAGAACATATCTGTGTCTGCAGGAGATAATGTATATGCAAATGTCAATCGAGAAAAATGACAAGACAAGTCTCAATCATTTTAGGAGATTTATTTGCCAAAGTTAAGGACATGCACCCAGGGGACAGGTGTATGCCTTTCTCCAAAGATGATTTTGAAGGCTCCAAATTTAAAGGGGAAAGGGTGGGATATTGAGAAGTACACAATTTTCATGTAAAAGGTGGGTAGAATAAATAGTCATTCATGCATTTTTCTGGCTCAGTGAATCTGGATTTTTTTACATAAGATGACATAAACAAATGAGGCAGAGGAATAATGCAGGAAAGCTGCATTTTACATAAGACAACATAGGCAAAATGGGGCAGGGAAACAATCAGATATGCATTTGTGTCTGGTGAACTGGGGATGACTGCACCTGTAAAGACAAGTTATCAGTTTGCATTGCCATGGTGTAATTTTAACAGCTCATGAGGAATTTCCTCGTGGGCAAAATATGGGGGAGGCATGTAGCTTTTCATCTTGTAGCCATATTATTTAGGAACCAGAAGGGGGAGGCAGGTTTGTGTGACCCAGTTCCCAGCTTGATTTTTCCCTTTGGTTAAATGAGTTTGGGGTCCCAAAATTTAATTTCCTTTCACACAAGAAACATTGGAAAGATTTCAACTGGGGTCTACCACTGAATGGTTGGTCTAGGATTCAAAGGTAGTGAAATGAATGTATAGATATATGTGGGTAAACCATTAAGAGCTTTTAATCTTTGTCCCAAAGGAGAACTCTCTCATTCTGGAGGATCCTTTTGAATGTAATGATTCGGGAGAAGATTGCACTCACAGTTCCACAATAATTCAGTGTTTGTTAACTCATAGTGGAAAGAAACCCTATGTCAGCAAACAGTGTGGAAAATCCCTTAGTAATCTTTTGTCCCCTAAACCACATAAACAAATTCATACTAAAGGTAAATCATATCAATGTAATCTATGTGAAAAGGCCTATACTAATTGCTTTCACCTTAGACGGCCCAAGATGACTCACACTGGAGAGAGGCCATATACATGTCATCTATGTAGAAAAGCCTTCACTCAGTGTTCTCACCTTAGAAGACATGAGAAAACTCACACAGGAGAGAGACCATATAAGTGTCATCAATGTGGGAAAGCCTTTATTCAATCCTTTAACCTTCGAAGACATGAGAGAACTCACCTTGGAGAAAAGTGGTATGAATGTGATAACAGTGGGAAAGCCTTTAGTCAAAGCTCTGGCTTTAGAGGAAACAAAATAATTCACACTGGAGAGAAACCACATGCTTGTCTTCTATGTGGGAAGGCCTTCAGTCTGTCTTCCGACCTTAGATGACATGAGAGAACACACACTGGAGAAAAGCCATATGAATGCCATTTATGTGGGAAAGCCTTCAGTCAATGTACTAATCTTAAATAACATCAGAAAATTCACGCTGGAGAGAAAATTATAAACATCTTCAGAACATATTCTGACTTTAGATGACACGGTGTTAGGAATGACGAAGGTAAGGAATGTGGAAGAGACTTCAGCTGTAGTTGTAGCATCTGAACATGCCAAAGGACTAACATTTTGAAGAAATACTGTAATCAACATGGAAGATACTTCAGTTACCTTTATTCTTCAGTCCACATCAATAAATTCATATGGAAGAGAAATTGTATGACATGTATGTACCAAAGACTTGTTAGTGATCTGAGCATAAATGACATGAGAGAGCTGAAACTGTCAACATAATCAACTAAAAGTCTTCAGCAACAGCTTTAACTTAAAACATGTGGGACTTTCAAGTAGAGAATCTCTAACTCTGCATTCAGTGTTAAAATGTTTTTATTTGCAATTTATTGTCAAATAACATGAGAAAACTTTACTTGGATGAACCCTTTATTTGTATTTTCTGTGAATAAACATTCAGCCAAGCACCAGGCCTGATGTTCACAAGAAAACACAGTGATAAAATGCTGCTAAAATGGAAAATAAGAGAGGAAAGCCTTCATAAGCTAAATAAGAAGGGAAAGTCTTTCCAAGGGCAATGAATTCTCTTGGAATACCAAATACGTCTTACTGGAGAAGTTATGCAATGAAAAATCATGAGAAATCCTTTCTTCATAGAGCAACACTTGTGGCACATGTGAGATTTCTCACTGGACAAAACATGGTTAGCATCTTGAAAGGAGAAAATTCTTTAGTGGTAATTCATTTCTTAGTTGACACTAAGTTTCTCACATTGAGGAGCTATCAAACTTGAAAATCACTGTGAAGAAACCTGATAGATTTCTTATCAGAAAAGTGAGTCAAGAAGGTGGACCTCTAGAAAAAACTCTTAACACATACTTTAGCAAAATAATTCAGAAATTTGAGAAAATATCTATTCATAAAAATGTGGCATGTAGATGCATAATAGCAAAGTGACCAGGGAAAAAATTGAATGCAGAATTATATAAGAAATCTCATTAAACTTTTCCAAAAGATCAATACTTACAAATATTGAAAGAATACAATCTGTTGTTGAAAAAACTTAGTATGTTGGCAAAGCCCTTGTTTCATTTATGCAGCCCTAACAAATCGATTTGCATCTGCACCCCTTGGGTGAGATTCTTGGTCGAGATTCTACCCCAACTTCTGAGTCTCCCCAGTCTTCAACAGCTCTTTCCTCACAGCTCACCTCCCTTTACTTCAACGTCCACTAAAATCACTTGTTTCCATCCAACCCTCGAGTTGACACACCAGGGATCTTCAGCCCCACTTGCTAGATTTCTCAGTGTGTCATTGCATAGATTTAGCAGGGAAATGGAGGCTGTATCAAAGACACTTAGTATATGCATTTGGGTGTCCCCAGCCCTTTCCTCTGTCTCTGAGCAGTTACCTGGGATCAGAGAATAAGGGAGCTCTTCTCTTCTATCCCTCAGAAGGCTCTTGAAATTTTGTCCCTGGAGCCTCTCTAACTGGAAGTAGAAGTTCATCTCATAACACCCCACATTTTATTCAGGTAAGTCCTGAGTTATTACACAGAGATAGACACAGCTGTGCTCCTTTTACTGCAGTCCAGAAGATAAAACACCAGCATGATAAAACAGCCGAACCTGTCAGCTACCTTGCAAGTCTTTCCTATATTTGATTCAATGTACTTTTCCCGAAGCAAAATGAAAGTTCTCACAGAGGGGCCCTCCTCTGCCTTGTCCTCAGAATTGGAAAATGTATTGTCCGTGAAGGAGCCTCACCACTGAACCTAAAACTCAAGAGAAAATGTTTCCTGAATATCAAGTGGGATGACTTGAAATTTTGCCAAACAGGCACAATCTTAATACGATCGGCCTTACTAAGGCTAAATGGCCTTATCCATGGTTGAAATTGACACATCATTATACTTTAAAAACTCCACAAATGATTGATTTTACTCTGCAGCCAGGGTTTATGTCAACTGTGAGGATAATGAGCAAGAAATTCAAGCCCTTGGCAAACTGGTTGGAGAGGCAAGGACTGTGTCCAGGCAGACAGAGCTCATATAATTATTTATTGTTTAATCTATTTAATTAAATATGTAATTTACCCACAAACTGTAGCTGACATTATATGTACTCCTGAGCCACATTAAGATGTACTATTTGTGCTGTGAAATTCTATGGGATTTGACAAATGCATGGTGGCAGATCTCCAGCCATTATTAAAGCGTAACACAGAATGCTTCTCTTATTCAAGCTCGTCTTCCCTCCACATAGAGGGAATCAATCGACTTTTGTATACTGATTTTTGTATTTGCTTCTTTATTTCCATCTTCTTTAATTAAAGCACAAGATATCGTACTCAATTTCCATTTGATCTTCCAAAAGGAAAGTACTGAATAATCCACACCTGAATTTCAGTGATTCAGACTCAGGTCTACCGCTAAGGCCAAACGTCCTGTGCTGCCACCTCATGGCCGGCAGAGGGCAATGAAACCCATCTTTCCGGCCATGCAGGGCGCATGAGCAGTCTGCCTCCCTCGGCGGGCCGGGTCTCCAGGGAGGACCTGATTTTTCTTCACCCATAGTTAGGGAGGCGCAATCGCCCTGGCTTTGGGGCTGGGGCCTCCGGGGAGGTTCCGGTAGGGGCGTTGGAGAGGCCGCTCTTTTTGCAAGGCCCGAGACGGCGGGCCCTGCGCAGGCCGCCCTATTCCGCGCCCTCAGGGCGTCAGTATCCGCCTGAGGCCGGATACCCCAGCTGGGCCCGGATGCCGTCGATGGGCCCGGAGCATCCTCGGCGCTGCCCTCCCAGAGCCCCGCAGAGGCTGAGGTGGCGCGGGGGGCGGGCCCGGCTCCGCGAGAAGCAGCGGCAGCGAGGGCTGGAGGACCCGGGCTACGGGGCTCTGGGGCGTCTGGCCTGGGTGGGACTGAGCCCATTCGGGGGGACTCCGGGGTTCTGGTGTAGGTAGATCCGGGGCAGGCTCAGGACCAAGTCCCTCTCCTTCCACCAAGGAGCGCCCAGAGGCCGGCGGGAGCTCCAGGTTCACCTCCTCCTCCTCCAGGTGTTTACTTTTCCTTTATTTCTGTGAGGCCAGAAATTGTCGCCATCCTTCACATCGGTGAATCGGGACCCTAACACTCATTACCTCAGGTTTATTGTTATTGCCATTAACAGTGTTGGTGGCATTATCACTAAGATCATCATTGTTGTTATTATTGTCATTTATGATTATTAGCAGGTGTGTTCATTTTGTCTTACTATGCATTTTTTTTTGGGGGGGGGATTGGTTTTGTATGACGTTGAATTGAGCTTCTTTAATCTTGACCAGTGTCAGATTTCTGAAGAGCATTCCGGAGGACAACTCCTACCTTTCAGCGCAGCCACAGAATTTCGTGGGCACAGGAGAGCACTTAGAATATTCCCCTTTCATTGCACAGCAGCTTTGGGAAATAGTGGCTGCCTGGCTCTGAGATGAGGTAGAAAAGACTGGATACTGGGGCAAGTGTTAGCACCTCCACTGGTGTTTTTATGAAGCTAAGCGCACTGTCTCCCACGTAGACTTAGAATAAAATCTGATGGCTCTAAAGGGCCGTGGCTGCCCTTCCTGGGACTTCCTGGGAACCTTTAAAGCTTCTGTGGTTTCTGGAGTAGGTAGGTTGCCAAGTCTGTGCCTCATATGGTAGTACCAGTCTTTGCTGGGCCAACAAGGACATTTAGAATGTTTCCAGAAGCTCAGGCATGCTGTTTCTGTTCCTCCCTTCTGTTCAATGGCAATTCACTGGGTCCCTGGCTGACATAGAACATCCTGCAGAAGGTTGGGCTTGGGTGACTTCCTGGTCAGCCTTCCCAGGCAGTCATCTTTGAAAACCTTGAAGAGACTCAAAGAGGCCATTCACTGGTATTTCATGACTGCAGGTGGGGTTTCTGGATCCTTGAGTTTACTTAGCATATTTGAATGGCTCTGAATGGCCAAGAAACCCTCCCTGGTCTTAGAAGCTGCCAAAAGCTATTACTGGGCCTCTGAAGAGACTTTTAAATTTTTCCAAGTACATTTGAGCATAGGAAACTTTTCCAGGTCTAGTTGAGCTAGCTCAGGTCGAGTCCTGAAAAACTAGTGGGTATTGGGGGATCCTATCTTACGAAAGAGCAATTGGTGGCAAAGCTGTGTCTCCAGGACAGCTGTGTGTGTATATGTCTGTAGAACATGCCTTTTAGTCATCTTTGGTAACTGAACACCATTTGTGAATGGATAAACTATATTCATTGCTGTACAATAATGAAAAATCCATATTAACAATGGCAGTAATACAAATATTGATGGATATTAACAGGAATAATGATCATCATGATACTAGTACTAATGGTTTTAATACTGATAATAATACTAACCCTATGGGCTTGGGACATATAGGTTTTCCATAAGTGGATAATAGGCATAAATATTTGTCTGTGTAGGGTTATTTCAAGTCCCAAAAAGCAAGGATGAACATCTAGAACGAGAAGAAAAACAATCTGGAGGTTAGTATGTGCACACCTGGGGACTCCTGTGTTAACTTCTGGTGTTTCAGCCTAAGAGAGAATGTTAATATAACCCTGGTCCTGGAACACCATGCTGACCAACACCTACCAGCTTTCAGGAGATAAGACAGCTGGCTGATGGGGCAGGGATCCAGAGAAGGCACGGGTCCACACCTGCACATGTTGCCCAGTGGCAGAGTTCATGACAAGCAATAAGCCCCAGGACAATGTCATTCCCAGCCACCTGGCTGTCATCTGCTCTTTCATGACCCCTCTCTCCTGGTACCTCTAGGCACTGGCATGTCCTCCAGAGGCTGTAGGAGGGCATGATACTCAGTACTCTCACACCTGCAGGAGGCAAGAAAGATGGAAACAGCTAAATACCATGGCTTCTGGATTTTTTTTGGTGGGCATGGCATATTTTGCATTTGCTTTAATAATGGTGGAACCCAGTCAGTGGCTTGCAATACGGATCTAGATGACTCTGGACACCTGTAGAGATTTTGACAATTTCCAGAAGGTCACAAGTTCTTGGAGACTTTTTCATGAGTTCTTTGACTGAAAAGGTGGTTCAAAGAGCTTCTATACTGACTTAGAAAATGTTGCAGAGGCCAGGTGCGGTGGCTTATGCCTGTAATCCCAGCACTTTGGGAGGCCAAGGCAGGCGGATCATGAGGTTAGGAGTTTGAGACCAGTCTGACTAACATGGTGAAACCCCCTCTCTACTAAAAATACAAAAATTAGCCGGGCGTGGTGACACACACCTGTAATCCCAGCTACTCAGGAGGCTGAGGCAGGAGAATCGCTTGAACCTGGGAGTCAGAGGTTGCAGTGAGCCAAGATCGTGACACTGGACTCCAGCCTGAGCGACGGAGCGAGACTCTATCTCAAAAATAAAATAAAAATAAAAATAAAATAAATAAATAAATAAATAAATAAATAAAAAGGAAGACAAAAGAAAGTGTTGCAGACACTGGTGAACAGGTAGGCCCTCTCCTGCCACTCCAGGTAAAAGTTTCTTGGCCACAAACCTGATTTAGCAATATCCCTTCATCTTAGGTGGGTAACAGAAAGCTATTCATGACCTATCCAAGCATGGAGAGGGGATTTGACTTAGAAAACTGTTAGGTGGACTAGTTGCTGAAAGAAAGTGCATTCTAGGGCTCACAGGCCTACACATAGAGTTGCTATCACATAAAGCATATGTACGAATTCTTTCTGAGCCCATGACAAGATGAGGGTGCACTTCATCAGTCTCCTATGCTGGTATGAATAGGTACTTGCCTGAAAAATAAAAGAATAATTCAGGAAGCCCATTCTTCTACAGGACACCAGGCAGTACAGTAGGAGTCCTGGGGTTGCTGTGGTATTTATGTTTTAAGGTTGTCTTTTAATCATCTTCAGCAAATTCAACAGTCTTCAGGAACATAAAAAAATTATTCAACATTGCATAAAAACGACCAAAAATGTATCCATGATAAAGAACTGTACCAATATAATAATAACATTAATAACAATCATAATGGTGATGATATAAATGTCAATTTAATGAAGAGAGTAATAAAAATGCAGATATTTAAGAACATATTCCTGTAAGCCTGTGACAATGTTCCCATATGAGCCCTCATGTTATTGATTAGATGGAGAAGCTTAGGGCTACATCTTGAAATATCTTCTGTGTTGGCAAAGAAGAGTGGCAGTAGGGAGAATAATTCTGAGCCACATGAGAGCATAGGCAAAAGTGGAGATACCTGTGCCATGTGGAAATACATTACAAATGGACTATGGCAAAGGGTCTGGCCAGAGTCTTGCCTGACACACGTCGTACAAAAGCCTTCAGTAGTTCACCTCAAGAAATAGCGTGTCCAGGCTGTAAATGAGAGGCACTGGGCAGACAGATCCACACCCGCCTCCTGAGTCTCAGAAGTCTGGTGTGCATCGAACATTAAGCCCCTAGCCTACTGAGACTTCACCTCCCAGCTGGTCTTCTACCATCTGATTCTTGAGCCCCATCACGTTAGTGTCATCTCCATACTGGAATTGCCAACAATGTCTGACGGAGGGTATTACCCTGGGTACTTGGTACCAGCAATGTATGAAATACCAGAAGGGAGGCTCCAGGGCTTCCATAGAAGACACATTCTAAAGTTACTCAGGTGATCAAATGGTCATCTCAGAGATTTTCAGTAGAACTGCAGCATTTTGTCGATACCTGAGTGAATGCAGAAAATATCCAGAGGCACGGGCATTCTAGGAAGCTCCCTGTGTAAATCAAATACAAGGAATATCTACTTCTGGGCTCAAAAGCTAACTTAGAGAAAAAAAAAGTGAGATGCTGGCAGAAGGCAAATAACTCCACTTCAGTTCCCAAGAGAAAAATGGTTCTGTAACCTCTGAGTTTATTTAGAAAAATTTTGGAGCCTCAGGAAGACCCAGTATATCATTCCTGATGTTTCCAGGACAGATTGGACTGCTTAGGCCTTTGGGAATATTCTAAGTCCTCTCAGGTTTCCATGGGAGGCTGTAACTCTACTCCTAGAACTCACACCACCCCCGAGCAAGCTCATTGTTTTCTAAATATTCCAAGGAAGCCCATCCAGGGTATGCCTGTATTGGTGAGTTTCACTTTGGACTGGCAGGAGAAGACTGAGAATGATACATCCTGAATTCACTTGGTAAAGGTAAGGGAGCCAAGAAGTCCAGATCTGGAGAGCACCTGCAACACCAGATGGCAGAAGGACAGTAAGGAGGTAAAGTCAGCTATGGAGTTGGAGCTTCATGTTTACTGCATGTAGGATTCTGAGTTCCAGGACTGATGGGCTGGTGGGGATCAGAGACGTGTCTTCCTTGCAGGGAGCCAGGCCAAACCAGCCATCTGGTTGCACTACTGAAAGCTTTTGTGTGCCCAGTGGTGGGCAGGACACAAATCACAGTCCCTTCACCTCTGGCTGGTAGTTCTTGATGAGAGAGGTTTGCACACAAATGTTCATATTAGCCCATGGTCTCCTGCGGCTTGCTTTTCTTTCACCTGCTGTTTTTGATGTTTGCCATCATGGAACACATTTCATAGAGAAATTCTTTGACTCTGACTCCAAATTACACAAGGAGGACACAATTTGTGAAGTTTTCATATATTTAGGGGAAGCTCCACATTAATTTTTGTATCCTTATGTTTATATTGTCACCAGTATTAAAATTCATACTATTTAGGTCATTGAATTCATTATCATGATTATTAATTATTTTTCATTTATCATTTCTTTTTATTGATTAATTTTTGTGGCAGCTGTTATATAACAATCACTAGAGTTTCCCTATTCATGAAAGATGTCCAAGTTAATGGAGATAACTAGGAGTGTTACTTTACAGGTATGTAAATACAGATAATCGTGGCTGGACTGTGGCTATATTGTCTGGTGTCCCTTTGAGAGTGAAGCCTCTTGTATTATTCTAAGTGACCTCTGGAGAAAGCAACTGTCTCATAATTGCAGGGACGACTTGAGAAGGCATCCTGAGCCTATGCAGAAATGCAGAAACACTTCCATGATCTAAACAACCTATGTGAAGGCCTGAAAGCCAAAGCAAGATCCTCTTATTACAAAGCTGTCCGACAAAAAGTTTTCCAAGTAACACTGGAGGTCCATCAGTCACTCTTCCTGGTCTGGAAATGCCAGAAATGTCCTCCTTGGTCCTTCTGAGAGTCAAGATCTTTTCAAAATCACCTCAGGAGCCACAGAACCACTTCATCCTACCTGAAATTGCAGGATGACTTCTTTTGACCAGAATCTCAAAAATATATTCGTTGATAGTTTTGATTCCTGGGAGCCGCCATTGCTTGCAAAAGATGTGCCAGAGACTAGACATTTTCTGTCTCCTCACTTGTCTGGGGAAGACTGAAGTTTTACAGAAACACAGAGATGGGAATCTGACCCTCTGAGCAGCCTCAGGATTTTCTAAGTCTTCCAAGCAGAGTGGAAATACTGGTGAGGACCCATTGCACCCCCTGATGGTCTGGAATCACATAGGATGATGCTTTCAAACAACTGTAGGTGGAGATACATTTTCTGAGATATTCCAAGGAGGAGGGACACAACTGGACCAGATGTTAGAAGGACAGCTGAGCATTAAGTGCCTATGTAGTGTTTGCAGCTTAGTGTCCCATGCAGAAGGGGAATCTGGGCCCTGGTGTTAGAATTCAGTGTAATTCTGGGTTCCTGCTTTCCTTCCAGGAAATCCCACTTCCAACTGGATGTCTGGATGAACTACTGAAAGCTGCTGAGTGTCCTGCAGCAGGTGAGCTGTGGCCAGAGCCCAAGGATGAAGGGGGCTCCCTCACTCTGTTACTGTGAAGAGGAAGCCTGAGGTGTAGCAGGCCCAGGCCCCAGAAGTATGGAAAAAAATGAGGTAGGGAGGGAGGGGACCTCAGGAGAAGACTGAGGTCTACAGAATCCCAGGGTCAAGGGGATGGTGCAGTGTTCTGGCACTATCCTTGATGTTCCAAGAGGGGTGAGAATCCATCTCCTGAGTAAAAACTTCACATGGGGTGAGGAGGGGAGAAGAGAACAGAAAGGAAGCAGGGAAGGCCAAGACAGCCACCAGCCTTACAGCAATTTTAACCAGAAATGGACACAGACCCTGGACCCCATCACAGGAGTGCAGGCCTAGGACTGTCTCCAGGTGATGCATAGCTCCCTTGTCAGGTTAGTGGGTTCAGGGATTGTGACGTCTGCAGGGGTGTGGAAGGCTGGGCAATGGGAGCAGCTTACTGGGCTGGACCAGAAATACTGAACTTCTTTTCCATCAGTGAAATCCACTTCTGGGTCAGAAAAAACTGTGAGTTCTAGAGGGGCAGGGCCTAGGAGGAGGTCAGGTCCTGAGCCTTCCTGGTTTGACCCCCTCCCACCCCCTGTGTTTCTGGGTCTGTCCTCACTTCCACCCAGCGGATCCTGAGTCTCTTCCTTTGAGTCCCTGTGAGTGTGTTGTGTGCAGTGGGGCCGGGCTGCTTCATCCACTGCACGTTAAATGTTTCCAACACTTTCCGGCCAAAGCTTAGAGTTGTCAGACCACCGACTTTGAATGTTGACCTGGTTCCTTGTGGAACAGAGTAATAGCTATTGAAGTTTAAAGTCACTTTCCTGCGTGGATGGTGAAGAGGCAGGCTGTTCAGGCATAACTGCCCTCAGGCCTGGAGGGCTGTGGAGGTCACCGTTGGCGGTGGGTGGATCTGGAACCTCTGTGGCTCTAGACTTTCAACTATTTCATTTTTTCTTTTGTAGTTTTTGTTTGTTGCTTGCTTTTTTACAATGGGAACTAGAATGTAAGATGCCAAACTCAGCCTGTGGGGAACATGGATTTTCACAACAGCAACCACAGAGCGTGGTTTCCATTTCTATTCCCTGTTCATGTGGGAGGCAGAGAAGGAAATCAGGTGCTCAGTTCCAGGGACATCACAGGACTAGGACATGTGCAGTGAGGGTGGAAGGCAGAGGCATTGCTTTAGGAGAATAAAATTACTGCATGCACACACATATGTATGTATATGGATGTATGTACACAAACATGCATATTTATAGATTCTGTTCTCTCTCTCTATATACAATTTTCTTTATTTCACACTTGATATGATTTCTAAATTTAAATACCTTTGAGACAAACGTGAATTGTGATGGGATTTAAAAATGTCAGTGAAAAATGGAATTAACAATAAAAATATAAATATAAACTTTATTTCTCAATTTAAGCTCTACTGAGGTCCAGACACTCCATTAAGCGATGATCCCAGCCATTCATTCCATTGCTAAAGAACTGAGGGTAATGGGAATTTAACCGTGTCAATGCAGTCTTCTATTATTAACTAAAGAAAAATGGGTGCCCTTTACAGTTATTTTAAGATTAGGGAAAAAATGTCAGAAGAAACCAAATCAGGACTGTAATGTTGATGCCTAATAATTTCCCATGAAAACTCTTGCAAAATTACCCATGTTTGATGAGAGGAAGGAACAGAAGTGTTGTTGTGGTGCAGAGGGACTCTCTAGTGAAGCTTTACAGGGCGCTTTTCTGCAAAAGTATTTGCTAATTTTCTCTAAGAACTCTCCTAGTAAGCAGATGTTATGGTGCTTTGATCTTACAGAAAGTCAACCAGCAAAATGCCTTGAGCATCCCCAAAACCTCCATGGCTTTTGCTTTTGAGAAGTTTGCTTTTGCTTTGACTGGACCACTTCTACCTCTTGGTAGCCATTGCTTGAATTGTGCTTTGTCTTCAGGATCTTATTGATAAAGCCAGTTTCACTCCCTGTTATAATTCTTCAAAATAATGCTTCAGGATCTGATTCCGCTTGCTCAAAATAGTTACTAATAGCTCTGCTTTTGTCCACTGCTGATCTAGGCACAAGGGTATTTGGGACTCATCAAATGTAAAATTTCTCAACTTTCACGTTATAGTCAGTATTGTGTAAGCTGAACCAATTGAGATGCCTGTGGTGTTGGCTATAGTATCTCTTGCTAATTGTCAATCCTCCTCAATTAGGGCATAGAAACGATTTTTTTTCTCAAAAATTGGTATGGATGTCCCTCCTCTGTTGACTTCATCTTCAACATTGTATTATCTCTTCTTAGAATAAGGTATCCATTTGTAAATGACTGATTCTTCAGGTTATTTTTCCCGTACACTTTTCATAAAGAATAATTTATTTCACCATTTTTTGTACCCCAGCTTCACCGTAAATTTGATGTTTGTTCTTGCTTCAGGTTTGACAGAATTCATGTTGCTGCCATAGAGGGGCTCTTTTCAAACTGATGTCTTAAATCTTGTTCAGATATGTTAAAACAGGGCCAGGCACGGTGGCTTACGCCTGTAATCCCTGCATTTTGGAATTTTAGACAAAATAAAGTTTTTTAAAATTTTATTTTATTTCATTTTAAGTTCTGGGATACATGTGCAGGATGTGCAGGTTTGTTACATAGGTAAATGTGTGCCATGGTGGTTTGCTGTACCTATCAACCCATCACCTAGGTATTCAGCCCACATGCATTAGCTATTTATCCTGATGCACTCCCTCCCCACTCACCCCCAGACAGGCTCCAGTGTGTGTTGTTCCCCTCCCAGTCAGATGGGGCCTGACTGGAGCTGCCAAGGGGTGGAGCTTCTGGGAAAAGGATCCCTCCTAGGGGGGAGTGTCTTGAGCCTGGGGTCATGTGGCAGGGACAGAGACGGGTCCATGGCAGTGTGTGCTCTTCTCTGTGAAGGCAAAGGGCCTCTGAGGGAGTATTACAGTCGCCTCATCCACCAGAAGCATTTCCAGCACATCCAGGTCTGCACCCCTTGGCTGGAGGGCCGAGGACTACCCCCGCTTCTAGGTGAGAGGCCAGCAGGAGGCTCAGGGAGGAGGTGGGGCCTTAAGCAGGGGGAGCAGGGGTGGGCAGGATGTACTTTTTCTGAAAAGGTGGCTCTGGAGGCCACTTGGGGACAGGACCTGGGCTCTGGCTCAACTCCCGGGAGGAGGCCACTTCCTGGTCTGCCAGCCCCTCTTAGCCAGGTGGCCCCAGAGGCCCTTTACCAATGGGTTTGAGGAGGCCACGTCCTTTCATCCTGCCACGCCCTCCATTCAGTCCTCTTCCTTCCTGCAGGAGGGCTGGGCCTGGGGTTGAGGCCACTGTTGCCCAGGTGTGGGAGGACAGTGGCTTTGGGAGGTACAGGGACGATGTGTCAAACAGCATCGCCTCTCCCAGTGAGATGGTTCTTCTTTGTCTCCGTCTCTTTCCCCGTTGATTTCTCCAAGTTGGGAGTCGTGGCTTGGTCCTGATGCGTCTCTAGAGCCGCATCTTCCAGCTTCGAGTGAGCAGAGCACTTGGCGGCTGAGGGTCTTTTCCTGGCAGGATTCTCCAGCTAAAAGACAAGACTGTCTTTTAGACAGTCTTGCTCCGTTGCCTAGGCTGGAGTGCACGATCTCAGTTCATGCAACCTCCGCCTCCTGGGTTCAAGCGATTCTCCCACCTCAGCCTCCCAAGTAGATTACAGGATTATGGGAGCCCGCCACAACACCTGGCTTATTTTTGTATTTTTAGTAGAGACAGGGTTTCACCATGTTGGCCAGGCTGGTCTTGAACTCCTGACCTCAAGTGATCCTCTCGCCTTGGCCTCCCTAAGTGCTGGGATTCCAGGCCTGACCCATCATGCCTGGCCCCAGCTAGTCTTTAGAAATGTTAAGCTATTTGGCTTTATTTTCACACTGACAGCTGGTTTGTGGTGGGTGTGATGTGGTTTATTATTATTATTATTATTATTTTGAGACGGAGTTTCGCTCTTGTAGCCCAGGCTGGAGTGCAATGGCGCGATCTTGGCTCACTGCATCCTCTGCCTTCCCAGGTTCAAGCGATTTTCCTGCCTCAGCCTCTTGAGTAGCTGGGATTACAGGCACCTGCCATGACGCTTCGCTAATTTTGTATTTTTTTTTAGTAGAGATGCGGTTTCACCATGTTGGCCAGGCTGGTCTTGAACTCCTGACCTCAGGTGATCCACCCGCCTTGGCCTCCCAAAATGCTGGGATTACAGACAGGAGGTAAACCTGGGAGGTGGAGGTTGCAGGGAGCTGAGATTGTGCCACTGCACTCCAGCCTGGGTGACAGAGTGAGACTCTGTCTCAAAACAAAACAAAACAAAACAAAACAAAACAAAACAAAACAACGACAACAAAAAACAAATTGTGGTTATGTAGAAAATGTGTCAACTTACATTTTCAGATGTCCCAGCCAGGCCGTGTGGCTGCGTGGCCAGCTTAAGCCACTTGTGCTTGGGGATGTCGGGGGCCTTATCCAATTTTCACTCCCCTTGGGGGATGTTGTCTCACTCTGCTGGGAGGATTTTTGTTCCCAGGGCAGAGACCAGCGCTCTAACCCACCCCTCTTGCCTAGCAGGGTCGGTGGACCTGGGTGTCTGTCTGGACACATCCTCCAGTGGCCTGGACCTGCCCATGAAGGTGGTGGACATGTTCAGGAGCTGTTTGCCTGCGTGTGCTGTGAACTTCAAGTGGTAGGAGCAGAACCCGAATCTTTCTGGGGATAGCTTCACAGATCCACCGCTGAGGGGGAAGCAGTGTAGAGTGAGCTGCCCACAGTGAGGCCCTGCCCCTCGGTCAGTCCAGCACACACTGGAGGCCATGAGGAGGAGCCCTGCGGTTACTGTGGCTGGGCTGAGACTCACTGAAGTAGTCGCTTCCATTTAGAGCTCATGTTATATTTAGGTTGGTACAAAAGTAATCACGGTTTTTGCCATTAAAAATGCAATAACTTTTGCACCAGCCTAATGTGAAAAAAGAAAGCACCTTAAATACTAGAACTCCACTCAGGGCTTTTGCTCCTAGAGTAGAATTGGAGGGAATTGCCTGCAGGCTTACATGGTTTTCTTTGTTTTTCTCTCCCACCATGTCCTTTTTGGCCAAGCTCACATGGTGGGTTTGAATCAGTTAAATGAATGTCATGCTGTGGCCTCACTCCACCCAGCATAGACGGGTGTTTGGAAGGGTGGCGTTAGAGGAGATTCTAGAAGCAGTAGCCCCAGCACAAGTTGAGCCCTTGGCCCCTGCTCAGGAGCCGGCTCCTGGATGGGATTCAGGGGTGCGAGCCCCTCGTGTGAGCTGAGCTCAGGGAATGTCGGGATCAAATCTGGTGTCCTAGAAAAGTCATCTTTTATGTGCTGAACCAGTCCCCAGGGGGTTGCGTTTACTTGTTCCATGGCCATGGAATTAAGAAAAACATGCAAAAATAATTCTTCAGTACTTGAAGAGCATCCAGCACAGAAGGTACAAACCTTCCTTAAGGCTCCCTCCTCAAATCGGTTTGGCCATTTTGATGTGCACCCCCAGGCCTTTATACCCTTCAGATGCCAAATCTAAGAACCAGCTCCCAGAAACCACACATCCTGTTCCAACCCCCAGCCTGGCTTGAGCGTGGGTGGGTGGGAGACAAGCTGGACACCCCAGGGGTCTGGTGTCTTCTCCAGGCAGCTCTCAGGCTCCCTTGGTTCTCTCTGCAGCTTACATGAGCTGGTGAAACATGAAGAAAATGGCCTGGTCTTTGAGGACTCAGAGGAACTGGCAGCTCAGCTGCAGGTAGCCATGTCTGCCACCACGCCAGGGTGGGCAGGGTTCTGGAGACTGGCACCGAGCCACAATCCCTGATCCCTGCTTCCCACAGCCAGGGTTGTACCATGGGGGGTCTGGTGGAAAAGCTAGTGAGGGAGCAGAAGTCACAGAGGCTGGCCTACTCTGCTGTCCCATTTCAGTACAGTAGGCTCGGGAAAGTTAGGACACAACCCCACCTGCCCTCTGGATTTATGGAGCTGACACTCCACAAATGATGCTGGAGCCGGGTGGGCCAGGCTGCAGTTTAGGAAGTGATCAGGATCAGGTAGGTGCGTGGGCAAAGGGAACTTCTGGGACCAGCCTTGAAAGATGGGTGGAATTCTGCAAAGGTTACTTGTTTCTTATTGCAAAAAGTAATACATCATTCTTGTCAACAGAATGATTGGGAGGATTTTCAGTAAAGGTCCAGGTCAGAAGTCATTTAGACTGGGTTCCCCAGTCTCTGTCAGAACCATGGTACTCTGTTGTGGTGTGAGAGTAGCCACAGATCATCTGTAGATTAAGGGGTGTGGCTTTGTTCCAATAAAGCTTTATTTACAAACACAGGCTGTGGGCTGGATTTGGCCTGCAGGCTGTAGTTTGTGATCCTTGATTCAGACAGTTTAGCAAGGCTGAAAAGAACACCCACACCCCCTTGTTACCCACAGATGGGTGGGACTGTGTTGGCCAGAGGCTGAGAGGAGGGTGCTCACAGGGGAACGTACAGCATGTAGAGGCCGGAAGGTGCTCCAGCGCACCAAGTGTGGGAAAGTGGGACACACGGGGAAGTTTCCAGAAAGCATGATGTCAAGTTGGAGGCGGAGCGCTGCTGGGTTGTGAAGGGTCTCAAGTCCAAGTGAGGGAGTTAGGGACTTGGGAGGGGTTGTTGTTGGGTCGGGGACCTGGGTTCAGCCAGGTGGTGACCTGGGATGGGGTGGGGACAGGCAATGAAGTAAGCTCTGCTCTTTAGTATTTTGCAGATGCTTTTCTCAAACTTTCCTGATCCTGCAGGCAAGCTAAACCAGTTCTGGAAGAACCTGCGGGAGTCGCAGCAGCTCTGATGGGATGAGAGCTGGGTGCAGACTGTGCTCCCTTTGGTTATGGACACATAACTCCTGGGCCAGAGGCTAAAACCCCAGGGCCCCTGCTGTCCTTCCCGCAGCTTCTTCTTGGTGTCTCAGGGCAAACCCTTTCGAGCAGCGCCTCCCAGTGGCCGGAAGCTGAAATGAAGGCAGTGGTGCCACCTGGTGAATGACTCGGGAAGCTGTGGTTGGCCCTGATTTCTTCTTTGGAGTCTCTGAAACGCTTCCTGTCTTCTGTTCTTCACGCCCCATGCCCCTGCTAGCGTATTACTGTTCTGTGACTTCCCTGTGACCTCTGCAGTACTCCTTACCCTGCATTTGGTCTCCAGGTGTCACCTTTCTGCCATGTTCCTAACACTTTGATTCCTGTCTTGAAAAAAGCACCTGCTGCATCATAAACCCAGGGATGTGGCAGCTGCAGCCGGCTTGGCTTTTTGAGGAACCGAGTGTGTCCAGGGATGTGGCAGCTGCAGCGGGCTTGGCTTTGTGAGGAAACGAGTGTGTCCAGGGATGTGGCAGCTGCAGCGGGCTTGGCTTTGTGAGGAAACGAGTGTGTCCAGGGATGTGGCAGCTGCAGCGGGCTTGGCTTTGTGAGGAACCGAGTGTGTCCAGGGATGTGGCAGCTGCAGCGGGCTTGGCTTTGTGAGGAAACGAGTGTGTCCAGGGATGTGGCAGCTGCAGCGGGCTTGGCTTTGTGAGGAACCAAGTGTGTCCACGTTGGGGGAATGTCATACTTGATACACACGTTTTTATTTGCACAATGAAAATGCTATTTTTGGAGCCAGAATTTTCATGTCTGATTTATGGTGATTTTCTTAAGAACCAGAACTGCTGGCAGAAAGGGGGAACCCACATGCTTAGATAGCCGATGTCTTATTAGAGCGCAGTTTGTGGTTCCTGATTTGGAATTTAACATTCTCCAAACATTCCAGTCCAATGAAAGTTTTATCCGCTTTCCCATATAAAAATTCTTCCCACGAGAGTGACTTAATTCTCACAATCCCGTTGGAGTCATGTGTGAGTCCTACAGTGTGAGGTTCAGCTTTGCCATCTCCAAGTGCTCTCTGTAGGGAAACAGTTTCTGGTCATGATGAGCTTCCGCTTCCCATCTGATCCCAGTCCAGCCTGGAAACAGAGCACGTGTTTGAGGATGGCGGTGTTTGGGGACAGGACATGAGCGTATTGTGTGGGGCTGCTAGGACAGGCCTGGCGGGGTGGGGGGTGTCTAAGTCAGTATACTTTGTTCACAGGTTCCCAGGCCCACCCAGGTACCTAGAATTGGCCTCCAGGATGGGACCAGAAATCTGGTTTTGCATAGAAATGGCTAGCAGCAGGCACCATGCTGCTGTCCACTCTCTGCCTGTGTCTGCCCCAGCACTTGGCACAGCAGGACAGAAGCAGAGATCTGAACCCACATCTACCTGGCTGCTTAGTCAGTCCACTCTTCACAAAGCTTAGAAAGTGGCCGGGCACAGTGGCTCATGCCTGTAATCCCAACACTTTGGGAGGCCAACGCCGGCGGATCACTTGAGGTCAGGTGTTCGAGACCAGCCTGGCCAACGTGGTGGAACTCCATCTCTACAAAAATACAAAAATTAGCCAGGCACGATGGCGGGTGCCTGTAATCCCAGCTACTTGGGAGGCTGAGGCAGGAGAATTGCTTGAACCCAGGAGGCGGAGGTTGCAGTGAGCCGAGATTGTGCCACTGCACTCCAGCCTGAGTGACAGAGTGAGACTCTATCTCAAAACACACACACACACACACACACACACACACACACACACACACACACACACACAGAGCTTAGAAGGGGCTGGTGTTCTTATAAGCACAGATGTCTGAAGAGCCATTATCCAGAATGATTCTTTTTTTTTTTTTTTTGAGCTACGATCTTGTTCTTTCACCCAGGCTGGAGTGCAGTGGCACAGTCATTGCTCACCACAGCCTCGACTCCTGGGCTCTAGCAATCCTCCCACTTCCTGAGTAGCTGGGATGACAGGTGCATGCCACCATGCCAGTAATTTTTTTATTTTGTAGAGATGGGGTCCTGAACGCATGGCCTCAAGTGATGCTCCTGCCTTAGCCTCTTTTATTATTATTTTTTAGATGGAGTTTTACTCTGTTCCCCAGCTGGAGTGCAGTGGCGCAATCTCAGCTCACTGCAACGCCTCCCAGGTTCAAGTGATTCTCCTGCCTCAGCCTCCTGAGTAGCTGGGATTATAGGCGTGCACCACCACGCCTGGCTAATTTTTGGGTGTTTAGTAGAGATGGGGTTTCACCGTGTTGGCCAGGCTGGTCTTGAACTCTTGACCTCAGGTGATCTGCTCACCTCAGCTTCCCAAAGCCTCAGCCTCTTACAGTGTTGGGATTACAGGCATGAGACACTGTGACCCGGGATGATTTTCAATCACGGTTTTTTGTTACGAGTGGAAAATGCGTATTTATAAAAATGAAGTAGTATAGACATGAACATGTAGCAATCTCTATAATCCTGCCATCCAAGGATGGCACCTGTTAACGTGTATATCAACGATGTCCAATCTTTTGGCCTACATGCGCCACATTGGAAGAAGAAGAATCGCCTTGGGCCACACATAAAATACACTAATGCTAGCAATAGCTGATGAGCTAAAAGAAAAAAATCACAAAAAAATCTCATATTGTTTTAAGAAAGTTTACAGATTTGTGTAGGGCCACAGGTTGGACAAGCCTGCTATATATATGTTCTAGGTTTTCTCCTATAGGTATACTTATGTGAAAATGATTATTGTGATAATTTTTTTTTGAGATGAAGTCTTGCTATGTTGCTCAAGGTGGCCACAAACTCCTGGGCTTAAGCCATCCTCCCACCTCAGCCTCCTGAGTAGTTGGAATATAGGTACTCATAACCACGTGTGGGTGATTATTATTAGTTTTTAAACAAAAATGGGGCTGGGTGCAGTAGCTCACGCCCGTATTCCTAACACTTTGGGATGCTGAGGCAGCAGATCACTTGAGGTCAGGAGTTCAAGATCAGCCTGGCCAACATGGCGAAACCTCAACTCTAGAAACAATACAAAAATTAGCCAGGCGTGGTAGCACGCACCTGTAGTCCCAGCTACTCAGGAGGCTGAGATGAGAGGATAGCTTGAACCTGGGAGGTGGGAGGTTGCAGTGGGCCGAGATGGCACCACTGCACTCCAGCCTGGGCAATACAAGGCCAGACTCTGTCTCAAAAAAAAAAAAAAAGGTTGGTGGGGGCTTATACTATGTGTGCTGCTTGGCACTGTTTTTTTCACTTAAAAGATATGGCAGGTTTTTTTTCACGTAAGTATCTGAAGAAAGACTTCCTTTTTTTTTTTTTTTTTTTTTTTTTTTGCTTTTTTGCTTTTTTGAGACAGGGTCTTGCTCTGTTGCCCACGCTGGAGTGCAGTGGTGAGATCAGGGCTCACTGCAGCCTCCACCTCGTGGGCTCAAGCCATCCTCCCACCTCAGCTTCCCAAGTAGCTGGGACTACGGGCGTGTGCAACCACATCTGGCTAGTTTCTGTAAGTTTTGTGAAGATGGGGTCCCACTATGTGGCCCAGGTTGGTCTTGAACACCTGGGGTCAAGTAGTCCTCCTACCTTAGCCACCTAAAGTGCTGGGATGACAGGCCTGAGCCCCGCGCCCGGCCAGCCTCCTGTGTGAGGTTGTGCAGGACTCTGTCGTGGAACCCAGTATGTCTTCGTGTCCTGGCTTGTTTGTTGGCTCTGTAGTTAACGGGCTGCCCCACGTGGACAGGCACTGGCTTGTCCGTGTCTCTGTGTGCAGGCAGAGGCTGCTGCGGGTACATCTGTGCACATGGCTGCCAGGAGGGGCTGTGCTCAGGGGGAGCTGGGGCAAAGGCTGGTGGCAATGGGGGGCTTGGGTGTAGAGTGGAGGCACAAGAGCCAGGTGGCCGGGCAGCAGTCTGTGGGAGCTCGGGGGTTGCTTGTCCTCTGTGTGTCCTAGTGTCTTTGTCGGTGAGATGGGACAATGATATCACACTCTCACAGGTGCGGGGGCTGACAAATGTCAGGTCTGAGGACAGTGGCTGGCCCACTACGGGGCCAGTTCCCCTTCTCTATAGTCACCCTGCTCATCTTCCATTGACTGGGTGCTCAGGACAGTGGCGTGGTGGATCCGCCTGTACAGCCTGTGCTCCAGCGTCCTGCAGGCCACAGCTGTGTCCAAACCTGACCCCGACTGCCCCTCCTGCCACCTCTATTTTATAGATGAGGAAACCGAGGCCCAAGGGCTTAGGGAACCCTGCTCTGAAGCACACAGTAGGGCTGCTGGGCTCAGATCCTCCCTCCCTGTGCTGAGCTGCCCTCCTCCTGCCACAATCCCCCCACGACCCGAGCCCACCCTTCTCACCGGCCTCTGCCCTAGTTCCCCGCATGGTGTGGGAGTGTGGGGCATCCTAGCTTTTCCCCGGCCCCCAGTTCTTTCACTTCCACTGGAGTCCTGTAGGGACAGCTTGGGGACCATGCAGGCCCGGGTGGGCGTGGGGGCTCACATAGCTCGGTGGTGAACAGCTGGCACATCTCTGGGTTGCAGACGGTAAGGGCCATGTAGAATTGAGGAGCCCGCTGGTGCTCCCGGCAGGCAGCCAGCCTCCGCAGGACCCCGACCAGCGACACGATGGCTTCTGGGCAATACAGCACGTCTACGGTGAAAGCTTCAGGTTACTGAAAGGGACCAGCGGACAGTTCCAGGTCATGCTGACCTCAGCAGAAGGGCGAGGCCAGAGAGGCAGCGGTCATATGAGACTAGTAGATGCCATTTGATCATTTGGGCCATTAGATGGAAAGGCAATTACTTGGGTGAAAAAGGAGAACCCTTAATAGAGAAAGCTGCAAAAGACTGAAGCAAAAGAAAAAAATCTCCAGACTCACTGGTGTTCCTTAAAAAACGTGCTCTGGTTCTCGGCCTATCTAGAGGGCTGTGAATGACACAAAGCCTGACCCTGCGATGAACTTCGTGTTTCAGGTGTCTGCGGATTTGTCTGCTGGCTTGCAGGGGTGGGCCTGTGTCCCTGGCCACTGCTGGACCTGTGATTTTCAGGGCTGGGACCCAGGACCACAGGCAGAGCTCTGTTCGACCAGAGAGGAGACTGAGCGTGCTGGCAGGGGTGAGGGGTTTTCCGTGGCCCAGCCAAACACCACCTTCTCTCAAGGGCCCTGTCCTTATCCCAGAAGTGGTTGTTTTCCTCCTGTGGTCTCTGAAACACACAGGCATGGCTCTGGGACAGAGCCATGTGGTGACGACTGTAACGGGAGTATGCCTGTCTCCAACAAGAGGGCTGTGGCTTGAAGGTCAGCTTAAGAGGCACCCCTGTCCTTTGATGTCACCCTGGAGGCCCAGAGTAACTCTTCTGGAAGCCCCATCATGTCCATGCCCAACAGCATCCATTGTTCCCTTTTCCCAGAGCCAAGAGCTGGTTAGAGCTGCAAGGACACCGCCTGCACAGGATGCCCGGGGCTGGGCATTACCTGCTGCAATGACAACATCTGGCTGGATGGCAGAGAGCTGACAGACCGTCGCGACGTCCCAGTCCAGCTGGGCCACTGTCACCCTGGGGCTGTCTAAGTTGGCAGTGATATCTGCACCTAATGAGAGGCCATTGAGAAGGACATTCCCTCAGAGCTGCTAGAGGACCCAGCTGTGACAGTCCCTGAAGATGTATGCCCGGGGGTGGCACATCTTGCAGATGGCCAGGCCTGTGAGGCCAGCACCACTGCCAAGCTCTAGGACAGTCCTGGTGGGAGGAAAGGGGGTCATGTCTGCGACTGCACCAGGGTAAGCCTGCCTCGGTGCCCTGCCCTGTGCCCTGAGGTCACCTATCAGTGAAGGCTGCTGGGTTCTCGATGGCCCATTCTGCAAGGTAGAGGGCGGCATCCCATGTGACCAGGACTGTGATGCCGTGGGAGATGATGGCTGTGCTCTTGGAGAGTGTGACTGAGCCTCCCGAGGGCAGCACCAAGAGAAGGCGAGAGAGTCAGTCCAGCGATCAGAAGGCAAGTGGCTTAGAAGACAAGCAGCCATCCACCACATGGCTGAATAAACCATGACAGGACAAATCGCCACTCAGCAATGAGAAGCAGCTAACTGTTGACATGCCAACAGCTTGCACAGGCCTCAAGGGTGTCACGTGGCATGAAAGACACTCATCTCAGGCCACACAGGATTCCATTCATTGAACATTCCTGAGACAATGGAATTCTGGCGATGGAGCACAGGTCAGTTGTGGCCAGGGGCCGGGTGTGGCTATGAAGGGGTGGCTGCCTTGTGATGATTCAATATGCTATGTTTTTCCTTTGTGGTTTTCTGTATCTATGTTTTATCTTATTTTTTTTGAGCTCTGTTCCCCAGGCTGGAGTCAGTGGCACAATCTTGGCTCACTGCAACCTCTGCCTCCTGGGTTCAAGCAATTCTCCTGCCTCAGCTGCCCAAGTAGGTGCGACTACAGGCATGTGTCACCATGTCTGGCTAATTTTTCTACTTCTTTTTGACAGTTTCACTCTCGTTGCCCAGGTGGGAGTGCAATAGCGCGATCTTGGCTCACTACAACCTCCACCTCCTGGGTTCAAGAGATTCTCCTGCCTCATCCTCCTGAGTAGCTGGGATTACAGGCGCCCACTACCACACCAAGCTAATTTTTGTATTTTTAGTAAAGGCAGAGTTTCACCATGTTGGCCAGGCTGGTCTCAAACTCCTGATCTCAGGTGATCCACCCGCCTCAGCCTCCCAAAGTGCTGGGATTACAGGCATGAGCCACCACGCCCGGCCTAATTTTTGTATTTTTAGTAGAGACAGGGTTTCACCATATTGGCCAGGCTGGTCTTGAACTCCTGACCTCGGATCCACCCGCCTCAGCCTCCCAAAGTGCTGGGATTACAGGTGTGAGCCACCACACCCGGACCTGTCAACTATTCTTTGAGGACTGGGCACCAGGTCCTTGTGAAGCAGGTAGAGTGTGTCACCTATTGGACAAATGCCTCACAACCCTATAAGACATGCTGTTGTTGTTGAAGTGCTTGATTTACAGACAGGGAAACTGAGGCTAAAGAAGGTTGACGAACCTCATGTCTAAGACTGCAGACTGGGTGAGTCAGGATTTGAACCCACACCCACGTTTTCACTTTGTCTGTGCGGGAAGGGTATCTGGGCTGTGAGGGGGAGGAGGGTGTCCTTCTCATACCAGCAAATAGCTCCGGTGGCCCTGGGTGGACTCCTTGGCCATCAGGGTCTCCACCAGCACCTCGTACAGCTCATCCAAAGGCTCTGTGTGGACAGCCTCGTGCTGGGGGCAGACAGAGTGAGAGCTTGTTTGCTTTCGTTCTAATCTGTAAAAATGGCCAGATGATTTTCACCAAGTTTGGAGGGGAGATATGGGATAGAATGGTGTAATACCGGCCAGCTGCCATATAAAATATTCACTTCGTTGGGCGTGGTGGTGTGTGCCGAATAGTCCCAGCTACTCTAGAGGCTGACATGGGAGGACTGCTTGAGCCCAGGAGTTCAAGGACAGCCTGGGCAAGAGACCTTGTCTCTAAAAAAAAAATTCACTTGGTAGGGAAACCTGGATGGGAGGGCCTTCAAAGAGAGGTGTTGAAAGTGTAGGGTTGGGTGTAGTCTAGGGCAGGAGACAAGGATTCTGTGAGAGCTGCCACATGACCATGACAGAGAGGAGGAAAACAAAAGGTGCTTTTAAGTGAGCCCAGGCAGAACTGTGAGGGCGGCCCATGCTGCAGGCTGTGGCTGTCAGCAGGCTGCTTCTCCACGGCTGGCCCCATCCTAAGATTCACAGGGCAGCAGCAGGGTACACTGGGTGACTGCTGCCCTCTCCTGGTGGCACAGGGCAGACCTACTGGTGACCACAGATGCACCCTTTTGGGGAGGACTAGGGAGAAAGAAGGTATTGGAGAAGCAGGGGATTGTTTATTTGCTAAAAGTGTGGCCCTTTCACACAGAAGATCTGCTACTGCCTACTGAGGAATGGCCTCTCGACATCCTTATGTCAAACCCTGCATGTTCGGGCTCATCTTTAAAATCCATCCTAGGCCAGGTGTGGTGGCTCATGCCTGTAATCCCAGCATATTGGGAGGCCGAGGCAGGCGGATCACCTGAGGTCAGGAGTTTGAGACCAGCCTGGCCAACATGGTGAAACTCTGTCTCTACTAAAAATAAAAAAATTAGCCAGGCATGGTGGCATGTGCCTATAGTTTCAGCTTCTTAGGAGGCTAGGCACGAGACTTGCTGGGACCCAGGAGGCAGAGGTTTCAGGGAGCCAAGACTGTGCCATGGTAATCCAGCCTGGGCAACACAGTGAGACTCTGTCTCAAAAAAATAAATAAGTAAAAAATAAAATCCATCCTGTATCAGTCAGGAAAGAGCTCATTCCAGCAGGATCAATGCAGAGAATTCACCAGCGGAAGTAGTTCCAAAGGTATGGCAAGAGCTAAACCTTCCAACAGGGGCCCGTGGGGCAACCCAGAGATGGACAAGAGCAGGAAACTCCAAACCCTTCGGCGGGCAGGACAGAGGGTGTGAGTGAGGGTTCCAGTGCTGTGGGCTGGACCAGCCTGGTAGGAATGAGAATCCATATGCTAGGAGCTGGGGCCCCAGAGAAGCAGCTGCTGCGGAAACCCCAGGAGGCAGAGTGAGGGAGAGACGCTGGCCTTCCCTTCTTCCCGCCCTGCACTGTCTCCCATGGGTCACACGCGGCTGCAGCCAGTTGCCTGGGGAGGCCCCTGCCATACTGGGGTTTGCAAAGCAGGCCCAGGGCCTGGGAAGGATGAGGTCTGCAGCACGCAGGTGGCTATGCTGTCCTGCTACTGGGCGGACACTGCCCATAACTGACCTTTTTGATGAGTTCTGAGAGAAAGCACCGGGCATACTTGACTGACGGCGGGTGCTTCACACACACAGGATGCTTCACAGTCTACTGCAAGGGACAGAACATTGGTTGCTCGAGAGCCCGTCTTAAGTCGCCTATGAGCCTCAAGCCAACATGGCAGAGGGCAAACTCCAGGCTACCGGATCCCTCAGCAAAGATGCAGATGGACACAGCGTTCTGGCCCCATGCATCTGAAGTTTGTCTTAAGCTATAAGCCGTTTCCTAAAAATGCTTCCACTGCAGTGGCACAGGCTATGGCAGCATTTCTAATGCCCATTCTGAGCAGGAACACAGGGCACGTGGGCCCAAACCACCTCCCTCCCAGGGGAGCCAGTGTGAACCAGCGTTTGCAGTAAAGACAGTCGCCAACTGTCTGGCTCTATGGAAGAGGAGGGAAGGCCCACTCGGCAACTGCTCTCTTTCAGCGTGTGTCCCTGGGGACAGGATGGAGGGGAGGGGACGCTCAGGGTGACACTCCAGCTAAAGCCAAGAGAAGTCAAGTGCAGGACGAGCAAGTTCCAGGCAGTGGCAACAGCTGGTGCAAGCTCTGAGGTGGCCACAGCCTGGCACTTGGAAAGGAGGGCAGAGGGACTAGTGCAGCAGGACAGGGGATGGTAGGAAAACAGGAGCCTGGAGGGAGAGGGAGGAGACAGTCTGCAGTGCCTGCTGGCTGGGAGGGATGCAGATTCTGCCCAAGGGCAGCAAAGTACCCCACGCAATACACAGGCTCTTCAGGCTGGTGCTGGTTTTTCATTTTTTCTGACACAGAGTCTCGCTCTGTTGCCCAGGCTGGAGTGCAGTGGCCCAATCTTGGCTCACCGCAGCCTCTGCCTCCTGGGTTCAAGCGATTCTCCTGCCTCAGCCTCCCGAGTAGCTGGGACTATAGGCGTGCACCACCACGCCCAGCTAATTTTTGTTTTTTTAGTAGAGATGTGTTTTTGCCATGTTGGCCAGGCCCGTCTTGAACTCCTGACCTTAGGTGATCTGTCCACCTCAGCTTCCCAAAGTCCTGGGATTACAGATGTGAGCCAGTGCACCCAGCCTTGTGCTGGGTTTTAAAGCAGCTATTCCTACATTTCATGCTTCACCACCTACGAGAGTGATGCTCAGGGTGAAACTCAGAGCAGGGTGCAAGACAACTTCAGGTATCTCCATGCTCGAAGCCCTGACCTACTGTATTGCCCCAAAAGTCTTCCCTGCTGTGGCTGCATCTTTTCCACATGGATAATCTTGGTTCACCTCTAGCACAGGAATTCTTCACTGGGGCTCCTAGGATGGGCTGGGTGGGTGGGGGTGGACAATGTCTGCCTCCAGAGTTTGTATGGAAAATGTATTCTTCTGGTGCACTTCTTTCTGGGAGGGAGTCTATTGCTTTGTCTTTTCAGAAGGGCTCATGGCTCTTCGAAGGTGAAGACCCAGGATGCAGGGTGATCTGCACTTGGCCCTCAAGGCCAAGGTCAGGCTGTGGCTGGGCCGGGTGGTGATCCTGCCTCTCACCTACATGCAGATGCTCTTGAGTCCAAACCCCACCCTGGGCAAAGTAAGGGCCCATTTAGGTCTAGAAGAGACAGGAGTGGGCAGGACAGGCCTCACGAATGCAAAAAAGAAAGTCTCTGAGCATCTACCAAATGTTAGAAGCTGTTTTGCACCTGTCATCTCTGTTTTTGCTGTGGGGGGTTTAAAAAACTTTCCCTAGATTCCCCCCTCTCATGCAGAATTTTGTATATTCTGATATCTTTGTCTAAGTCTTATATAGAAAATGAAAGAGCTGGAGCTGTTGGAGGTGCCGACACCCACCTGCAGTGCTGACTCAATGGTTTTGTTCCTTGAACAGGGGTGTTTTTAAAGGGTACAAGCACACCTGTGCTTCTTCTCTCAGGTCTTCCGGAGAGATTCAGGAGGCAGGGTCATGAGTCCCAGGGACTCTGGAATTCTTACCTTCTGCAAAATATCCCGCAGCAGCTCAGAATCTGATGAGTCTCTTAACTTTGCTTCTAAGCTCTGTGTGGAGAGGAGAGAGAGAAATCTCAAGGGTGCATTCACAGGAACATTAAACACGCAATAGAATGAGTTGGCAAAGGGCTGTGTGATCTCTCCCTGGGGATGTGGAGCCAGTTGGAAGTGGAAGCCACAGCAGCTGAAAGCCTGACCTTCAGATGTCGCAGGGTGCACCTGGATGAGTCACAGGAAGAAGGTTAGAAGACTGACTCTTGGCCACATTAGTCCTGGCTACTTAGCGGCCACCCACGTCATGGGCCAGCTCCCTGGTTGCACTGGTCAGCCAGGAATTACCAGGGCAGCCATGGCACCAAAGTTTGATGGGCTTGCCATCTGAGTTTAAGTGGAAATGCAGAATGTGCCCATACCAGCCTGGGTTACATTGTCCTCTTACAGGGACCTCAAGCCCAGCAGCGAACTTTGGCTCCAGAGTTAGCCAGACTGTCTCGGCTGATATGTGACACAGGGCAAGGCACTTCATTGCTTCAGAGCTCCTTCCATGCCATAAAAGACCCTACAAGACCTGGTCCTAATCCCTCTCTCTGGCCTGTTCTCCCTCGCCTCTGGCCCACCCTGCTCACTCCACTCCAGCCACACTGGCTGCCTTGCTGTTGTTCCTCAACCACAGCTGGCTTGTTTCCACCACAAGGCCTTTGCATATCCTGTTCCCCAAGCCCTTCCCATGGCTGGCTGCTTCACCACTCAGGCCCCAGTTCAAATGCCACCTCTTTGGGGAAGGCTTCCCTGATTCCCCGACTTTGGTGACTCTTCTCCCCAGTTGCTCCATTCACCATTTCCCTGTTTTATTGGCTTTAAAGCCACTCTCATCTGGTCTTTTCTTGTTTATTCATTTATTTGTTAATTCTCTGGCTCTCCCATGCAAGCAGAGCCTCATCTGTCATGGGTACTGCTGATCCATGGTGGCTGGCTCACGGAAGGCATTTATTAAACATTTTGAGACTGAATAAAAACACTAGCTAACACCGACATGCATTTATCATGAGCCAGGCACTGATCCACAGGCTTTTGTACTCAACCCTGACGACAACCCTAAGAGGTAGGTATCATTATATCCCTCATTTTATTAATAAGAAAACAACAGCACAGAGAGATGCAGTCACTTGCCCAAGGTCACACAGGGCCAGGGCTTGGGCCAGGATTCGAAGCAGGCAGGCTGTCTCCTGGGTGTGAACTCTCAACTACTGCACCCTAATCAAACAATCCCTCTGGTTAAATGTGAGTGATAATAATAGTACCCACCTCGTGGGTGTTGAGGGTGAGCCCAAGTTAGCATGCAGCGCGGGCATGTGAACAATTATAGTCAATATTGAATGGAGACCTATGATGCTTTTATGAAGGTTTCTATTTTGGGTTAAAAATGCACAAATTTCTCCTGACCAGAAATGATCTCTGAGTGCTAAATATTTTATGTCAATGGAATAACCCAAATGATTAAGCAACACCCATAAAATGGGGCAGACCCAGGGAGGAATATATATCCAAACTGACTCATCCCAGTGAGCTCACCGCACATGAATTACAAATGGGGCCAGGTGCATTAAGCCCCTCTACTGGCAGAAGGGAGGCTGCTGCCTGCCATGGGCCTGTGCTGAGAATGGCAGGTCTCCAGGGAGAGGAGAGGCCACCCCCTTCTCTGTCTCTTCCATCACAGGTGTGAAAGCCTCAGCGCATGAGCTAATTCTGTGCAGTGCTCGACATACAGATGAGAACACTGAGGCACGAGGGACAGCCTGTGACCTGGTCACCGCGCTCAGTAGGACGTGGTTACCCGCGGTCCTGAGGGCGCTGACTTTTTAGAATGGGCGAGGGCAGCTGTGTCCCAGTGACCAGAAGGATTACTGTCTTTAAAAAGTCGTGAAAATGATCGTGAACTGTACCCCACAACGAGTGCGCGTGTGCCTCCCAAGACGGTGGAGAGGCCCCCAGCTTACGCCGCCAGCCCGCGGGGCAAGAAGGGTGCGAGCGACTCTGGCCAGGCCCCAGGGACGGGGACCGGGTCGCGCGGACCTGACCGGCGAGAGCCCAGGCACTCACGTGGCGGGAGCGCCGGGGGCTTCAGCACGGAGACCCATCCCGTCTGCCCCTGGACTCCCGCGAGCCCCGCGGACCTCTCCGCTAGCCCCGCCGCCCACCTGCCAGCGGAAGGAGCGCAGGGCGCGCGCTGCCAGGAAGCGGCGCTTGAAACTCTGCAGCAAGAGTTCGCTCCCCGCGTTCTCCTCGGGCGCCATGACGGGGGCGGGGCCTCAGCCTTGCCGGGAGACCGGGCGGAAGCCGGGCCTGGACTGAAGAGGGGGCGGGCCCAGGGCAGTGCACCGGGGCAGAGAGGGGGCGGGGCCTGGAGGTAGAGTCGTGGGGGTGGCTCTAGGGCGGGGCCAGGATGAGAGTTATGAGGCCGGGGCTTGGGGTGGGGCTAGGATGAGCATTATGAGGGCGAGGCCTGGGGTAGGGCCAGGATAAGTGTCGTTGGGGCAGGTCCTCGGGAGAGTTCAGGTTGGTGGGTCCTGGGGCGGGGCCAGGACAGGGCGATCCTGGAAGTGGGGCTTCGGAAGCGTCCAGGTTGGAGGCGTCCTGGAGGCGGGGCCTTGCATGGGGGCAGGATAAGATTCCCGGAGGCGGGCGTTAGGGTGGGGATAAACAATGATTGGGTTCAGGAGGCGAGACTCGGAGCAGAGTCCAGGAGACAGGTCTTGGGGCGGGGCTAAGACCAGACCAGGAGAAGCGCTCAGGAGGCGGGGCCAGGGCGGGGCGTTGGCTATGTCGTAGCACGTGGCCAGGCGCTGCTCGGACTCTGGGAGGCGGAGCTTAGGACGGGCCGACGTGGGGAGGGGCCCAGGGTCCGGGAGGCGGGGCCGAGTCCGGGCTGCGGGCTGCGCTCAGGAGGCGGGCCCTGGGAGGCGGAGCTTAGGGAGGGGCCGGTGTCGGGAGGGACCAAGAGACTGGGAGGCGGGTCGGGGCTGGGCTCAGGGGCGGAGAGGGAGCTGGGCTTGGGGCTGGGCCGAGACGGAGCGAGGGGTCCAAGGTGTGAGAAACGGGGAGGGGTTTGAGGAGGGGATTGGAGTGTGGCTCAAGTTCGGGAGGCGTTACCTGCGGAGGGTTTGAGGCAGGCCCAGGAGCGAGTCCACGGTCTGCCGACTCGGGGCCATGGTCGGGCCCCAGGATCCGGAGCTTCGGGCGGGGCCGAGTCCGGGTTTGGGGCCCAGGAGGCGGGGCCGTTAGGGCTAGGGTCCCCGGGATCGTCGGGTCAGGCCTTGGGCCAACGTAGGCACTCTCACAGTTCCTCCGCCTTCAGGAAGGTCTTTTTGGCAGGGGCCTTATGGGTGCGCGCTTCGGTCCTGGAGGCCTTATCCTAGCCTCCTCTCCATCAGCGCCACCCGTCTGGGGCCCGATAGGAGGGAGCTTTCCCTCTGTCCCCTAGCCTTTGGACTGTCACCAAACAAGCCATTCGTTCACCAAATACTTATTAAGCGTCTACCATGTGTCTGGCAAGGGATATGTAACAGTGAGAAAAACTAGGTGTGGTCCAGGCCCTCCAGGGGCTCAGGGGCTCGTGGAAGAAGTGGACATTGAAGTACTTATCACACAAATGAGTATAAAAGTACAATAGTGATATCTGCCACGAAGGCGAGCAGACAGAGCTAGCGGGGCTTCCAGGAGGAGTTTTGATCTTGCAGGGACAGGAAGGAGGAGTTAGCTCCTGGGGGGCGGGATTGGGGGTGGTGGTGATATAGACGTGGGGTCAGAGTGGAAAACAACAAAAATATAATTATTTTAGTTCAAAGTTATTGTGTCTTGAGTTGAAAGGCAGGGCAGTTAGCAACACAGTTCAGATTTCAGTACTGCCCCTGAAATCTGAACTGTGTTCAAAGTCTAAAACGTTTACCTTAGCAAATCCCTCATAAAACTCCATTTGGAAGAGTCCCGAGAGCTAATTTTTTAAGTATACTTGCAGAAGGTAGATGAGGAGACAGATTAAATCTTATTACCTCTTTCAGATGAGAGGCACTTGAGCCCTGCTCAGCTGTGAGAATAAGAGAGGGGAATTAATTCTAATTGAATACACGTGTTCTCTCACAGCTGTTGTTCCCCACCAGAACCAAATGAGCGCAAGATCTGACAAAGAAAAAAAAAAGGTTCATCTTTTATTCCCCCAAACACTTTCATTTAAATCAAGAGGGTGGGATGTGGTTATTGCTGTGTTTTTAGACAGAATCAACAGTTTCTGGGTCTGAGATGTTGCATACACCCTCTCAGTCCCTGTATCCTGAGATGGAGTCACCTGAGAATCCACAGCAAGTCCTAACCAGGGATGGGTCTGGGTGGTTAAGGAAGGTTGGCTTCAGAACTGGGCCAGAGGCACTGCTTTGCTTTTGCTGTTTTGATCAGCTCTCTGCCTGCAGGAGACAAGGAAAACCAACGGGAACAGGTTAGTTACGATCATAAATCCTGGGCTTATTTTATTAACTCACATAATAGCTATTAATTGCCTTTCCTCCAAGGAGCAAAAGGACATATACGGTCAATGCTATAAAAAGTAACACTGTATTATGTTATACTAAAATATTAATAAATCTAGGTTGGTTGAGTGTTTCCTGATTCCATAGATTGGAAGCGGATTGAGGAAGGACCCTAGCAGACCACAGAGCTGAGCCATGCACAGAGAAGAAATCTTTTCTTCTTTTGTATTTTTTTGAGACGGAGTTTCGCTCTCTTTTTGCCCAGGCTGGAGTGCAATGGCGCGATCTCGGCTCACTGCAACCTCCACCTCCCGGGTTCAAGCGATTCTCCTGCCTCAGCCTCCCGAGTAGCTGGGATTACAGGCGTGAGCCACCATGCCGGGCCATTTTTGTATTTTTAGTGGAGACAGGGTTTGAACACGTTGGCCAGGCTGGTCTCAAATTCCTGACCTCAGGTGATCCGCCCGCCTCTGCCTTCCAAAGTGCTGGGATTACAGGCGTGAACCACCGCGCCCAGCCAGAAGAAATCTTTATCTTGGTGTGCGGGCTCTGATGAGGGACAAATGTCATCTATCTTGGATCTGAATCTGGAAGGATCAAGGCACTGAAGGGATTTGTTTCAGACAGTCTCCCTCTGTTGCCAGGCTGGAGTGCAGTGGCATGATCTTGGCTCCTGCAACTTGTGCCTCCCGGGCTCAAGCGATTCTCCTGCCTCAACCTCCCGAGTAGCTGGGACTACAGGCACGCGTCACCACGCCCAGCTAATTTTTGTATTTTTAGTAGAGACAGGGGTTCACCATGTTGGCCAGGATGGTCTCGATCTCTTGACCTCATGATCCATCTGTCTTGGCCTCCCAAAGGGCTGGGATTACAGGTGTGAGCCACCATGCCCGGCCTCACTGAAGGGATTTTTTTAATGTCACGTGGCTCTCACAGGTGCGGTGTGTTCGAGTGCAAGTGAAGATTAGGACTGATGCTTAAAACCAAACGTAAAATTCCAGGTGGTGTTGCTATGGGAAACAGCATTAGGACAATCTGAGTGGTTTCAGTTGCAAGAGTGTGCGTGTACGTGCAAGAACTACAGTCAAGGTTCAACTTCTGGCTTTGAGGGTCTCTTTAATAACAGTAATAACAACCTAAGGCAGTTTAACAGTATGGAATGGTTGCCTTTTAGAAATTAAGCTATGGGCATGGAAGTTCAATCAGTACATTGAAGTTTTTCCTTTATCTCTCCTATGGTTAATGGTTTCTGCAGAAAAGGACCAGTTGATTTCTTTCTAAAACGTTGCTTCAGGGTGTAGAGACCTTTATAGGTCGTGTTTCAACTTACAGAAAATTTTATAGTTCAAATATAAATTACGTTCAATGTGGACTTTGTAATAGTTTAAGGTCAAGTAAAGTTTCCACTTTCCTTAGGCTGTTTGCAGTGCCCAGTAGGCCCCATGATATTGAGGTGGAAGTTATGTTAAAGGAGGAGATTGGTCAGGGATGGGCAGAATAAAGAATATGGGCAGCTCAGGCTAATGATACAATGACTGAGGTATAGAAAGAGGGCCAGGCATGGGATAACGCCTTTAATCTCAGTGCTTTGGGAGACCAAGGCAAGACGATAACTTGAGGTCAGGAGACCAGCCTGGTCAACAGAGTGAGACCTAATCTGTACAAAAAAAAAAAAATAATTATTTGGGCATGGTGGTGTGCGCCTGTAGTCTCAGCCACTTGGAAGGCTGAGGTCAGGGGATCCCTTGAGCCCAGGAGTTTGAGGCTGCAGTGAGCTATAATCACATAGCTGTACTCCAGCCTGGGTGATAGGGTGAGGCCCTGACTCAAAAACAATTGAGTCAGGGAAAAAATTGGAAATCTTAATCCTCCGTACCCAGGAATGTGACCTTATTTGGAAATAGGGTATTTGTAGATGTAATCAAGTAATGATGAGTCATGCTGGATTGGGGGCTGCTGGTGAGGAGGCAGATGCAACGACTGGTGTCCTTATAAAAGGAGAGAATGAGGGCCGGGCATGGTGGCTCATGCCTGTAATCTCAGCACACTTTGGGAGGGTGAGGTGGGCGGATCACTTGAGGTCAGGAGTTTGAGACCAGCCTGGCCAACATGGTGAAACTCCATCTCTACTAACAACACAAAATTAGCACTGCGTGGTGGCGGGCGCCTGTAATCCCAGCTACTCAGTAGGCTGAGGTGGAAGAATCACCGGAACCTAGGAGGCGGAGGTTGCAGTGAGCCAAGATTGTGCCATTGCACTTCAGCCTGGGTGACAGAGGGAAACTCCATCTCAAAAAAATAATAGAGGAGAATGTCAGGTGAAGACAGAGACACAGGGAGAAGGCAGCCATGTGATGAGGGAGGAGAGATTGGAGCGATGCATCTACAAGGAACACCAAGCATTGCCAGCGGCCACCAGAAGCGAGAAGAGGCAAGGAAGTTTCTCTCTTAAATGTTTCAGAGGAAGTGAAGTCCGGCCGACACCTTGATTTTGGGCTTCTAGCATCCAGGCCTGCGAGACAATACATTTCTGTTGTTTTCAGCCACATGCGGGGACCTCGTTGTTGTTGTGGGTTTTTTTTTTTTTTTTTTTTTTCTGGAGATGGACTTTCACTCTTGTGCCCCAGGCCAGAGTACAATGGCGCTATCTCGGCTCTCTCCAACTTCCTCCTCCCAGGTTGAAGCTATTCTCCTGCCTCAGCTTCCTGAATAGCTGGGATTACAGGCATGCACCACCTTGTCCAGCTAATTTTTGTATTTTTAGTAGAGATGGGATTTCACCACATTGGCCTGGCTGATCTCAAAATCCTGACCTCAAGTGATCCGCTTGCCTCAGCCCCCCAAAGTGCTGGGATTACAGGCATAAGCCACCGTGCCCGGTCTTGCAGTTATTTTTTTAGACAAGATCCCGCTGTGTCATCATGGCTGGAGTGCAGTGGTACAATCTCAGCTCCTACAGCCTCGACCTCCCTGGGCTCAGGTAATTTTCCCATCTCAGCCTCCAAGTAGCTGGGACTACACGCTTGGCTAATTTTTGTATTTTCTGTAGAGATGGGGTCTTTCTATGTGGCCCAGGCTGGTCTCAAACTCCTTGGGCTCAAGCCGTCTGCCTGCCTTGGCCTCCCAAAGTGCTAGGATTACAGGCATGAGCCACTATCCCTGGCCACCCTTGTTAAAAAATAAAGAATTTCAAGATGGTGATGGAAGATTATTAAACCACAGTGGGGACTCTTCTGTGTCCCTGTGGGACTGTCCAGGTTGCAAGCCCATGAAGCCGGCCCTGGCTGCTGGGTTCTTCGGGTGCTGGACCTCCCGTGGCATGTGGCAAGGAGTTGTCATGGGTTATCACGACATATGATGATCACCTACGGGAGACCCAAAGACCACTCAGTCCTTTTTCCGACGAATGGCTGTGTATGTCACACTAGCAGCAAACAGATCCGCAAGAGCTCCTGTGACAATGCTGAGCCCAATCACTGTGCCTTGCAGAGCAGATGCCCTGTGTACCTCCCTCCTGTTAAGAAACCAGAGGGTTTTTAATTGCCTGATTATTAAGAGGCTGTTCTTGCTGCTCCTGCTTTCCTGGGAAGTTTCCCATCTAGCCGCCAGTGAGTATTCATTATGGAAATGAAGTGCACATTGAACCCAAGAAAATGCTCACTCTGGAGAAATCTCATAGGGCAAGTCATTGAAAGCCGATTTACTAAATGACCTCTTCGCCAAATGACCCATTTGCCTAATGACCACTTTGCCAAATAATCAATTTGCTGAAAGCCAATTCGCTGAAAATCTGTTTGTGGGATGTCCTGCTTATCAGGAACTGACAGTCAGATGCAGCTTATCCCAGGCTCCCAGTGGGATATGGGATAGGGGAGGGGCTACAAAATAGTTGTAGCAGAACTCCAGAACTTAAAAAGAAGAAAAATCCTCCACAATTTGGTGAATTGGTCATTCATTTAATTAGTTTTCTACTAAAGGGACTGCTTTCTGTATGTTCACAAGGAGATCATGGGCAGTGACTTACAAGAAGAGAAAGGATGTATATCACTCCTGCCATCCCCTCTTTTCCTTTTTTTTTTTTTTTTTTAAGGCAGGAATCAGAGTGCCGTAGTACAATCACAGCTCACTGCAGCCTCCAACTCCTGGGTTCCAGCGATCCTCCCGCCTCAGCCTCCCCAGTAGCTGGGACTACAGGCATATGACACTATATCCAGCTAATTTATTGTGGAGACAGGGTCTCACTATGTTGCCCAGGGTAGTCTCAAGTTCCTGGCCCCAAGTGATCCTCCTACCTCATCCTCCCAAAGTCCCAATTATGAGTCACTGTGCCCAGCCCATTACACCTTTTTGCATGTAATTGCTTTAAGCGCTCGTTAGATCACTGGACAGTATCCAAGTCTCTCCCGGCAAAAGGAAAGATAGCCAGTGTTTGTAAACAACCCACTAAAGAAGGCAACAGCAAATTCTGAGATGATTTTATTCTTCCTTTGTATTACCCAGATTGAAGGGGTTTGAAGTCTTGAGAATTTGCAGTCTCGTTTCAGACTCTCCCCTCTCCTTTTTTCAGCATCGAGTGAACAGGGTATTTCTCCTCCCCTATGAAGAGCTTTCTGTGCTATTGAAGGAGGGCTGATTTCCATATCTGGAAGGGGCATCTTGGGGGCAGACTGTACACAGTGATTTCCTTAGGACCGGAAGGATTACAGCCCGACTTTCTCTATAGAGCACCTTCCCTTTGCCTAAAAGGCACTATGTCAAATGTTACCAGCAGGTCGAGGGATTCCCTACCTCCCGTGCTATCTGTTTGGAGCTGTTGACATCTTGTTCCTAGGGCTCCAAAGCTGCTGGGAATCAGGATTGTTCTGCTTGAATTCCCTCCTCCCCACCATGAGACCACTTTTTGTTTCTTTTCTATCTCAGGACAGAGCAGACTCTGCTGACAGTTTTCTGGCAGCTGCTTTTGTGTCTCACCTGGCTGCTGGTCGTAAGAGTTCACGAGCATTTCCTGGGTGACTGCCAGGGAGCCGTTGTGGGTTTGGGGGTGACTCCCAGGAGCTTACACATGAATGGGTAGATGTGGATGTCGTTAAAAGGCTCGGCCAGGCCATTCCTCTTGAAATCTGGCCCGAAAGCTCTGAATGTCTTCATATCCATGAGGACATTATCAAAGCCATGGCTGCCTTTGTTGAAACACATTTTAATTCTCTGAAAAATAATAACAATAAAGCCATTTTAGATTCAATCCACTGAAAGAAAACTGTCCCTTAGTTAATGTCATGCTTGTTGGATCCATGAAGTCTTTGAGAATTTAAACTACAAGAACACTGCTCTCTGTGGTGGTGGAGAGAATACCAAGGATTTAAAGGTCTTTAAGAAAGAGAATGTAGAAAGCGTACCCATTGGAAACAGCAAGATGATGATAATCGTACTGACAGTAATAATAAGCTCAAATATATAGAGCTTACTATGTGTCATGAATTGTTCTGAATGCTTCATAAATGTACGTTCCCTCCTTTACCCTCGTGGCAGCCCAGTAAAGGCGCCATTCCCCATTTTACAGCTGGGGAAACTGAGTTACAGAGCTTGTCTGCACTGAGTCAACAGGAGAAAATGCTAGATCAGTAATGGAACCCAAGCAATCTGGTTCCAGAGCCAAATAGATGTATTTTTTATGGCATAAATACACATACATACATTTTTAGGGGAAGGGTGGGGGTAGGATGGGATGAGGATTCTGGGTAATTGCTTGGTAAATGCCAAATACCTTTCTTGCCTGTCCCTCTTTTCAAATGATAAAGTAATATCAATTGCAACTGTTTTTTTTTTTTTTTTTTTTTGAGACAAGGTCTAGCTGGAGTACAGTGATGCAGTCACAGCCCACTGCAGCCTCAAATTCCTGGGCTCAAGCAATCCCACCACATCAGCTTCCCAAGTAGTTGGGACTACAGGCCCACACTACTATGCCCAGCTGATTATTTTAATTTTTGTAGAGATGGCATGTGGCGGTGGGGGTGGGGGGCGGTTTCGCTATGTTGTCCAGGCTGGTCTCAAACTCTTGACCTCAAGTGAACCTCCTGCCTCAGCCCCACAAAGCTCTGGAATTATAGGTGTGAGCCACTGTGGCTGGCTACAATACTATTTATTTATATTTTAGACCAACAGATATTCTAGCATATAAGAAATGTGATGCTCTCTGTACATTGAAGGGTTGGTCTAATATTTGGCCTGGTGGATACAGAAATTGCCTGTCTGCTCCGCTCTGGTTGAAGAAACCAGTCCGACTGTCTCTGAGGCTACGGAGCAGTCCATCAAGAATGAAAGCCCTCGGCCAGGCACGTTGGCTCACACCTGTAATACCAGCGCTTTGGGAGGCCGAGGCAGGTGGATCACTTGAAGTCACGAGTTTGACACCAGCATGGCCAACATGGTGAAACCCTGTCTCTACAGAAAACAGAAAAATTAGCTGGGCCTGGTGACACGTGCCTGTAATCCCAACTACTCAGGGGGCTGAGGCAGGAGAATCACTTAAACCTGGGAGGCAGAGGTTGCAGTGGGGAGCTGAGATCACACCACTGCATTCCAGCCTGGGCGACAGAGCGAGACTCTCTCCAAAAAAAAAAAGAATGAATGTCCTCATGATGGCCTCAAGCACATTGGCCCCTGAAGAGAGTCAAGGAAGGCCCACTTTACTCTGCACTGCAAAGCAGGCAGGTGGACAGGATGAGAAGTGGATTCAGTGAGAGGCATTGACCCAAAGGATTTTCTGCCTAATGGTCGGTTCAGCAGAAGATTAAACTGAGCACAGCATCCTGCTCCCTCAAACTATCTGGTTGGTCAGTGGGGAATGTTCTTGTCTTGTTAAATGTCCTCATGCTACTGTCAAGATATCCTGTTACAAATCATCATAAACCAGGTTTACAAATAGGCCAGGTGACTGTGGAATTTCTCCTTGGCAAGGCCTTAGCTATGGGCGTGCGATTGGTGTGCAGTAATCACAGTGTTCCGGGCCACTTGAGGGATAAAATATACCTTAGGTGATAAACTGTTGTATTTTAATGTGAATATTTCCACCAATATTAAACAGTAACCCCATAAGTTTTCTCATACTTGTTACACTCCGGAGTTGCAACAAGCTAACATGAAGCAAGTTGCAAACAGAATTATCGCATTTGGCTCCTATTCACAGCAAGGGATCTTCAAGCTGTACCTGGGGCAGTCTTCCCTCACATGAGGTTTATAGCATCATTTATTTAATTAATTATTCATTTTTTGAGATGGAGTTTCGCTCTGTCGCCAAGGCTGGAGTGCAATGGTGCGATCTTGGCTCACTGCAACCTCCGCCCCGCCAGGGTTCAAGCGATTCTCCTGCCTCCGCCTCCTGAGTAGCTGGGATTATAGGCACCCGCTACCACGCCTGGCTAATTTTTGTATTTTTGGTAGAGACGGGGTTTCACCATGTTGACCGGGCTGGTCTCAAACTCTTGACCTCAGGTGATCCACCCGCCTCAGCCTCCCAAACTGTTGGGATTACTGGCGTGAGCCACGGTGCCCGGCTATAGCATAATTTCAACTTTGTTTCTGCCATGAATTGTTAGTTGGTAGTTAACAAAAAATAGACCACCTCATTTATGTCTCACTGTTAGCATTGGTTTTTGTGTTTTCCTTAGGCTTGTTTTTTAATTGTTTTTAAAATTGTGAAACAGGGTCTTGTTCTGTTGCTGATGCCAGAGTGCAGTGATACAATCTTGGCTCACTGCAGCCTCAACCTCCTGGGCTCGAGCAATCCTCCCACTTTAGCCTCCTGAGTAGCTGGGACTACAAACACGAGACACCACAGCTGGCTAATTTTTAATTTTTTTTTTTTTTGAAACGGAGTTTTGCTCTGTCACCCAGCAGGTTGGAGTGCAGTGGGGTAATCTCGGCTCACCGCAACCTCCATCTCTCGGGTTCAAGCGATTCTCCTGCCTCAGCCTCGGCACCCACCACCATGCCTGGCGAATTTTTAAAAAATATTTTTAATAGCGACAGGGTTTCACCGTGTTGGCCAGGCTGGTCTTGAACTCCTGACCTCAAGTGATCCACCTACCTCGGCCTCCCAAAGTGCTGGGGTTACAGGTGTGAGCCACCATGCCAAGACTAATTTTTAAATTTTTTGTAGAGACCAGGTTTTGCCATATTGTCTAGGCTGGTCTTGAACTCCTGGGCTCAAGTGATCCTCCTGCCTTGGCCTCTCAAAGTGCTGGGATTACAGGCATGGCCCTTATGCCTGGCCCTTAAAGCTGCTTTTTAAAAACAGCCTTACTGAAAGGTAATTCACACACCATACAATTTACCCATTTAAAGTGTTCAATTTGGCCGGGCATGGTGGCTCACACTTGTAATCCCAGCACTTTGGGAGGCTGAGGTGGGAGGATCACTTGAACCCAAGAGTTTGAGATGGGCCCGAGCAACATGGCAAAACCCTGTCTCAACCAAAAATACAAAAAAATTAGCTGGGCATGGTGGGCCTGTCTGTAGTCCCAGCTACTCAGGAGGCTGAAGTGGGAGGATGGTTTGAGCCCGGGAGGTGGAGGGTGCACTGAGTTGAGATTGCACCACTGCCCTCCATCCTCGGCAACAGAGCCAGACCCTGTCTCTAAATAAATAAATAAAGTGCATAATTCAGTGGTTTTTAATATATTCAAAGAGTTGTGCAGCCATCACCACCATCAGTTTTAGAAATTTTAATTACTCCAGAAGAAACCCTGTAGCCATTAGCAGTCACCCCTTATTTCCCCCTGACTATCCACACCCCTAGCTCCTGGCAACCATTAATCTACTTTGTTTCTTTGGATTTTCATATTCTGGACATATATATATATATGTGTGTGTGTATATATATATGTGTGTGTGTGTGTATATATATATATATAAAATAGAATCATCTACTATTTGTCTGGCTTCTTTCACTTAGCCTAATGGTTTCAACGTGTATCCAGGTTGTAGCATGAATCAGCCCTTCATTCCACATTTTGGCTGATTAATGTTCCGTCACACGGGTAGACTCTACTGGTTTGCCCATTCATCTGTTGTTGATAGGCATTTGTGTTGTTGCCACCTTTTGACAATTATGAATAATTTTGCTACGAGCATCTGTATGTGTCTTTGTATGAACAGGCTTGCATATTTTTTGATATGGGCAAATGAGAACTAGTGGCGGGAGGCCTTTGTGGTGAATTTTTTGGTGATCTTTGTGTACTCTGTATAATGATCACCCACGCAGGCTTGGGGGCAGCACTTAACCTTACATTTCTTTCTTTTTTTTAAGATAGTGTTTCTCTCTCTGCCACCCAGGCCAGAGCGCAGTTGATACAGGGCAGGGGAGCCCCCAAGCGGAGCATAGTGTTTCTGGAACTGGTGGGTTCTTGGTCTCACTGACTTCAAGAATGAAGCCACGGACCCTCGCGGTGAGCGTCCTAGTTCTTAAAGGCGGCGTGTCCGGAGTTTTTTCCTTCTGATGCTCGGATATGTTCAGAGTTTCTTCCTTCTGGTGGGCTCCTGGTCTCGCTGGCTTCAGGGATGAAGCTGCAGACCTTCAAGGTGAGTGCTACAGCTCTTAAGGCTGCGTGTCTGGAGTTGTTTCTTCCTCCCAGTGGGTTCATAGTCTCACTGGCTTCAGGAGTGAAGCTGTAGACCTTCAAGGTGAGTGTTACAGCTCATAAAGGCAGTGTGGACCCAAAGTGTCAGCAGCAGCAAGATTTATTGCAAAGAGCAAAAGAACAAAGCTGCCACAGTGTGGAAAGGGAACCCAGTGGGTTGCCACTGCTGGCTGGGACAGCTTGCTTTTATTATCTTATCTTGCCCCACCCACATCCTGCTGATTGGTCCATTTTACAGAGAGCCAATTGGTCTGCTTTACAGAGAGCTGATTAGTCCGTTTTGACAGGGTGCTGATTGGTGCGTTTACAATCCCTGAGATAGACACAAAAGTTCTCCAAGTCCCTACTACATTAGCTAGATAGAGAGTGTCCATTGGTGCATTCACAAACGCTGAGCTAGACACAGGGTGCTGATTGGTGTGTTTACAAACCTTGAGCTAGATACAGAGTGCCGATTGGTGTATTTACAATCCCTCAGCTAGACATAAAGGTTCTCCAAGTCCCCACCAGACTCAGGAGCCCAGCTGGCTTCACCAAGTGGATCCTGCACTGGGGCCGCAGGTGGAGCTACCTGCCAGTCCCGCGCCCAGTGCCAGCACTCCTCAGCCCTTAGGTGGTTGATGGGACTGGGCGCAGTGGAGCAGGGGGCGGTGCTTACTGGGGAGGCTCGGGCTGCGCAGGATCCCACGGCGGGTGGAGGGGAGGCTCAGGCATGGCGCGCTGCAGGTCCCGAGCCCTGCCTTGTGGAGAGGAAGCTAAGGCCCGGTAAGAAATCGAGCACAGCATCTGCTGGCCCAGGTGCTAAGCCCCTCACTACTCAGGGTCAGCGGGGTCGACTGGCCGCTCTGAGTGCGGGGCCCACCAAGCCCATGCCCATCTGGCATTCGCGCTGGCTCACAAGCGTCGCACCCAGCCCCGGTTCCCAACCGCGCCTCTCCCTCTACACCTCCCCGCAAGCTGAGGGAGTCGGCTCCAGCCTCGGCCATCCCAGGAATGGGCTCCCACAGTACAGCGGTGGGCTGAAGGGTTCCTCAAGTGCTGCCAAATTGGGAGCCCAGGCAGAGGAGGTGTCGAGAGTGAGCTCCAGGGCTGCCAGAACGCTGTCACCTCTCAATAGCACATGAGGGTTCTTGCCTTTGCCCAGGAAAGAATTCAAGGGCAAGCTGGAGGTATAGAAGAAGACAGCTTTATTGAAGAGGCAGCGTTACAGCCCTGTGACTTCTCCTGTAGGGCAGGGCTACCCTGGAGGCAGAGAGTAGCGGCAGAGAGTTTGCAATCACATTTATACCCACTTTTAATTACATGCAGATTAAACGGCAGTTTATGCAGGAATTTCTAGAAAATTGGTAGTAACTTTTGAGTCATTGGGTCATTGCCATGGAAAGGAGCAGTAACTCCCGGGTGTTACCATGGCAATAGTAAACTCACATGGCACACTGGTGGGCATGTCTGATGGAAAGCTGCTTCTGCCCCAGCCCTGTTTTAGCTAGTCCTCAATTGTTCTGGTGTCCAAGCCCTGCCTGTGGAGTCAAGTCCTGCCTCCTATCTCACAGTGGCATGATCATGGCTCACTGCAGCCTCAACACTCCTGGGCTCAAGCAATTCTCCCACCTCAGCCTCCTGAGTTGCTGGGACCACAGGCACGTGCCACTACGCCCAGCTACATTTTTTTGCATTTTTTGTAGAGTTGGTGTTTCACTATGTTGCCTAGGCTGGTCTCAAACTCCTGGGCTCAAGCAATCTACCTACCTTAGCCTTCTAAAGTGCTGGGATTACAGGTGTGAGCCGCTGCACCCAGCCCAACCTTACATTTTTAATCTCAAGTCACTTCTCTCTAGGTTTTGATTTCTTCTTTAAAATGGTGGAACTAAGAGCATCTATTTTATAGGGTTGTTGGGAAGGCAAAATGAAAGAACTGCTATTCAATGTTTAGTGAAGTGCTATGCACAATTTTGAATAATGAAGTTGGTGTTTATTTTTTATTATTTGTTTATTTATTTTTTAGAGACGGGGTCTTACTCTGTTGTTCAAGCTGGAGTGCAGTGGTGCGATCACAGCTTACTGCAGCCTTGACCTCCTGGGCTCAAGAAATCCTGCCACCTCAGCCTCCTGAGTAGCTGGGACTACAGGCATGCATAGCCATGTCTGGCTATTTATTTATTTGTTTTTTTTTTGTAGAGATGGGGTCTCCCTATGTTGCCCGGGCTGGTCTTGAACCCCTGGCCTTAAGCAATCCTCCTGTCTTTACCTCCCAAAGCACTGAGATTACAGGTGTGAACCACCATGGCCAGCCTTATTTTTATTTTTAAATCAGCCTTGTCCAGTTGAATTGGTCATTAATCTTGTATAATGGTAATTTGGGGCAGCATTGGTTGGGCGGGGGGTGGGGAACATTTAGGACCCTGTGGACTACAACTCGTAGTGTGTTTACTTATTTTATTTTGTTTTGTTTTGTTTTATTATATATTATATTATAATTATATTATATTATATTATATTATAATATATTATATTATATTATATTATATTATATTATATTATATTATATTATATTTTTTTGAGACAGGGTCTCACTCTGTTGCCCAGACTGGAGTGCAGTAGCATGATCTTGGCTCACTGCAACCTCTGTCTCCCAGGTTCAAGTGATTCTCCTGCCTCAGCCTCCAGAGTAGCTGGAACTACAGATGCACGCCACCACGCCTGGCTAAGTTTTGTATTTTTAGTAGAGATGGGGCTTCACCATGTTGGCCAGGCTGGTCTCAAACTCCTGACCTCAAGTGATACACCTGCCTCAGCCTCCCAAAGTGCTGGGATTATAGGCGTGAGCCACCGTGCCTGGCTGTGCACTCATGTTTGATTTTTGCAGAACCACCCTTCCCTAATGGTTTTCTCCTAGATCCAAGGTGACTTTATTCATTTTAGAATGAACTTATCCCATTGATACTGAAACTAGAGTTGGCATACATCACGATTGGCAGAACTTGGTCATGTTTAGCGAGATGGAAGTGTTCTGGAAACTCCTCCTTCTTGTAGACGTGGAGGTGAGGGTGCGCATTCTTCAGTGCCTGGTAAAGGGCTTCCGCTTGCCCCAATTTGGGTAGGGGCAGCCCAAAGCCACCGTAGCCCACAATATCAAACTTGACCAAGTCTCTGAACTTGATGTAGTTGGACAAGGGATCTTGTTGACATTGGGTCTCTTCTTCACGGTGGTCATCCCATGGTCTCATGTGATGATGACGCTGAGGTGCTCTGCAGGCTGTGCTTCTCAGTGGCTCCCACCAGATACCCGATGGTCCTGTCGAGTTGCTGAATCATCAACTTCCTGTTCTCTGCCTCTGGCCTGAATCGATGTCTCACGTTATCTGGCTCTCTGTAGCACAGAGTCACAATGTCAAAGTCTTCCTTGGTGAACCAGTTCATGACGGTATCGATGTTCTCCCTCCGCTCTGTCTCGTTGCTGTTTGGGTGAGTGTAGGACTCCACCAGGCACCGCTTGACAGCCTCACCCTCGTATTTAGCACCTCCCCTGGAATAGTGGGGTGATGATGCTTTGTTCCACTGCAAGTACAAGAAGAAAATTCCTTCAGGGCCATTTCTCATACCTTTCTCACAATCAGCAAAGCTCGAGTTGTCTACATCTGTGCCCCAGTCCAAAGACATAGAAAATATGTGGTCTTTGGGGTCAGACAGAGTGGAGTTAGATTCTGGGCTTCCCCAGGATCTCATAGCATCTACAACACTGTTAGTTACAAGATGTGCTATTATTTTATGGGCTACTAAGCAGAAAAATGCTGCCAACGAGACTGTGACATTCCAATGATTGTAAGGTGTATTCCAACTTTAGAGATGGCAAAATGAAAAATAATTCCTTAGAATAGAGGGAGACAGTAATTTCTGAGTTGTTGTTGGTGAATCTGTGCATGTGTGTTTTATATATATATACATATATATATACACACACATATACATGTATATATGCGTATATATAGACATACCTATATACATATATGTATGTGTATATATAGTGGTGCAGTGGTACAATCATAGCTCATTGCACCCTTGAACTCCTGGGCTTAAGCGATCCTCCCACCTCAGCCTCTTGAGTAGCTGGGGCCACAGGCATGTACCACCATACCTATTTTTTTTTTTTTTTTGAGACACGGTGTCACTCTCTCACCTAGGCTGGAGTGCAGTGGCACGATCTCAGCTCACTGCAACTTCTGACTCCTGGGTTCAAGCAATTCTCGTGCCTCAGCCTCCCAAGTAGCTGGGATTATAGACACGTGCCACTATGCCCAGCTAAGTTTTGTATTTTTAGTTGAGACAGAGTTTTGTCGTGTTGGCCAGGCTGGTTTCGAACCCCTGGGCTGAAGTGATCCATTTGCCTTGACCTCCCAAAGTGCTGGGATTTCATGTGTGAGCCACCGCGCCTAGCCCTAATTTTTTTTTTTTTTTTTTAGTGTTTGTAGAGACGAGGTCTTGCTAATTTGCCCAGGCTGGTCCTGAACTCCTGCGTTCAAGTAATTCTGCCTCAGCCTCTCAAAGTGCTGTGATTACAGGCGTGAGACACCACCCATGGCTGGTGGTGAGTTTTAAAATTTTCCAGTGTCTCAGTGTTTCTACCTGTAGAATGCCAAAAAGTAGATGGCACCTTTGCGAGGATTAAGCCGACTAGCTTTTTTTTTTTTTTTTTTTTGAGACAGAATTTCTCTCTTGTCACCCAGGCTGGAGTGCAATGGCGTGATCTTGGCTCACTGCAACCTCTGTCTTCTGGATTCAAGTGATTCTCCTGCCTCAGCCTCCCAAGTAGCTGGGATTACAAAGCCAGCTAGCTTTAAGATACAGTGTTGGGCATCACATTTTGGCAAGGAGCAGGCACTCTTTCCTTTGCCCCCAGGTGGGACTAAGCCACCACAAGCCTTCCCTGGTGTGTGCAGTGGGTGATGAATGCTTGCCTGCTCAGCACCCACTACATGGTGGGCTGGGTCACATTACTCTGACTCCCCCTTGAGCTTCAGTCCATGCCTGGTTCAAGATGTATTGGCTCAACTCGAGGATCCAGAGGTGGGATGTGGCTCTGGCCTGGCCAGAGGACTGAGGATGCTGCATGCCATGGCTACAGCAACCGGTTCAGCTTTGGGCTCATGTCCTAGTCAGAGCCAATGAGATGTAATCTTGGGATATCTGCTGGGCTGTTGGGAAGAGGACAGGCTGCACTGCTCATCCCCATTCCTGATGCTGAGGGATCTGAGAAAATCACTTGTGAAATTTGGGTGTGTTTGGAAGAAGGGGAGACTGATGTCTCCTTCTCTCTACAGACATCTGATCAGCTACAGAGCTTGATTGACATACCCAGAGGCGGAATGATATGGTGGTTAAAAGTGTGCTCTGGGCCGAGATCTTGCCACTGCACTCCAGCCTGGGTGACAGAGTGAGACTCCGTCTCAAAAAAAAAAAATAAAAGTGTGCTCTGGGCTGGGCGCGGGGGCTTACGACTGTAATCCCAGCACTTTGGGAGGCTGAGGCAGGAGGATCGCTTGAAGTCAGGAGTTTGGGATCAGACCCTATCTCCAGAAAAATGTTTTTTAAAAATTAGCTGGGTTGGTGGTGAATGCCTGTAGTCCCAGCTACTCGGGAGGCTGAAGCGGAAAGATTGCTGGAGCCTGGGAGTTCAAGGCTGCAGTGAGCTATGATCAGGCCACTGCACTCCAGTTTGAGGGACAGAGAGAGACCCCATCTCCCTAAAGAACAAAAAAGTGTGCTCTGGTGCCGCACTGCCTGGTTAGATCCTTTGTCCACTACTTAGAGGCATGTTATATAAATGCTCTCCTCAGTTTCCTCATCTGTAACTTGGGGATGATAATGCTGCCCCATGAAGTGGTTGTGGGGACTAAATGCATGTGGGCACATTGGTAAGTATTCAACAAGCTTGATTTTTCCTGGAGAAGGAGAAAGATGTGGCATGGTCAGGTGGATTGGGGCAAGGATTATTTCCTCTGGCTTCTGCCTCCTGGGAGGTAATAAGGATGGATCTGAAATGTGTCTGCAGACCCCAGAGTTGGGGACTGCAGAGGGAAATTGAGATCAGGGACCCCAGTCTGGAAGAAATGGGTGCAGCATGGGGCACTGCGTTCCTTCCATCAGAGGCATGGGGCGTCTTGCAGACAGTCATGAAATGTGGCTGAATCTTGCAAGGGACCCTCGGTCCTAGGGTTGCTGCTTGAGACAAAGACCCCTATCAGTGGAACCTGGTGACCTTCACCCTTCTGTGTCAGGCTGCAGACAGCAAGAGATGGCAGCAGATTACACCCAACAGGAAAAGGGCCATTGCTATCCCACAGGTTGCCATAGGAGGAGATGACATTTCTCCCTCTCCTCCTCCAGCAGTGTCAGCTGGGGAAGAGGTGGGTGGGTATGCACAAAAGAGTAGACCGCAGACCATGTTCCTTCTCCTCCAGTCTGCTGGGGCCCCAAGAGAGTCTGCAGCCCTTGGCCAGGGACCGGCTGACACAGGAGAACAAAAGACCTTAGGCTGGGATAATATGGTGGTGCAGTTCATCCTCTGGAGCTCCCTGTGAGATCAGACTGGAGCTGGTGTCCAGCTGAGACCACATCTCACTTAGCTCCTTCCCTGTCATATCCTGTTTTCCTTACTCCTATCTCCTGAGAGTTCTTCCTGAATGAATTACATGCACTCAATCCCTGCCTCAGGTTCTGCTTTTAGGGAACTTGACCTAAGACAGAAATCTTAGTACTAAATACTTTGCAAGGCCTCAGAAGCTCTGCTATCCACAAGCAGGTGAGATATTACCTTCCCTACCACCTGGCAGTCATAGTCTATGTTGCAATTCAGCTTTATGGAAGTGCTTCTCTAAAGAACTTCCCCAAATTTAAGATGATCTTAATTTGCTTACTTGTTTATTGTCCATTTAGCTGCTCTAAAATGTGAGCTCCAAATCAGGGGCCATGTCTGGTTGGTTACCCATTTCCTGGGACCTAGAACAGGCCTAGCTCAGAGCAGGTGCTCACTATTGATGGAATGCATGTTGAAAGAATGCATGAATCTCATCTCCCTTTGTGGGTGGAAAACTCAACCTATTCTCATCCTGATTACTTTCTTTCTTTCTTTCTTTCTTTTTTTTTCAAATTGGAGTCGTGATCTGTTACCCAGGCTGGAGTGCAATGGTGTGAACTCACCTAGCTGCAGCCTCTGCCTTCTGGATTAAAGCAATTCTCCTGCCTCAGCCTCCTATGTAGCTGGTATTACAGGTGTATACCACCACGCCCGGCTAATTTCTTGTATTTTTAACAGAGACAGGGTTTCACCATGTTGGCCAGGCTGGTCTCGAACTCCTGACCTCGTGATCCACCCGCTTTGGCCTCCCAAAGTCCTGGGATTACAGGCATGAGCCACCGTACCCAGCCACTCTTGATTAACTTAATGGAAATATTTACAGAGATTCTTTCTCTTCTGGGTTCTAGCGTCTTATCTGTAACCTCTGCAGGTAATACATTTTCCTTCCTGATGATAGCATTTCTATGGTTGCTTTCACTTGCAAATCCTCTAACACTTATTTATTCCATTTCTGATTGGCATTAGACATAATTCTCAATTTTTAGTGACAGCACTTTGTTTAACTTACATATAAATCGACTTTGCCTTGAACTGTGACATTGACTAGAAGGATGAAACTTCTAACATGCTCTAGAACATAGTCTGACTGGCTAATTTATTATTTAGAAGAAACTAATATTGCCATTATGAGGGTGTGGGGAAAAGCAAGAGAGATCAGATTGTTACTGTGTCTGTGTAGAAAGAAGTAGACATAGGAGACTCCATTTTGTTATGTACTAAGAAAAATTCTTCTGCCTTGAGATTCTGTGACCTTACCCCCAACCCCGTGCTCTCTGAAACATGTGTTGTGTCAACTCAGAGTTAAATGGATTAAGGGCGGTGCAAGATGTGCTTTGTTAAACAGATGCTTGAAGGCAGCATGCTCCTTAAGAGTCATCACCACTCCCTAATCTCAAGTACCCAGGGACACAAAAACTGCGGAAGGCCGCAGGGACCTCTGCCTAGGAAAGCCAGGTGTTGTCCAAGGTTTCTCCCCATGTGATAGTCTGAAATATGGCCTCATAGGAAGGGAAAGACCTGACCATCCCCCAGCCCGACACCCGTAAAGGGTCTGTGCTGAGGAGGATTAGTAAAAGAGGAAGGAATGCCTCTTGCAGTTGAGACAAGAGGAAGGCATCTGTCTCCTGCCTGTCCCTGGGCAATGGAATGTCTCGGTATAAAACCCGATTGTATGCTCCATCTACTGAGATAGGGAAAAACCGCCTTAGGGCTGGAGGTGGGACCTGCGGGCAGCAATACTGCTTTGTAAAACATTGAGATGTTTATGTGTATGCATATCTAAAAGCACAGCACTTAATCCTTTGTGGGTGTGTAGGGGCAACCCACCCCTACAGAGGGACTTAGGTGGCTCTGAAGAACCAGTTGTATTTCTAATGTTTGCAATGTTAAATCACTGATATTGCCAACGTGAAATAGTTTCCATATGCTGTGTTGTCAATACACAACTTTTCCAAAGATATCCCAAGCTGTAGTCTTAGGAAATTGTGATTTTACTTATTTGGTCTCATAGGAATTTGGGGAGCTATGCTGGATCTCCATAAAATGAGCTCCAGAAAGACATGTGCGCACACACACACACACACACACACACTCACACATGTACCACACCACACTTGACTCTGTTTATTTGGGACCCATGATTATCAGAAGTGCTATTTTCAACAAATACTTCTGAGAAATAATCTGAACACTTAATTGGATGTAAAAGAGTGGCTATTTACTATTCTACCCTTTAGTTAGCATAATCAGTGTTTCCAGCAGCAAAAGCAATTGGAAAATTGCTAGTTTTATTAGGTTCATTATTCTCCCTTAGCGTAGTGTGACATCAGCATGGCTATTATTCTTAAATGCCTCTTTAAAACAAGAGCTGGTGCTTCTTACAGGCAATGCCTAACTCTTGGGTTTTGTAGAGGGTCCAAAACTCTTTAGAATCTATAATTCAGGGAAAGCCTTCACTTTGGTTTTACATTTTGTCTGGTCTCTTTGGCTGACAGAATTTATGTCACAAGGAGCACATGTTTGGGGGAGGCTCATGGACAGCCCATTGCGCTTGTGCTTTGGTAGGAAGTACGTGCAGTTAAGGGGAAGGACTTAGTTACTGATTCTAGGGAACAATTGGGTAGAAAGAGATGGACTCCCTGTATTTGAAATTCAGAACTCAAGCTTGGCTCTAAGTGTTTCCTTGCTTTGCTGTGCTCCAGGGGAGTCACTGAGCAGAAGGAAGCGAGTTGCCTGAGATTCCTCAAAGGCTGCAACCCTTTTGGAGGTTACATTGTTATTCTCAGAGCCTTTATGATGCATAATAAAGACCCAGCTTGGACCAATATTAGGATGAGTTATCTTGCTATGAACATTCTTTTAGGTAGAAGTTGCTGGTCCCATCTTGCTCACAATCCTCCAAAATTTGGAAGTAACTTTCCATGAGACTTAGCTTGCACTGAGAGCTGCCCTCCCACCCTCTCTCCAAATTTCCTCTTGGGAGTAGCCTAACAAGGTGCTGTCACAGACCCTTGTCAGCCACGATGACCCCACCCAGACCATCCCTCTGCTGTTTCATTCTTTGATACTCTCTGAAGCTCTCTGGGGAGGGGTGAGACCTGCTGTCTGGTTTGTACGGTGTGCCCAGGTCTTACAGTCATGGCTGGCTGCCTCTCTCTGAGAACTGGGACTCCTGAGCTTGGTGAAATACCTCGGCCATCGATCATGTTAAATTATCAGGGACACTCATTAAAAATCCGAGTCTGCTCCAGATGGACTCTCTCTCTTTCTGCCCTGACCGTGAGAGAGACTATGAGAGAGAGAGACCATGAGAGAGAGTGAGAGAGGCTATGAGTGAGAGAGAGAGAGAGAGACCGTGCCCTGACCTGCTGGACAGTGGAGATGCTCGTGGGCTGTGAACAACAGATGCAAAGGCTGCTGGGAATCCCATCTTTCCAGCATCATCTGCCAAGGCACATCAGTTCCTGGGTGTCTTGATGGGTTCTGGCAGCATTACTGTCATTGAAGGAAAACATTTTAGCCATATTAAAGGTGAATGCAGCAATCCCCACACAGCCTGCCTGGAAGGGACGCGGGATAAGGGTAGGTTTTCCCTGTGATGGACAGGAGGCAGGTGGCCCTCCCACAGCCCTGCCTGGCAATGGAGATGTGTCCCCAAAAGGCACTGGGGGCCAGCTGGAGTGCTGTGCCGAGGCGGGCTGACCCGGGCCTTGGGTTCGCTCTGATTGCAGCGGTTTCCCGCCAGCTCCTTAGAGAGCTGGCAGATGACCCAGCCCCACAGCAGGAGCTGTGAATGGCAGAACGAGATACAACAATTTGATATCCACTTGCCAGATGAGCCGGGTGTCGTCAGTCGCCTGGCTCTGCGCCAACCTCTTTTTGCACAAACACTTAGGAATTCAGCCAGAAGGAAAAGCACTCTGATTATGAATTGAGCAGAAGGAAACAAAGTTCTGCAGATAAACACCAATGAGACAAAAAACCACGAATAAGAAAAATGACAGAAAAGGAGAACATTCCCAGACGCCTCCAGCCAGTGAACGGCCTCCATAGCAAGAGCATGGAGGCCCTGGGTTTTGAACCTTGAGATAAGGAAGATGATGAAAACTTCCCTAGCAGCCAGGCAAGCACAAGAATCCTGTGAAATCCAGGTCTAAGTGTTTTGACCACAGAAGTAATATTATGTCATAGTTGAGAGCTGTGAGTTGCTAAACCCAAAGAAATATCTAAGGTAAGATTATCTTCTCTTCCTTGTAGACGGCGTCTAACCATGTCCCAGTGATGTTCAGATTCATTATAGGGTCGAGGTATAATACAAAAATCTGACGTATTCCAGTCACACTGTAACTGAAAAAGATATTCCAAGCTCATGAGCCTATCTCCCATCCAAATAACAGTTTGTCTAAGATCATTAATTTGATTTGCCAATTTTTAATCTATTTGAGTCTGAGAATTCCACAATTTTGAGGAATTCTTTTGCCAATTATTCACATATTGTGCAGTTTGAACAGAGGAGTGTAAAGCAATTCCAGCAGGCCCAGCAGTATCTGTGACTGCAATAAGACCCATAATCACTGCAATCAAAGTAAAAATGAATCTTTTAGATCTAGTTAGAACTCCTTTTAATACTTCTGTTAAGATATGTATGGATGGAGAAGCATCCCACCGTCGATCCATGGACACAGGGATCCACACGCCTTCTCTTGCCCTTACTAACAGAATACCATGCTGCCAATCAAAAGTTGAATCAATGCAAGTAAACAATCTACAATTTTCACAGGTTATAGTTTGGGAATCTGGTTTAATAGCTATGTTTCCTACAACTAGCATATAAGGGGGTTTTACACAACTTTGCAAAGAAATTGTCAGATTGGAATTTAGGTTAATAGTATAATATGGCTTATGATTTCTTGTTCCCATAACTTGATTTCCAGACCAAATTCTAATGTGGTACGAGGCCACAGTGAGACAGGCAGGGAGCCCCATGGCAGTGTCCAGGGGTGAATGTTTATAGTTGAAGCCCCAGTGGGCGTGTGTTACAGAGTGCTCTTTTAGTTTAGCTGTCTGTAGGTAGCTTGTGTTAGTCGGCTTAATTAGACCCCCGCCTTATTGCAAGGACAGAGGGCTCTCTTTGTCCTGGGGTTCTTGCCTTGGTGTACCGGAAGTGGTGCGATCTCAGCTCACTGCAACCTCCGCCTCCTGGGTTCACGCCATTCTCCTGCCTCAGCCTCCTGAGTAGCTGGGACTACAGGTGCCCGCCACCACGCCGGGCTAATTTTTTTGCATTTTTAGTAGAGATGGGGTTTCACTGTGTTAGCCAGGATGGTCTGGATCTCCTGACCTCGTGATCTGCCCACCTCGGCCTCCCAAAGTGCTGTGATTACAGGCGTGAAAGTGCAAGGTTTGATTGAGTGGAAGTATCTCTCAGCAGATGGGGGAGTCAGAAGGGAGATGGTTTACCCCTGGAGTCGGGTGAGTGGTTTACCCCTGGAGTCGGGTGAGTGGCCTGACTCTTCTCCGACTCTCCCAGCCAAACTCTGCGTTGTTCTTCCAGTCAGTGGCCTGCAGTGTGCCAGTGCCCATTGGTGAGTTCCTCTTGACGTTCAGCACCCTTGTGTTCCTCCGCTGATGTGCTCCTCTCGAAGTTCAGCTGCCTGTGTGTCTGCCTGCTAGGGTCTCAGTGTTTTTATAGGCACAGAATGGGGGTGTGGCAGCCAGGGTGGTCTTGGGAAATGCAACATTTGGGCAGGAAAACAAAAATGTCTGTCCTCACCTAGGTCCGTGGGCACAGGCCTCGGGTGGAGCCCTAGCCAGGGACCACACCCTCCTCTACCCAGTACTTCCCTTCCTCACTTCCATATCATTTAAAGGGACCATATTCTTCCCTTCTGAGCACTTCCCTTCTGTATCACAAAGTGTTGGGATTATAGGCATGAGCCACTGGTCCCAGCCAATTCCGTTCTTTTAATGCAAACTAGAAAATAGGTGTTCAGAAAGGCCTGCCCTATCCACCTCAGGGAGTTGCTATGAAGATCAAATTAGATCATGTGCAACAGAAGTTTAGAAAAGATTCCAAAAGCACTGTGCAATGGGATTGTATTTTTAAACTCCACTGAGTGGACTTAAAACTATGGTTTTTTTTCTTTCTTTCTTTTTTTTGGTTGAGACAGAGTTTCACTCTTGTTGCCTAGGCTGGAGTGCAACGATGCCATCTTGGCTTACTGCAACCTCTGCCTCCCAGGTTCAAGTGATTCTCTGCCTCAGCCACCCAAGTAGCTGGGATTGCAGGCGCTCGCCACCATGCCTGGCTAATTTCTTTCTTTCTTTTGTTTTTGTCTTTTTAGTGGAGATGGGGTTTCACAGTGTTGGCCAGGCTGGTCTTGAACTCCTGACCATAGGTGATCCACCCATCTTGGACTCCCAGAGTCCTGGGATTAAGGCTTGAGCCACCGCACCCAACCTGTGTTTCTTTTTTAAGCAAGAAAACAAATGCCTCTCCCCAGCGCTCACTAAACAAATCCCTCTGTTTTTTTTTTCCATAGGATTCTTATCCTTCTTGCCCCACTGCAAACAATCTATTTTCTTTTGGCCCTTCCATCCATCTGTGAAAGGGGCAGGGTTTCTAGCTAACCCTTAATCAAATATTTTTGATGACCACAGTCAAGATAGTACTTATTATTTTTTTGAGACGGAGTTTCGCTCTTGTTGCCCAGGCTGGAGTGCAATGGCACAATCTTGGCTCACTGCAACCTCTACCTCCAGGGTTCAAGTGATTCTATTGCCTCAGCCTCCCAAGCAGCTGGGATTACAGGTGCACAACACCACGCCCAGCTAATTTTTGTATTTTTAGTAGAGATGGGGTTTCTCCATGTTGGTCAGGCTGGTCTTGAACTCCTGACCTCAAGTGATCTACCCACCTCAGCCTCCCAAAGTGCTGGGATTACAGGGGTGAGCCACCCAGACCGGCCAAGACAGTGCTTATTAATGCCTGAGATGCATTCAGGAGCACATGACCTGGCTGTGACTGTTCTAACAAAGTTCCCCAAATGGGTGGCTCAGGACAACAGAAAGTCATTCTCTCCATTTCCAGAAGCTTGATGTCTGAAATGGGCAGGGCCGTGCTCCCTATGAAGGCCCTAGGCATGAATCCTTACTTGCCTCTTCTGGCTTCTGGTGGTTGCTGGCAATCCTTGGCTTGTGGCCACATCATTCCATTCTCTTCCTTCATTCTCATGTGGCCTTCTCCCCTGTGTGTCTCTGTCTCTTCTTCTCTTCCCATGAGGATGCCATTATTACTTGATTTAAGGTCCATGCTATTCCAATATGACCTCTTTGTAATTAGATCTCCAGTGACCCTAATTTCTTTTCATTTTTTTTTTTTTTTGAGATGGAGTCTTGCTCTGTTGCCTAGGCTGGAGTTCAGTGACAGAATCTCAGCTCGCTGCAACTCTGCCTCCTGGGTTCAAGTGATTCTTCAGCCTCAGCCTGTGAAGTAGCAGGGATTACAGGTGCACGTCACCATGCCTAGCTAATTTTTGTGTTTTTAGTAGAGACAGGGTTTTGCCATCCTAGCCAGGCTGGTCTCGAACTCCTGACCTCAAGTGATCCTCCTGCCTCAGCCTCCCAAAGTGCTAAGATTACAAGCATGAGCCACCATGCCCTGCCCCTATTTTCTAATAAGGTCACATTCTGGGATTCCTGGTGAATGTGAATTTTTGGAGGACAGTATTCAGTCTAACAAAAGGCAGAACATCCTCATTTTCTTCCCTACCTCAGAAATAAAGAAGTTAACTTCAACCCCTCTGAGAGAGAGAGGCTTCCTGAGCTTCCAACAATCAGTTATCCAAATATTAGTCACTGAAGAGCACTAAGGGTTGTGCACAGCACGTGGCCAGCCCGTTCTCAGAGTCTGTCAAGTTTAAGGTGAACGCTAATCCTGAATGAGTTTTAAAATGTATTTGGCATATCCTCGTCATTGTAAAATGTTCTCACATCATGATGGCTGGGGCTTCCCTCTCAGGTGTAATCTGCGAAGTCAGACGTGACACAGCCTGGGTGAGGTGGGCCAAGCTGGGAACTGGGTTAGGAGGGAAGCTGGGGAATGATCTCCAAGGTCTCAGATCCCAAACTGGCTTTAGCCTGATTCACCCAGAGGGATCTCATAAAAAATGCACATTACGGGGCCCACCCCAGACCTAATGAATCAGAATTACCTGGGAAGGAGCCTGGGGAGCTCTGTTTTCAGAAGCAGCCCAGCCGAATCCTACGGTCAGACAGGGCTAGGAAACCGAGCTCAGTCTAGCGCGGTAGTTCCCAAACTCGTCTGTGCTCCAAAAAATACAGATGCTGATGTCCAGGCATGGTGGCTCATGCCTATAATCCCAGCAGTTTGGGAGGCTGAGGCGGGAGTATCGCTTGAGCCCAGGAGTTTGAGACCAGCCTGGAGAACATAGGGAGATACTGTCTCTATAAAAAATTTAAAAATCAGCGAGGTGTGGTGGTGCCCACCTGTGATCCCAGCTACCGTGGAGGTTGAAGTGGGAGGGTTTCTTGAGCCCAGGAGTTGGAGGCTGTAATGACCTATGATTGTGCCACTGCACTCCAGCCTGGGTAACAGAGTGAGGCCCTGTCTCAAAAACAAAACAAAAAACGGATGCTATGTCCCATTCCAGAGGTTGATGTTTAATTGTTCCTGGGTGTGGCCTGGGTTTTGGAAGATTTAAAAAAAATTCCCGGGTGACCCTAAAGTGTAGATGAGTTTGGAAACCACACATGGAAGGCACACTTGAATGGGGGAGTAGTGAGGTGGCATGGGCTAGCCGGCCAGAACCCAGGGGTGGGGCAGTAGGAACCAGCATTGCCGAGGCCATGAAGGCTGGGAAGCATAGTGTCTGGGGCCCATAAAAATGCTTCGACATGAATGCTTTAGACCTAAGACAATTGGCTTCTAAATATGAAAACTGCAAGGCTGAAATGAATGCATGTTTAATGCTTTACAACATTGTCAAGTGGTCAGCTGCAACTCCGTTCTGAGGGCATGATGCCTGAGATATGCCTGTAATGGGGGTTGATTTTAATGAATTTAATATGGTGTGGAGTGGGGCCTTCAAAAGTAAAGATGTCAGCTCTAAGTTTGTTGCAGGGGTCGGGGCAAAGGTCTTAAAACCCCATGGTGAGCAGATGGCCAATCCTGAACACCCCAATTTTAAAACAGGGCTTTTTTTACCAAGAGACTTTTTGAAAATAGCTCCTATTTTGAGGGGAGGAACCCTGGTAGGAGAGAGCCAGAGTTAAGCCCAGCTGAGAGTGGGTTGGTAGGCAAGGGTCTGCCTGGTCCTCACTGAAGCTTGATACTCAGGGTGAGCTTCCTAAACCAATGCAGATTTGCTGGCCCACTGAGCCTCCCAGATGAGAACCTGCATTTCAACAAGGTCCTCAGTGCAGCAAAGTTTGAGATATACTGGGCTAGAACAACCAGGGGACACAAAGGTTCTCTGAAAACTAAGGAAAATAGGCAGGGTGTGGTGGCTCATGCCTGTAATCCTTGTATTTTGGGATGCCAAGGTGGGCGGATCACCTGAGGTCAGGAGTTCGAGACTAGCCTGGATCAATATGGTGAAACACCATCTCTACAAAAAATACAAAAATTAGCTGGGTGCGGCCGGGCACAATGGCTCATGCCCGTAATGCCAGCATTTTGGGAGGCTGAGGCGGGCAGATCACTAGGTCAGGAGATCGAGACCATCCTGGCTAACACGGTGAAACCCCGTCTTTACTAAAAACACAAAAAAATTAGCCGGGCATGGTGGCAGGTGCCTGTAGTCCCAACTACTCGGGAGGCTGAGGGAGGAGAATGGCATGAACCTGGGAGGTGGAGCTTGCAATGAGCCGAGATGGCACCACTGCACTCCAGCCTGGGCAACAGAGCCAGACTCTATCTCAAACAAAAAAAAAAGTTATCTGGGTGAAGTGGCAGGTACCTGTTGTCCCAGCTACTTGGGGGGCTGAGACAGCAGAATTGCTTGAACCTGGGAGGCGGAAGTTGTAGTGGCCTGAGATCGCACCACTGCACTCCAGTCTGGTGACAGAGTGAGACTCATCTAAAAAAATAAAAAATAAATAAGTAAATAAAAAATAAACATAAATACTGGGCTAGAAGACCCAGGAGACCCGAAGATTCTCTCAAAACTAAGGAAAATAATCTAGGTCACAAATATATTCTCTTCCTCCTTCTCCCCATTGCCCCCCTCCACCAGTAATCTTTATAGACTCAAATCGAGTTGATGTTCTATAATAATTCTAGTCACTTATTTACATTTATTTATTTTAGAGATGGGGGTCTCACTATGTTGCTCAGGCTGGTCTCAAATTCCTGGACTCAAGTGATCCACCCACCTCGGTCTCCCAAAGTGCTGGGATTACAGGTATCAGCCACTGCACCTGGCCGTCACTTTTATTTTTGATGTTCAAATTATAATCTAATGCCTGTGAGACCATAGATTCTTTTTATGCACTCAATACATTTTTGTGTTTACCTTACATTTGTATTATGGACAAATTCTGTTTTTTCCACTTGTTTCTATTTGATAATGAAGCCCTCTGTGCCTATCACCAGCCTCAGCCACCATCATCTCATTTCCAAGCTGGGTTATTTTGAAGCAAATATCTTCTAATATTTAGCTGGTGTTCAAATTTCCCTAACCATCCTAAATGAATGTTTAGAATAGTTGTTTCATTGGAAACAAGGTCAAAACAAATACATTTTACATTTTTAGGCCAGTCTTGAAAGTAAGTGTAAAACCATATGTGGGGTAGGAGGTGGAACTAGCCTCTCAAGGTGGGGCCTGGATACCAGACCCAATTGAGGACTAGCTAAGACAGATTCCACAATGAATAACACCAGGAGGTGGGAATATTAAGGTCCATTGTGAAGGATGGCTACCACAATTTTTTGATCAACTAGTTATCAACCCTGACTTCAGCTGAGAGAGATTTGTTTGTGCTTTTTTTTTTTTTTTTTTTTCAGAGACAGGGTCTTGCTATGTTGCCCAGGCTGGACTCAAACTCCCGGGCTCAAGTGATTCTTCTGCCTCAGCCTCCTGAGTAGCTGAGACTACAGTTGTGTGCCACTGTGCCCAGCAAGATTTTTAAAAAATACGTATGCCCGGACACAACTCTAAACCAACTAAATCAGAATCAGATATAGTGAAGTCAGTAATCATTTTGCTCCTGGGTCTTTATGCTAGTTTTGCTCCTGGGAAACTCCTGGGAATGTGGTAGAGGGAGAGAAAGAGATGGGAAAATAAGATTTTAAGAAGTGTTGCTATGCATTTTGAAAATAATTTTTCTTTGGTGTTTGTCTTGAGGGACAGTGGTAAACATTTCAATTGCCTTTAAGTATGCTTGCATGCTGGAATGATGGTTCTTTGAATGTAGCATCGAACTGGTATTGGGCCACGTGGCAGCCAGCGTGAGCCTTTATGCCACATTTATAAAACATGAATGTCATGAGCCCATTCTCAGGGACCTTACAATTTGGAGGGTTAGGTCAGATCCACAAATCTCTTGTATCTCATGGTAAAGGAAACCTGGCGTGTAGCAGGAGATGGTGTGATAACAATAATATATTGCATGATCATTATTTGTATTCTTCTTAGCAATATTAAACTTTTTGACCCCCTCCATTGTGTCATCAATTTGCTTAATATAGTTTCTTCCTCATTTCTTCCTCAGCGTCGGTTTTTAGGCCTGGCATAAGCTGTTTGAAACCCAGGCACGTACCCCAACCATTATCTTTGGCCTAGTTAACACCTCCCCTCCCTGCGTGGTGGTTTGGAGAACCTGCTTGTTCCTCATCCCACTGATCCCAAACCCAGGACACCCCACAGCTGCTGACCAGGATTAAACCTAACGGAGATTTAATGCCGTTAAATCAGAAGAAATTCTGATTTTCAGGGACTGACATTCATTCACTTAAATACTTGCAGAGTCGGCCAGGTGTGGTGGCTCACACCTGTAATCCCAGCACTTTGGGAAGCCGAGGTGGGTGGATCACGAGGTCAAGAGTTCGAGAACAGCCTGGCCAACATGGTGAAACCCCGTCTCTACTAAAAATACAAAAATTAACTGGTGTAGCTGTGCATGCCTGTAATCCCAGCTACTCAGGAGGCTGAGGCAGGTGATTTGCTTGAACCTGGGAGGTGGAGGTTGCAGCGAGCCAAGATTATGCCATTGCACTCCAGCCTGGGCAGCAGAGTGAGACTCTCTCTCAAAAAACAAAAAACCCAAAAACTTGCAGAGTGAATTTAGGAAACCATGAAGTACACAGTTTGATCCAATGCCTTCCTTTTTCTCTTTCTCAAATATTTTGAGCCAGGTACTATCCTAGATTGTCTTGTGATATTTACAATCTAGGGGAAGGCAGGAGAGAGAACTAAGAACAGAGAGCATGTTCTGAGATGTCTGCTGTGTTTGCAGGTACCTTCCCTCAATTTCCCTACTCACTGGCCATGCTGGAAAGCAGGTCTTGGCGCTATATTTGTACCATGGTACTTCCCCTCCCTATACTCAATTGGTTGACCAGAAGCCCAATTGTCATTCTCTCTCTCTCCCTCTCCCTTTCTCCCTCCCTCCCTCCCTCCCTCCCTCCCTCCCTCCCTCTCCAAGATATCCAGTAACTGACTGATCAGCTGGGGGTGGGCTCTGCTGGCTGCCATGATGGGCCACCAGCAAAAAGGGAAAATTGGTTGTCAGTGAGAAGAAGAGAGAAGAAAGTCCACACGGCTGATAAGAAAGACCATGGGCTTCCAGGCACGGTGGTTCACGCCTGTAATCCCAGCAATTTGGGAGGCTAGGATGGTCGGATCACGAGGTCAGGAGATCGAGACCATCCTGGCTCACACGGTGAAACCCCATCTCTACTAAAAATACAAAAATTAGCTGGGTGTGGTGGCAGGTGCCTATAGCCCCAGCTAATTGGGAGGCTGAGGTGGGAGAATGGCATGAACCCCAGGAGGTGGAGCTTGCAGTGAGCTGAGATCACACCACTGCACTCCAGCCTGGGCGACAGAGCAAGACTGCGTCTCAAAAAAAAAAAAAAAAAAAAAAGAGACCATGGGCTTCTGAGAGCAAGAAAGAGGAATTTTGGTTTCTGTAACTGCAGTTTCCATTCTCTCATGGCCTCTCATTTGTTTCTTGTGCCCATGAGTTTGCCTGTTAGAGATAAGGTGTGCTCCTTGTCCTCAAGCTCATGCAAATGGGTTTCTGTTTCTTACAATCATTGTTCCCAGATATGGATGGTGACTGATGCTCTACTAAATGCTGAAAAAAAGCAGAGTGGAAGCACAGAAAAGCGGGCTTCTCTGAGGAGGTGACGTTAGAGCCCAGTTGGAAGGCAGGAGTAAATGTGCACCATGATTTTTTAGGATTAGAACCAAGTATCTCACTGCTTGGGCACATGTAGATAGAGGTGATTTAACAGTAAAGTGTCCCAGTTGTACCCATTGTCAGTTACCTCACCACAGGGATTATGTAGCCCTGAGTTTGCTTAGTGCTTATTTATTTTAGGTTGTTGTTTATCCAAACCTCTTAAATGATACGTGTTTGGAACAAGTAACAGCATCGTTCATTGATGTTGTGGACAAACCACTATTTTATTACTCAAGACTGGGTAATTTATAAAGAAAAAGAGGTTTAATGGGCTCACAGTTCCATGTGGCTGAAGAAGTCTCGAAATCATGGTGGAAGGCAAAAGGAATGTCTTACATGGTGGCAGACAAGAGTGATGAGAGCTATTTTGGTCATTGTTCGCTGGCCATAGAATTTACTTCTATATTTTGAACTAAGATGAGAGCCAGGCACACAAGACGGTTACAGGTCTGTCTTTTGTTTTTGATGATGATGATGATGATGATGATGATGATGAAATGGCTGACATGGTTGATGACTCGCTTTTTCTCATCATCTCAGACCTAGATTTTTGGCTGGACTATTGGCTTGGGACAGATGAAAATCATTCCTTGTATCCCCCTATCTTAAAGTCAAGACTGAACCGGCCTCCAGACTCAAGCCTTCATGAGACTTCAGATACCATGAGGAATGGGTGTCCCTGCAATATTTTCATGGCTGTCAAAAATGTTATTGGAGCTGGGCAAGTGGGTGCTCTCCTGTCATTCCATCCTGCTTAGATTTCCCATTCAACACCAATCTTATTTCCTTTCTTTTTTGACAGAGTCTCGCTCTCTCTTCTAGGCTGGAGTGCAGTGGTGGGATCTCGGCTCACTACGGTCTCCAACTCCCAGGTTTAAGTGATTCTTGTGCCTCAGCCTCCCAAGTAGCTGGAATTGCAGGTGCACACCATCAAGCCTGGCTCATTTTTTTTTTTTTTTGTACTTTTGGTAGAGACAGGGTTTTGCCACGTTGGCCAGGCTGGTCTTGAACTCCTGACCTCAAGTGATCCACCTACCTCGGCCTCCCAAAGTGCTGGGATTACAGGTGTGAGTTACCGTACCTGGCCCCATTTCCTCTTATACCATAAGTCATTGCCTGCAGATGTGTTTTCTCCATTAGTTTGCAAAAGCTTCCTGAGACTAGGTCTGTGCCTCATTTATTCTGGAATCTCCCTGACACAAAGCACAGGGGTTTATCTTCAGTAGGCATCCAACAAATGTTTAATTTCATTCAACAGCTCCTCTTACCACTGCCCCCACCTTATTTGCAGATGGCTAAGTACAATCGGAAAAAGTAGGTATCATAAGATTTAGTCCAGAGTCAATTTGAGAAGAAATTACTTTAGTGATATGAAAAGAAACCATGCTATTTAGTCAGAATACTTCTGAGAGTATCCCCTGTCCAAGCATTTGCTGAATTTCTATCTACTAATTTTCAGGTGGAACAGTATGGTTGCAGAGAGTCCATTTGGACATAGATACACTTTCATGCATTCATGTCTTTAACAATAATTTGTGGCCCTACTGTGTTTGTTCACTAACTCCTTTGAACCTACCACATAAGCTATATCTGTATTTTCCTTGTAATTTGGGAGTTCCAATGCTTCATTAAGCTCACATGCCTGAAACTAATGAAGAAAATAGCTCGTTAACCAGATAGTATAAAAGTAGCCACCAAATCAAGTCAATCACCTGCCTTAAATCAACCCAGTACTCCCATCTTGAGCAGAGAAGCCCATTCTGAATCACAGTCAAGACATTGATGGAAAAACAGCTCCCTCTGTGGATCAAAACCACCCTCGCTCCAAATCCTCCTCCCCAGCGTTCTACTCATTGCTCACCCACTGAACCCAGAACAAACCAGAAGTGCTTGAAATGAGGACGGGTAGCTCCGTGTACCAATCGGAATTTAAAACTGTATCAATTCCTGCTATAGAAATGAGGCTTCTCCCTAGGACCAGCATTCCACAAAGGCAGCCCTTTTCTAGATGGAGAAAACAGAATCTGAAGGCACCCGTTTCCCTAAACTGCTCTTGCTCATGTGTAAGTACAAATGAAAAATGCTGAAGCTGCTTCTGTTGGCATTGCTTTTTAATTACGGCCATCAATAAATCATTTTATCCTTGAACAAGACTTGAGAATGACCCGAAGGCAGACGCACAATTCCTTAAGAATTAGGCCAACAGAGAATGGGCTCTCTCTCTTCCCACCCCTTCTCTTACTCTGCTGTCAGAAACAGAAACGTTCTCTGTGAGTAGCTGGGAGTAGACGGCCACACTTGAATTGCATCTGGGGGTTCTGTTAACACAGTTTTACCCCAGCCTGCCTTGATGGCCACTGCCACACAAGCTGCATCTGTTCTTTCTTCTGAGCCTTTTGTTACTTCGTTGTTTTTGCTCTTTCTAGTGTAGTGAGTTGAATGGTGGCTTTGCACAAGATATATCCAGATCGTTGTGCCTAGAATCTGTGGAGGTGGCATTATTTGGAAAAAGGGTCTTGCAGATGTAATTAAGGATCTTGAGATTCTCCTGGAGTATTTTAGGTAGGCTGTACATCTAACAACAAGTGTCCTTATAAGATGACACTATTGTCCGGGTGCAGTGGCTCATGCCTGTAATCCCAGCACTTTGGGAGGACGAGGTGGGTGGATCACCTCAGGTCAGGAGTTTGAGACCAGCCTGACCAACATGGAGAAACCCCATCTCTATTAAAAATACAAAATTAGCCGGGCATGGTGGCACATGCCTGCAATCCCAGCTACTGGGGAGGCTGAGGTAAGAGAGTTGCTTGAACCCAGGAGGAGGAGGTGGCAGTGAGCTGAGATCATGACATTGCACTCCAGCCTGGGCAACAAGAGTGAAACTCCATCTCAAAAAAAAAAAAGGACACTCTTTTTCATGTGCGTCCGTGTGAAGAGACCACAAAACAGGCTTTTTGTGAGCAATAAAGCTGTTTATTTCACCTGGGTGCAGGTGGGCTGAGTCCATAAAGAGAGTCAGCGAAGGGAGATAGGGGTGGGGCCATTTTGTAGCATTTGGGTAGGTAAAGGAAAAAGGGGGGTTATCTGGCAGGAGTGGGAGTCACAAGGTGCGCAGTAGGGGAGCTTTTGAGCCAGGATGAGCAAGGAGAAGGAATTTCACAAGATAATGTCATCAGTTAAGGCAGGAACAGGCCATTTTCATTTATTTTGTGGTGGAATGTCATCAATTAAGGCAGGAACCGGCCATCTGGATGTGTACATGCAGGTCACAGGGGATATGATGGCTTAGCTTGGGCTCAGAGGCCTGACGTTCCTGTCTTCTTATATTAATAAGAAAAATAAAATGAAATAGTGGTAAAGTATTGGGATGGTGAAAATTTTTTGGGGGTGGTATGGAGAGATAATGGGCGATGTTTCTCAGGGCTGCTTCGAGCGGGATTGGGGTGGCATGGGAACCTAGAGTAGGAGAGATTAAGCTGAAAGAAGATTTTGTGGTAAGGGGTGATATTGTGGGGTTGTTAGAAGAAACATTTGTCATTTACAATTATTGGTGATGCCCTGGATACAGTTTTGTATGAATTGAAAAACTAAACGGAATAAGAGAAGGAGAAAAACAGGTATTAAAGGACTAAGAATTGGGAGGACCTAGGACATCTAATTAGAGAGTGCCTAAGGAGGTTCAGCATAGGCTTGCCAGCAAAGATTATTTAAGAGTTAAGAGTGGTGGTTTGGGGATAGCACCAGGACATATCAGCTGTGATGGCTTGGAGAAACAGTGTAAACCACCAGTGTAAACAAGAGCAGGGCATATATGAGTAGTTGAGAACGGTGAATAGAAGTATGACTAGACAGAAGATAGTAGGGATGACAAGTTTTTTGGGGCACAGTCCAAGTTGGTCTTGTGTCTGGAATGAGACTGGGGCCTAATAAAAAGGAGCATCTATAGGGGAGATCCAATGGGTATCGGGAGACCTGCCCCGATAATCACGTAGGTTCTTTTCTATTTTCCTAAGCATCGACTGGCTTGAGAAATAAAAGGACAGAGTACAAAAGAGAGAACTTTTAAAGCTGGGCGTCCGGGGGAGACATCACACATTGGTAGGATCCGTGATGCCCGACAAGCCACAAAAACCAGCAAGTTTTTATTAGGGAGTTTCAAAAGGGGAGGGAGTATACGAATCGGTGTGCGTGACAGACATCAAGTACTTAACAAGGTAATAGAATATCACAAGGCAAGTGGAGACAGGGTGAGATCACAGGACCACAGGACCGGAGTGAAATTAAAATTGCTAATGAAATTTGGCACCATTGTCATTGATAACATCTTATCAGGAGACAGAGTTTTGAGATCAACCGGTCTGACCAAAGTTTATTAGGCGGGAATTTCCTCTTCCTAATAAGCCTGGGAGTGCTATGGGAGACTGGAGTTTATTTCACCTCTGCAATCTCAACCATAAGAGACAGGTACGCCCCGCGGGGGGCAGTTCAGAGATCTACCCCTAGGTGCGCATTCTCTTTCTCAGGGACGTTCCATGCTGAGAAAAGGAATTCAGCGATATTTTTCCCATTTGCTTTTGAAAGAAGAGAAATATGGTTCTGTTCTGCCCGGCTCACCGGCGGTCAGAGTTTAAGGCTATCTCTCTTATTCCCTGAACAATTGCTGTTATCCTGTTCTTTTTTCAGGGTGCCCACATTTCATATTGCACAAACACACATGCTGTACAATTTGTGTAGTTAACGCAATTATTACAGGGTCCTGAGGCCATATACATCCTTCTTGGCTGACAGGATTAAGAGATTAAAGCAAAGACAGGCATAGGAAATCACAAGGATATTGATTGGGGAAGTGATAAGTGTCCATGAAATCTTTACAATTTATGTTTAGAGATTGCAGTAAAGACAGGCACAAGAAATTACAAAAGTATTAATTTGGGGAACTAATAAATGTCCATAAAATCTTCACAATCCACGTTCTTCTGCCATGGCTTCAGCCGGTCCCTCCGTTTGGGGTCCCTGACTTCCCGCAACAAATGGGCTGTACCTTGCAGCATTCCGAGGACAGGCCTGAATTCTGAGAAGGGAAAGTGGTAAAAGTATTGTCCAGTCCTTTTTAAGTTGGTGGCTGATCTTGGTAAGGTGTGTTTTTAAGAGACCAGTAGTCTGTTCTACCTTTCCTGAAGACTGAGGACTGTAAGGGATATAAAGGTTTCACTGAATACTAAGAGCCTGAAAAAATGCTTGGCTGACTTGATTAATAAAGGCCGGTCTGCTATCAGACTCTATAGAGGTGGGAGGGCCAAACTGAGGAATTATGTCTGATAGAAGGGAAGAAATGACCGTGGTGGTCTTCTTAGACCCTGTGGGAAATGCCTCTACCTATCCAGTGAAAGTGTCTACCTAGACAAAGAGTTATTTTAGTTTCCTGACTCGGGGCACGTTGATTAAAGCTAATTTGCCAGTCCTGGGTGGGGGCAAATCCCTGAGCTTGATGTGTAGGTAAGGGAGGGGGCCTGAAGAATCCCTGAGGATTAGTAGAATAGCAGATGGAACACTGAGAAGTTATTTCCTTGAGGATAGATTTCCACGATGGAAAGGAAATGAGAGGTTCTAAGAGGCAGGCTAGTGGCTTGTACTATAGCATAGCCTGCTTTTGCTGGTGTGTGGCAATTAGGCCTGGTGGAACTGCCATCAATAAACTAAGTGTGGTCAGGGTGAGAAACAGGGAAGAAGGAAATGTGGGGAAATGGGGTGAATGTCAGGTGGATCAGAGAGATGCAGTCATGAGGGTCAGGTGTGGTATCAGGAATAATGTGGGAGGCCGGATTGAAGTCCGGGCCAGGAACAATGGTAATTGTGGGAGACTCAACAAACAGTACAGCAGAAGGAGCCGGGGAGCAGAATGTATATGTGGCAGGTGTGAGGAGGAAAATACATTTTGGAAATTATGAGAGCTGTAGAGAGTGAGTTGAGCATAGTTTGTGATTTTAAGGGCCTTTAAAAGTATTAGGGTGGCAGCAGCTGCTGCACAGAGACATAACAGCCAACCTAAAACGATAAGGTCAAGTTGTTTGGACAAAAAGGCTACAGGATGAGATCCTTGTTCTTGTGTAAGAATTTCAACTGCACAGCGCTGCACTTTGGCTGTGTGTAATGAAAAGGGTTGGGATGAGTCACGGAGAGCTAGTGTAGCAGGACGAGTTGCAGACAAAACTCCTCAGACACCGGATTAAAGAAGGAAGAGGTTTTTTTATTCAGCCGGGAGCGTCGGCAGACTGTGTCTTAAGAGCCGAGCTCCCTGAAAAAGAAATTCCTAGCTCTTTTAAGGGCTGACAACTCTAAGGGGTCTACGTGAAAAAGTCATAATAGATCAAGTGAGCGTGAGGAACGTGACTGGGGGCTACAAACATCAGCTAACAGAACAAAAAGTTTTTACAGTGCTTTCTCATACAGTGTCTGGAATTTACAGATAACACAGGTAGTTTTGGTCAGGGGTTAATATTATTGTTATTTTAACCACCAGGGCCAGGTGGTGGCGCCAAGGTCGTCTAGCTATTTATTTTACTTCTGTTTTTTCCAACTTTTTGCTTTCTCCCTTTTTTGCTGTCTTACAAACTAGGGAAAAGGGGAGGTTGGGGAGAAACTGGGAAGGACAACAGGAGAAGTGGTGGTCTCATACCATATTTCCCCCCTTTGAGCATTTTCACTTTTTAGTGGGAGTTCTCACTCTCATCTTTACTTTTTGAGTCTATTTGTGAGATAGAGCGATACTGATTTATATAACACACGTGTGTTGAAGTTTTCTGATGAACCAAAGTAGCTACAAAACCTCTTATCATTTGAAAAAACAAGGGTAATACACAGGGGAGCAGCAAGCAAGTTCCTATCACTAGCAATACACCTACAATGAGGGTTTTAAATCCTCCTATAGCTGGAAACCATTTTTCAAATAAAGACTCAGGATTAATCTCGTGCCAAACCTGTACAGGCACATGTGCCACCTTTGTCATGTCCCTGACTATGTTTTTAACCACCTGTCCTTGATCATTTATGTGTAGGCAGCAATTGGTTAAGTTAAATTTTCCACAAACTCCTCCTTCAGCTACTAGCAAGTAGTCTAAGACCAGTCTATTCTGATAGATAGCATTCCTCATTTGGGTTTCTTGCCAAGCTAAAACAGTCAAAGCTCTGCCAGTTTCATTAGTAATTATTTCTAAGATGGCCTGCAACTGCATGATCCAATTGAGCATGTAGATGGGGGTTCAGTATCCCCATGAGCCGTCTTGTGCCCATGTGGCAGGCCCATAATACTGAATGATCCTTTCAGGGGGCCACTCATTATCTTTCCAGTTTCCTATAACTATGCCTTTCTTTTCTCGGGAGGCGTAGACAGGGAAACCTAGGAGCTCACCCATTTTTATGGGTAATAAGAAAAAGGATGGCTTAATAGTGCCAACAACACAACTGTCTGCCCATTTATTAGGTAACCGAATGTAGGCTCTGTGCCTACATATCTAGTATAGTCCAGCGGGAACCGTCCAGTCCTGATGAGATTCTGGATGAGCCTAAGCAGTTTTTAATTTAGAAAATTTATTAAATGGATTCTTTTCAGTGTGGTTTAGGCCCTACTAAGTAATTGTCTTTGTTGTGCTGTTATACAACCTCTGTCCTATACAATTAAGCTTTCCTACAGGGATGATAAAGTCTTTCCCTTCTCTAGCTCTACAGTATTGTCTAATAATTGGGGTTTTTAGGACCTAGAGGTTGCTAGCTTCGGCCTTCTGAACTGGAATTATATCAGGAGCTGGATCAGTAGGCACCAACTCTCGGGCTTCCCAAGGCCATCTGTCTCCGATAGTGGTTCCTCCACGTACATAACAAGAAGTAACATTAAGTAAGAAAATTACATTTTCTGCTAATTGGAGAAACAAATTTTTTGTCTTTTTCAGAAGTTCTGCTGCTGGCAGATTCAGCTCCTCATAAAAGGTTTGAAATACTGGTTTGGGAGAGCACTTGTGGACCTCCCCTCTAATTAAAATGGCAACTTGAGGGTTTAACCCTGTCCTATTGATCCCCAGGGTTACACGTTCTCCCTTTTTCCAACGGTGACCTAGGGGATTGGTAATTATTAGTTCTAGTGGGTTACAGTGACCGGCAGCACAGGAGGGGTTGGCTTCCCCCTTCTGAAGATAAACCGGGTCCTTTTTGTTCTTTTTTTAAGTAGCCGAAATAACACATGGCCAATAGGCACAATTTTTACAAACCCCTGACTCATGACAAACATATTTATTTTCTACTCTTTAGCTCCTTTCTCAGTTAAGAGAACCACATCCTATTTCTAGCTTTTTACTATTAATGGCTGCACAAGCATCAAATCTTAAAGTTATTTGCTTGGGGATTTCTTTTTCTTCTGTTCTAGTTATTATTTTACTTGTATCACCTAGGAAAAGGCCAGTTCTTATTCTTATTTCAAAAACGGTGGTGCAGGGGGCTCAGATGGGTTATAACACACATCAGGTCGGTCATTTCTCGGGCTACATACCTTGTACTGAGTGGCATTATACAAACAAGTTTCTTTTATTGTTTCCATACATTCATAATAACTATAGAACAGAAAGATTGTTTTAATTTGCTGTCCTACTTCGGTGACCTGATGAGTACACTGGGAACAGTCCCCAGTTTGAGTAAGATCAGTTGAAGCCCTTACTGTATAAGTCCAAAATTTAAGAAAAATGAATCTCATGATGAGCTTCCTCAGGCTTCGGCCGTGCGTGGACCAGTCAGCTTCCGGGTGTGACTGGAGCAGGGCTTGTCGTCTTCTTCAGGGTCACTCTGCAGGGGTTGTCTGGGCTTGGTCTTGCCTCCCAGGTTTCAGGCGCTGCAGGTTTTACATGGCTGTGGTGGATCCAGGCTGGGATTCCTTCTACCTTCACAGCGGTGGGAGTGCTCAGAACGACAGTCTGGGGTCCTTTCCACAGTGGACACAAAGAGGCTACGTTCCAGTTCTTGATCCACACTCGATCACCTGGGGAGAAAGGGTGAACTGGGGAGAATAAGCTAACAGGGCATCTCTCATTTACCCAGGCTGAGATTGTTTGTGTAATTTTTCCTAAGGCCTGTAGCTGTCGCTGTAACTCAATTTCACCTAACTCTCAGGGAGTGCCTGGAAGTCCCCGCAATATAGGAGGGGGCCTATGATATAATATTTCATAAGGGGAATATCCTGTTCTTTTAGAAGTGGTACATCTAATTTTAAATAATACCATAGGGAGAGCCTGTAGCCATTTTAATCCTGTTTCCTGACATACTTTCCCTAAACTATTTTTGATAGTTTGATTAATTTGCTCCACCTTTCCGGAACTCTGAGGCCAGTAGGCAGCATGCAGATTCCATGTGATCCCTAATATCTTTGCCGCCTTCTGTACTAAGTCAGCCACAAATGCCGGCCTGTTATCTGAGCCGATCCGTAAGGGCAGTCCAAATCTAGGAATAAGATCTCGAAGAAGCACACGAGTTACTTCACGAGCTTTCTCAGTTAGTGTTGGATAAGCCTCCACCTACCCAGAGTAGGTACGCCCAAGAACTAGTAAATACTTGTTACCTCTACACTTTGACATCTCTGTGAAGTCCACCTGGAGATCTTCAAAGGGGGCTGCTCCATAAGCTTGTATGCCGGGCGGAACGGCTGGACCTTGCCTCGCTTTATGCTGTCGGCAGGTAACACACCACTGCGTCACCGTTTTGGCAAGAGCTGACAAATGCGAGATGTAGAAATACCAGCCTAACAACTTTTCAAGTGATTCCTGACCTAGATGGGTGGTTTCATGAACAGCCAGTACAACTGCAGCTCTTAGCAGCTGTGGCACAGCTACTCTCCCATCCGGTTACCGAATTCATCCTTCCTCCATCACTTGTCCTCTCTCTGCCTGGAGAAAGTCCTTTTCTTCTTTAGAATAAGTAGGTACAAGATCAGGTGCTTGAGGGAGCATGGGGGCTGTGACTGATGCCCGGAAGGGGGCAGATGTTGCTTTTCGAGCCTCTAAGTCAGCGCGGGAATTCCCTAAACCCACCAAGGTGGAAGCTCGCTGGTGTCCTCTGCAATGCATAACTGCCACCTTGCGGGGTCTCCATACGGCTTTTAATAATTACAAGATTTCTTGTAGATATTTTATGTCTTTTCCCCCAGAGTTCAATAGGCTCTTTTCTTTATATAATGCTCCACGCACCTGAAGGGTTGAAAAGGCATATTGAGAGTCAGTGTAAATGTTGACATTCTTAGCTTCACTGAGTTCTAAGGCCCGAATTAAAGCAACGAGTTCAGCTTTCTGAGCTGAAGTGCCCTGGGGAAACGATCTGGCTTCAGCAACAGTGTCCAGAGTTACCACCGCATATCTTGCACATCTCTCTCCTTGTGGGTTGATGAAGATGCTCCCAGCCACGTATAGTTCCTAGTCTACTGATGCCTAAGGCTGGTCCTGGAGGTTAGGTCTGCTAGAGTAAACTGAGTCCAACACTTCTACACAGTCATGCTCGACAGGGCTCTCTGATACTGGGAGCAAGGTAGTGGGGTTCAGGGTGTTACAAACTTCAATGGTTATACGGGGATTTTCACAGAGCAAACTTTATTACTTAGTGAGTCTAGCATTCATTAGCCAATGATGTCCTTTAGTATTCATTAAAATCACCACAGCACGGGAGGCCTTTATGTTCAGGTTCTGTCCAAGAGTCAGCTTATCTGCTTCTTGTACTAGCAGGGCAGTTGCTGCCAAGGCCCTCAAACACGGGGCCGTCCTTTAGAAACCCCGTCTAGTTGTTTAGAGAGGTAGGCCACCGGCCTCGGCCAGGGCCCCACAGTTTGGGTTAAAACTCCAACTGCCATCTTTTCTCTCTCTGACACATACAATGGAAAAGGCTTTGTTAGATCGGGTAGCTCCAGGGCTGGGGCTGACATAAGTTTTTCCTTTAACTCATGAAAGCCTTGCTGTTGCTGGAATCCCCATTCAAAACGTTCCCGTTCCCCCTCCCTTTGTGACCTCATACAAAGGCTTGGCTTATACTGCAAATTTTGGGATCTACAGTCTTCAAAACCCCACAGCCCATAAGAATTCTCTCACCTGCCTTCTGGTCTTAGGCTCCAGTAGATTTCAAATGACCTGTTTCTTTCTGATCCTAGGCTGTCTCCCACTTTCGGATAGTAAATCCTAAGTAATGTACCTGCTGTCGGCAGATCTAAGCTTTTTTCTTGGACATCTTATACCCACAGTCCTCCAGGTGCCGGAGTAGAGCATCTGTTCCTTTGGTGCACCCGACTGCCATGGGGTGTCCCAGCAAAAGATCATCAACGTACTGGAGCAACACGCAGTCTAGGTCTCTGGTGGGAAACTTCTGGAGGTCTTGAGGCAATGCCTCCCCGAAGATGGTGGGGGAGTTCTTGAACCCTTGGGGAAGCCCGGTCCAAGTGTACTGAGTAGTGACACCTGACTCTGGATCTGCCCACTGAAAGCAAACAGCTTCTGGCTCTCGGGATAATCTGATGCTAAAGAAAGCATCTTTCAGGTCCAAGAAGGTGAAGCAGCTGTCCTCAGCTGGCAGCAACCCCAGCAATGTGTACGGGTTAGGTACTGCTGGATGTAAAGTCACTGTAGCCTGATTAACCAAGCGCAAATCCTGTACCGGCCAGTAGTCCTTGGTCTTAGGCTTGGGAACAGGCAGGAGGGGAGTGTTCCATGGAGACTGACAAGGACCTCTAATTCCAAAACTTCTTAGGTGCTTGAGATGGACCTGGATACCTTCAAGAGCTTCTCTGGGGACCGGCTCCTGTTTTTGCCTAACCGGCTGGGCCCTAGGCTTAACTTCTATAAGTACGGGGGCTTGGTTGACTGCAAACCCTGGAGGGTTGTCTTCCGCCCACACTCTTGGCACCGCTTAGCCAGAGCTGGTCTTATCTCTTGGCCCCACACAGTTAAGAAAAGTCTCCATTCTTCCTCTCGGGGGACCGTAAGGGTCACAATGACTCCCGTTCTGGGTGACTTTAGCAGCAAAGAGCCGTGCTCTGTAAAAGAGATAGTGGCTCTCAGTTTGCTAAGCAAGTCCCTTCCCAACAAGCGCAAGGGACAGTCAGGTGTGTACAAAAACTGATGAATCACTTTATGTCTTCCTACAGCACAAGTCCGAGGCAAGCAGAAAGCTTGCTTTGCTGAAACTCCTGTGGCTCCGATGATGTCAATAATCTTTTTGGATAAGGGGGTGACCGGGGCGGTTACTACCGAATGTTTAGCACCGGTATCTACAAGAAAATCAATATCTTTACTCCTAACTGTCATCCTGACCATAGGCTCTTTGGGGGTCCTTGAGCCCAGTCCCCCTCAGTCCAATAACCCTTCTGCCAGGTTGAGCAGGGCCCCTTCATCCTTGTCCGGGGCCTCCTGCTCTGTGTCACCTGGTTTTCTTTTTAGCTGAGGGCATTTGTTTTTCCAATGTCCTATTTCTTTACAATAAGCACACTGATTACGCTGCAAGCTCTGACAGCCAGGCTGAGTTTCCTTCCCGGGGCCCCCCTTCCCTTGCCTCTTTGGGGGGACCCCTCTGATTGCTGCCGCTAACAGGTCGGTGTTTCGCTGGGCCTGACGTTCATTGTCTCTGTGGTTTTCCTTACGGCTTACTTCATCCCTGTTTACAAACGCCTGGTTAGCTATTTCTAATAACTATGATGTGTTCATCCCTGCAAACTCAGCCTGTTTCTGCAGTTTTCTTCTAATGTCTTCTGCGCTTTGACTAACTAAAGCCATGTTAATCATGCCTTGATTTTCAGGGCTACTGGGATCAAAGGGAGTATACATACCATAGGCCTCACACAGTCTCTCCTACAATTGTGCTGGACTTTCTTCTTTTCTCTGAATGACCTCAGAGACTTTGTTAACATTTGTGGCCTTCTGGGCTCCCCTCTTTAATCCTTCCAAGAGAGATTCCCTGTCTCTGTTTAGCCTTTGCATATCCTCTCTTTCATGTGGGTCCCACTGGGGGTCGTTCCTGGTAACTGGGTCCTTACATACTCTTGGGGGTTTTGGTAATCAGCTGGTGCATGTTCCTCTAGCCACTTAGTTGCTGCTTGGAGCACTCTCCGCCTTTCATCTGTGTTAAAGAGGAATATGAACAACCGGTGGCAATCAGCCCAGGTGGGGTTATGGGTCTGGATAATAGTTTGGAGCAAATCAATCAGAGCTTGTGGCTTTTCGGTACAGGACGGGGTATTGCTTTTCCAGTTGAGAAAGTGGGCAGAGGTGAAGGGCCGGTACCCAAAAACACGCCTCCCCACCACGTGACCATCCTCATCTATCCCAGTATACCGCTGCTCTCTCAGGGGCATTTCTGTCCCCGTTTTGGGTCTTAAACGAGCTGCCAAGGGAGGGGTTTCTCCCTAGTCCTCACCTCCTCTCTTGTCTACTCTGGGTGGCCTAGGGATATGTTTGTCTTGTGGAGGCGCAAGCACTGTGGACTCAAAAGTGGGGAGCCTGCCTCCCTGGTAAGGAGAGGGCACCACTGGGATCACTGGTGCCATCTCCTGCAATGGATCTTCTGATGTTGGGTCGAACAGAACTTCAGGAGTTCATTTCCCTCAGCGGGTGGAGCGGGATCCTTCCTTGGCTATCTGTCACTTTGCTACTAGCACTGCTGCTGTCTGCCCTCTTAGCCACAGTGGGGGGTTTAGCATCAGCTGTAACCAAGTGTCTATGTTTGGAAACTGGTCTGAGTGTCCTGACTTACCAGTTACCTTGTGCCATACCTTAGAAACAAGGGACCTGTCCAGGCTTCCTTCTGATGGCCACCCTACTTCTAATGTTGGCCAATCTATTTCACACAAAGTTCTAAGTTCCCCAAAGTCTCCATTAAATCCTTTCTTAAAATTTTTCAACATAGTTCCTAGCGGAGTAGGCTTACTTTGTATCTGACCCACGTTTCCTCGAGACAAAACACCAAGCTCACACCACACGCACACCACAGAACAAAGAATGGGTAAAAAGGGCACACACACACTTTTTCAGTTTTCACCAAACCAGAATCAAAACCAAAATCAGAGTATCCAGAAATCCAAGCCAGGTCAAACCAAAACCAAAGTATCAAGCAATTCAAGTCAAGTCAAAAACAAAAACCAAAGTGCCAGTACAGGCACGCCGTGGGCGATCAGGACACGCTTCCACTCAAATGGAGTGGGCAAGTTCCAAAGACCAGTCTTACCAAGATTCAAATGTCCGGACTCCAAGTGCCTCTTCCTTCCCTGTGTTCAGCCACTGTGTTGATCCTCCATGGGGGCCAACCACACACTGCTCTGACGAGGCATTCCTCCGGGGCAATTGCCTACCCGGGAGAGCTCTCAGGATCAGCGTCGCTCAAGCTGGCCGGAGTCCCCCTCAGGGATGCTCCACAGGGCAGGCCTAAGCCACCTAAAGGGCTGCCTCGACTTTCCGTCAATTACCTTGCTTCCCGGTCAGGGAACCAAGACTAGGGTGGGGGCAGTCTTTAAAGCTGTCTTCAAGGAACAGAAAGAGGAGTGGGGAAAGGATTTAGGATCTATGGGGTCAGCTAGGTTTCCTTTTGTGAGTTTATATAATGGTTTTGTTAGGATGGCAAAACCAGATATCTAAAGATGAAAGTATCCAACCATGCCCAGGAAGGAAAGGAGTTGTTGTTTTGTAGAAGGGGTTGGGGTTTGAGAGATTAGTCACACACGATTGGCAGGGAGAGCACGTGTGTTTTTATGAGAATTATGTGGAGACAGGTAACAGATAAGGAAGAAATTTGGGCTTGGCTGAAGTAATAGGGGCTGTCTGTGAAGCTTTGCAGCAGTACAGCCCAGGTAATTTGCTGAGCCTGATGGGTGTCAGGGTCAGTCCACGTGAAAGCAAAGAGTGGCTGGGATGAAGGGTGCAAAGGAATAGTAAAGAAAGCATGTTTGAGATCCAGAACAGAATAATGGGTTGTGGAGGGAGGAATTGAGGATAGGAGAGTATATGTGTTTGGCACCTTGGGGTGGATAGGCAAAACAATTTGATTGATAAGTCATGGATCCTGAACTAACTTGTAAGGCTTGTCTGGTTTTAGGACAGGTAAGATGGGGGACTTGTAAGGAGAGTTTATAGGCTTTAAAAGGCCATGCTGTAGCAGGTGGGTGATAACAGGCTTTAATCCTTTCAAAGCATGCTGTGGGATGAGATATTGGCATTGAGCGGGGTAAGGATGATTAGGTTTTAATGAGATGGTAAGGGGTGCATGATAGGTCGTCAAGGAGAGAGTAGAGGTATCTTCTACTTGTGGGTTAAGTTGGGTGGCAATGAGATGTATCTGTAGTCCGGGAACAGTCAGGGAAGCAGATAATTTAGTTGAAGTGTCTCGGCCTAATAAGGGAACTGGGCAGGTGGGGATAACTAAAAAGGAGTGCTTAAAAGAGTATTGTCTAAGTTGGCACCAGAGTTGGGGAGTTTTAAGAGGTTTAGAAGCCTGACTGTCAATACCCACAACAGTTATAGAGGCAAGGCAAACAGGCCCTTGAAAAGAAGGTAATGTGGAGTGGGTAGCCTCTGTATTGATTAAGAAGGGGATGGACTTACGTTCCACTGTGAGAGTAACGTAGAGCGTCTGTGATGGTCCTGTAGGCTTCCGAGGTGATCGATCGGGCACTGTCGGTCTGCAGCTGCTAAGCCAAGAAGATCTGGGAAGGAGTCAGTCAGAGAGCCTTGGGCTGGAGTTCCAGGGGCTCTGGGAGTGGCTGCCAGGTGAGTTGAACAGTCCGATTTCTAGTGGGGTCCCACACAGATGGGACATGGCTCAGGAGGAATCCCGGGCTGCAGGCATTCCTTGGCCTGGTGGCCAGATTTCTGTCACTTGTAGCAAGCTCCTGGGAGAGGCGGTTCTGGAGGAATGCCTGGCCACTGCGCTTTAGGCGTTTGGAAGCTCTTGGGTGCTGGAGATGTGGCTGGGGTTTGTCTCGCAGTGGAGGCAAGGAATTGCAACTGAGAAATATGTTGCTACTTGGCTGCCTCTACTCTATTATTGTACACCTTGAAGGCGAGGTTAATTAAGTCCTGTTGTGGGGTTTGAGGGCCGGAATTTAATTTTTGGAGTTTTATTTAATGTCAGGAGCAGATTGGGTAATAAAATGTATATTGAGAATAAGACGGCCTTTTGACATTTTAGGGTCTAGGGCTGTAAAGCATCTCAGGGTTGCTGCCAAACGAGCCATGAACTGGGGTGGATTTTTATATTTGATGAAAAAGAGCCTAAACATTATTTGATTTGGGATAAAGGAAAAGGAACATTAACCTTGACTATGCCTTTAGCTCCAGCCACCTTTTTAAGAGTAAATTGCTGGGCAGGTTGGGGAGGGCTAGTCATGGAATGAAACTGTAAGCCGGACCCAGTGTAAGAAGGGGAGGTGATAAAAGGATTATAGGATGGAGGAGCAGAGGCTGAGGAAGAATTGGGACCTAGCTCAGCCTGGCAAGGAGGGGAGAGGTCAGATGAGTCTGTAGAAAAGGAAGATTAGAAAGACTCAGCGACACTTGGGGTTGGGACTGAGGGGACAGGTGGGAGGGAAAGAAAGAAGATTTGGGATGAGTTGCATTGGGAACAGAGACTAGGGAGGGACCAATGTGTAAAAGAATGCCTGGACGTCAGGCACCTCAGACCATTTGCCCATTTATGACAAGAATTATCTAGATCTTGTAGGATGGAAAAATTGAAAGTGCCATTTTCTGGCTATTTGGAACCACTGTTGAGTTTGTATTGGGGTCAAGAGGCATTGTAGAAGAAAATAAGGCATTTAGGTTTTAGGTCAGGTGTGAGTTGAAGAGGTTTTAGGTTTTGAAGAACACAGGCTAATGGAGAAGAAAGGGGAATGGAGGGTGGAAGCTTGCCCATAGTGAAGGAGGCAAGCCTAGAGAAAAGAGAGAGTAGAGACACAAAGAGAAGGGGTGGGGTGGTCTTGCCTTCCAGAAAAGCAGGAAATGGGTTGGGGCACAGAAATACAGGGTTGGGGTGCAGAGATAGGAGGTCAGGTTGTGGAAATAAGGGATCAGGGCACAGAGATAAGAGGGCGGGGCATGGAAATAAGGGATCAGGGTGCAGAGATAAGAGGGCGGGGTTCCTGTGCCTCCCCCAGAAAAGTGGGACTTGCTGCTAAGGGTGAAGGAGAAGGGGTTGAGGGGTTCTTGCTTCTCCCCAAGAAAAGCGGGACTTGCTGCTAAGGGTGAAGGACCAAGGCAGGTGTCCCTGCGTGGTCTGACACCTCTGAAACCTGGGTGAATAATCAGAGAGGCGTCCCTGCAATGATTAAACGCCAAGGGAAGGCTGCCTTCCCTAGTCCATGACCGGCACCGGAGTTTTGGGTCCACAGATAAAATGTGTCTCCTTGGTCTCTACTGGAAAATGAAAGGAATTGAAATTAAGAGAAGGGAGAGATTGAAGTGTGGTGCAAAGATTGAAAGGAGAAAGAGGTTGAAGGATAGTGAGGGAGGTTGGAGAAGAGAGTAAAAAGAAGCTGCTTCCCAGATTTGAAATTGGTGAGATGTTTCTTGGGCTGGTCAGTCTGAGGACCTGAGGTCGTAGGTGGATCTTTCTCACAGAGCAAAGAGCAGGAGGACAAGGGATTGATCTCCCAAGGGAGGTCCCCCAATCCGAGTCATGGCACCAAATTTCACATGCATCCGTGTGAAGAGACCACCAAACAGGCTTTGTGTGAGCAATAAAGCTGTTTATTTCACCTGGGTTCAGGTGGGCTGAGTCCAAAAAGAGAGTCAGTGAAGGGAGATGGGGTGGGGCCATTTTATAGGATTTGGGTAGGTAAACGAAAAAAGGGGGTTGTTCTCTGGCAGACAGGAGTGGGGGTCACAAGGTGCTCAGTAGGGGAGCTTTTGAGCCAGGATGAGCAAGGAGAAGGAATTTCACAAGATAATGTCATCAGTTAAGGCAGGAACCGGCCATCTGGATGTGTACATGCAGGTCACAGGGGATATGATGGCTTAGGTTGGGCTCAGAGGCCTGACACTCTTCCTCCAGAGGAGGAGACCCAGACAGAAGAGGAGAAGAGAAAGAGGCAAGGTGATCACAGAGGCAGAGATTGGATCATGCAGCCACAAGTTGAGGAATTCTAGTAGCCTCTATAAGCTGGAAGACGCAAGGAATGGATTCTCTCCTAGAACCTCTGAAAGGAGCATGCTCCTGCTGACCTTTGATCAATTTTGGACTTCTGGCCTCCAGATAATCTTTTTTTTTTTTTTTTTTTTTTTTTTTAGACAGAGGCTTGCTCTGTTGCCCAGTCTGGAGTGCAGTGGCACGATCTCAGTTCACTGCAACCTCCACCTCCCAGGCTCAAGCCATTCTCTTGCTTCAGCCTCCCAAGAAGTGGGGACTACCGGTGCCTGCCACCATGCATGGCTAATTTTTGTATTTTTAGTAGAGACGAGGTTTTGCCATATTGGCCAGGCTGGTCTCGAATTCCTGGCCTCAAGTGATCCACCCACCTCAGCTTTCCAAAGTCCTAAGATTATTTAGGTGTGAGCCATGGCACCCGGCCCAGACATTGTTTGAAGCCACCCATTTCATGGTTCTTTGCTGCAGTGGTTGTGGAATATGAATGCACTCGTGCTGTTGGTTAGACTTTGCTGACCTTGTGTCTGTTATTCCCTGGCAGTTCTACAAGGCCTGGAGCTGATACGAAAAACCTCCCTTCTTTCCCAAATGGTCCCCAGCTTCCCCGTTCACTGAAGGCCCTGCAGTCAGGAACAGTCAGGACTTTGCACCCAGTTGTTGTGGGTGTTTGACCGACCCTTCCTCTTTTGTGATTCATGGACCCTTAGCATTGCATCACCTGGGAGCTTTTGGAATTGAAGACTCTCAGGGCTCACCCGGAAGGACCTCCTGGGCCAGAATCTGCATTTTAACAAGATGCCCAGGTGATTTGCATACATGTTCAGCTCTGAGAAGCTCTAGTAGGAGAGGCTTTAAGGTGGTAATTAGATCTTTTCTCCACCTGCAAGAATCTTAGTTTCTTCATGTTAAATCTATTAACTGTGGCAATGTCATGGGTGTTATAAAACAAAACAAAATCCTTACATCAAGAATGCACCCTGGTGTGTTATGGATATGGGTGAAATGAAATGTCTGGAATTTGCTTTAAAATGTCCTAAAATAGCAAGAAGGAAAAGAAAAGTGGGAACTGGAATGAGATTGGAGAAATGTTGACAAGTTCTTCCAGTGGGATGATGGGTGCATGGGGGTTCATGGTATAATTCTCTCCCTGCTTTTTGTGTATATGGGAAATTTCCATAATGAAAAGTTAGAGGTCGGGCACGGTGGCTCATGCCTGTAATCTCAGCATTTTGGGAGGCTGAGGTGGGTAGACTGCTTGAACCTAGGAGTTAAAGACCATCCTGGACAACATGGTGAAACCCCATCTCTACTAAAAATGCAAAAATTAGGCATGGTGACAACATGCCTGTAGTCATGTTGAGGCACAAGGTTGAGACATGAGAATCACTTGAACCCAGGAGGCGGAGGTTGCAGTGAGCCAAGATCGCACCATTTCACTCCAGCCTGGGTGACAGAGTGAGACTTGGTCTCAAAAAAATTTTTAATTTTCTTTTTTTTTTGAGATGGGTTCTTGCTCTTTTGCCCAGGCTGGAGTGTAGTGGTGTGATCTTGGCTCACTGCAAGCTCCACCTCCCGAGGTCACTCCATTCTTCTGCTTCAGCCTCCAGAGTAGCTGGGACTATAGGTACCCAGCACCATGTCCGGCTACTTGTTTGTATTTTTAGTAGAGATGGGGTTTCACCGTGTTAGCCAGGATGGTCTCAATCTCCTCACCTCGTGATCTGCCCACCTTGGCCTCCCAAAGTGCTGGGATTACAGGAATGAGCCATCGTGCCCAGCCTTAATTTTGTTTAATTTTTTTCTTTTTTGAGACAGGATCTGTAGCCCAGGCTGGAGTGCAGTGGTACGATCCCTGCTCACTGCAGCTTCTACCTCCTGGGTTCAAGCGATCCTCCCACCCCAGCCTCCCAAGTAGCTGAGACCACAGGCATGTATCACCACACCTGGCTAATTTTTTCCCTTTTTCTAGAGGCAAGGTCTTGCTATCTTGCCCAGGCTGGTCTTAAACTCCTGAGTTCAAGCAATCTTCCCATCTCAGCCCGGGAGTAATCCCAAAGTGCTGGGATTACAGGTGCGAGTCACTCTACCCAGCCTCAACTGTTTTTCATGACTCCACTTTTTCTCCCCTCTTGGAAATGAGTAGTCTTTGAGGGAATGTCTTTTTTGTCTCAATCTCTGGTTTCTTTACTCAGTGCACCTGCGTTTGGGGCTTTGTTGCTCTCCAGGCCTTTTTCAGCAGCGTTGTCCCTGGAGGGCAGGATGGCAGCTGATTGCTTCTCAGCATCTTTTAACTCAGTTTAAAGATGACTATCAACAACATCTAGTCAGCATCTGTTGCTCTCGGCAGCTGGGACTTCATTTCTTTTATCTTTCTCCACCTCTCTAATCTCTTTAAGTCTCTGTCTTTGTCATGGATACAGCATCACCTGTGTGGCCCTTAGGCTCTCTTACTTACATGTGATTTGCGTATTATGTCTTTACTTCAGGACTTCTCAACCAGGGGGTGATTTTGCCCCCCAGAGAACATGTGACCATGTCTGGAGACAATTTTGGTTGTTGCAGCTGGAGGAGGTGGTGCTACTGGCAGCTAATGGGTAGAGGCCAGTGATGCTGCTAAACATCCTACAATTCCCTGGACAAATCCCACTAAGACAAAATAATGATCCAGCCCCAAAGGTCAATAGTGCTGAAAGTGAGAGACCCTGATTCCATCTTAGAGATCATCCAAGCACACTTGGCCAAATTGTTTTTGCTACTGTCCCATGAAGAAAAGGCAGACTCATGACTGATGGCAACATCGATGGGAATTTTGTTTACCTCTTCTTTGTGGACCTTGGGATACGATGACTTACCATTTGTGCAAGTTGTGCATTGCATACCTCCAGGGGGCGCCACCCACATATTTATGAAAATGCCACCCCAGGAATTGCATAGTACATAGTCTACATGGCAATAAGCAGTTGCTCTGGTTTTGGGGTTGCCCTGGGGTGCTCTGGAACTGGGAGGAAATTTATTTCTGGCCATTAGAGGCCCTGAGCATGACATTGAGTATCCTTTCAAGAAAGGAGAAATGTTGAACAGAGAGGACCTCATTTTTATAACTCTTGACCATCATCTAGTTACGGAGCATCCACTTTTCACCCCTGGGCCATATCCATTTGACGGATGAAAAATCATCAAATTATAATATCATGGCTTATACTTTTGATAGCTTCTGCCCGGAACATGGCGGTAACAGCTTCTCATTTTCAATTGATTCATTGGGGGAGAAAATATACACGGCTGCCCTAAGACTTTCTATTACATACCATTTGTTTGACGGGATTTCTTTAGTTTCTGTAGCATAACTTATTCTAACTGGTCCTCAATCACTTTGCAATAAAACCTGAGATTGTGAAGATGTTCATTGTCATTTCCAGTGACGGAGCAGTAAGTACAGAGTTCTGGAGAGGGAAGGAATCGAGAGAGTTAAACTAGCAGAATGAGCCGCTCACCCTCAGAATTGCTTTTAGTCTTGGTGAGAACTGAGGGGAATTTTGACAGGGTTCAGGGGGACTGCGTGGAGTGGGGCTGGGAAGTGGCTGTTTGCACGTGTGGTCAGCAAATCCAGTGAGGGGGTCCATGTACTGTGGGCAGCCCCGCAGATGGAGTTGGGATTGCCCTAGACTGAGTACTGGGTCATCAGTACTCAAGACATTGAGGCCCAGGCTGGTGCAGGAGATACAATGCACTGCTTCAGCCTTTCTTCTATCGCTCCTCTCCAATGACAGTCCCCGATTTTCCACCGAGGAGTCACTAGTCCCCCACGACATGTGTGCGACTGGCCATTCCCCACCCTGATCTGGAGCTGGGGCATGTGGTCCCAGCCTGGATGTCAGTATCCTTCCACCACCCTGGCCACAGTGATTGGGTCTGAGAAGCAGATTAGCCAAAGGAGAAACAATCTTGGAAATTTCATGTTCATTCTTAAGAAAGTAAAATGGAAAGCGGGGGGAGGGTGAGGGGTCATTCTGATGATTTAGTTTTAGGACCTGGATGTAGCCACACCTGTAGCTGTCAACTCTGTGCCATAGTACTGCTTTTTTTTTTTTTCCTTCAAATTTAAATAGTTTCTAAAGGCAAGGTCTTGCTATGTTGCTTAGGCTGGTTTTGAAAAGTCCTTTTTGGGGGGATGCTTTCACTGCTTCACTTCCTTTCTATGACAGCTCAGGGAATCAGAAGACAAGGGAGATTTTTTTTTTTTTTTTTTTTTTTTTGGTTGAGACAGGGCTTGCTCTGTTGTCCAGGCTGGAGTGCAGTGGTGCAATCACTTCTCGCCACAGACTTGATCTTCTGGACTCAAGCGACCCTCCTGCTTCAGCCTCCTGAGTAGCTGGGACTGTAGGTGGGTACCAACATGCCCAGTTAATTAAATTTTTTTTTTTTTTTTAGAAGTGAGATCTCACTATGTCACCCAGGCTGGCCTCAAACTCCTGGGCTCAAGTGATCGCCCTGCCTTAGCTTCCCAAACATACAGGTGTGAGCCCCCACACCAGTCAACGCTGTGGTTTTATGCACCTGGTGCCCCCCTACGCCCTGAGCAATGATCCTCCTGCTTCAACCTCCCAAAGTGCTGGGATAACAGATGTGAAGCAGCACGTGTGGCCCACATAGTATTCTTATGGGTTAAATTGAGTCCTCCTCAAAACATGTTGAAATCCTGAATTCTAGTAGCTCAGAATGTGACCTTATTTAGAAATAGAGTTATTGCGGGTCAGGCGTGGTGGCTCACGCCTGTAATCCCAGCACTTTGGGAGGCCAAGGCAGGCGGATCACCTGAGGTCAGGAGTTTGAGACCAGCCTGACCAACATGGAGAAACCCCTTCTCTACTAAAAATTCAAAATTACCTGGGTGTGTTGGCACACACCTGTAATCCCAGCTACTCAGGAGGCTGAGGCAGGAGAATTGCTTGAACTCAGGAGACAGAGGTTGCATTGAGCTGAGATCGCGCTATTGCACTCCAGCCTGGGCAACAAGAGTGAAACTCCGTCTCAAAAAAAAAAAAAAAAAAAAAAGAAAGAAAGAAAGAAAGAAGGAAAGAAATAGGGTTATTGCAGATGCTATTGATTAGGATGAAGTCGTCCTGGAGTAGGGAGGGCCCAAGTCAATGACTGGTGTCCTTATAAAAGAGGAGAGGACACGCCGAGTCATAGAGACACAGGGAAGAAGGCCATGGATTGGACGGAAGATTGGACTGATGCGTATGCAAACCAAGAAACACTGAAGACTGCCAGGAGACCACAGGAAGCTACGAAGAGGCAAGGCAGGACTCCCCGACAAGTGCAGGAGGGAGCATGGCCCTGCTGGCACCTCCGTTTCAGACTGCTGGCTACCAGAGCCACAAGACAATCAATTTCTCTGGTTTCAAGTCACCCAGCTTTTGGTACTTGGTTGTGGCATCCCTAGGGAATGAATATAAGTACTTTCTCTTTTTTTTTTCTTTTTTTGAGATGGAGTCTCGCTCTGTTGCCCAGGCTGGAGTGCAGTGGTGAGATCTCGGCTCACTGCAGGCTCCGCCTCCTGGGTTCATGCCATTCTCCTGCCTCAGCCTCCTGAGTAGCTGGGACTACAGGCGCCCGCCACCACGCCCAGCTAATTTTTTGTATTTTTAATAGAGACAAGATTTCACCGTGTTAGCCAGGATGGTCTCCATCTCCTGACCTCATGATCCGCCTGCCTCAGTCTCCCAAAGTGCTGCGATTACAGGCATGAGCCACCACGCCCGGCCGAATATAAGTACTTTTAAATTAACTCTCCTCTTCTCTCCGTCTTCTTCTAAATCATCATTTTTGCCTAAGCAACAGCTAGGGTCTAATATGGATGTGACGACTCACCTCAAAGTGGGGTAAGCCCCCATGTGCACCAAAAGCTCCTGCTGCCTTGGCCCTGGGTTCAGAGAGTGGACCATCATTCTGGAGGCTTGCTGGAGATCTGAGCCAGGCCACAATTCTCTGTTGCCTTTAAACAAAGGCTGGTGCTCGCCCAGGCATGTAAGCTCCACCGAGGATCTATTTGGAAGACAGAATTCTGAGATGACCCCTTAGGTTCTTGCCCTGGATAAATGCCAGGTGTAATCTCCTCTCCCCTGGAGTGTAGGCAGGACCCATGGCTTGCTTCTAATCTATACCTATGAAAAAGTTGAAGGAATTTTGCAGATGTAACTAAGCCCCTAATCCATTCACTTTGAGTTAATCAAAAGGGAGATTATTCAGGGTGGGCCTGACATCTTCAGGTGAGATCTTCAATGAAGGTCTGGAGGAGAGAGACTCCTTCCTCCTGGTTTTTGTTTTTTGTTTGTTTGTTTGTTTTTGACATGGAGTCTCACTCTGTTGCCCAGGCTGGAGTGCAGTGGTACGATCTCGGCTTACTGCAACCTCTGCCTCCTGGGTTCAAGTGATTCTCCTTGAGAATCATGCCCGGCTAAGTTATGTAGAGATGGGGTTTCACCATATTGGCCAGGCTGGTCTCGAACTCCTGACATCAGGTGATCCACCTGCCTCGGCCTCCGAAAGTGCTGGGATTACAGGCGTGAGCCACCATGCCTGGCTGGTTTTGAAGAAGCCAGCCACATGAGTTCCACAGTTGCATGGAAATAAATTCTGCCAACAACCATGTGAGGTTGGGAGAAGACCCCAAGCCTCATATGACACACTAATTCCAGCCGGCACCTTGATCACAACCTTGTAAGAACCTGAGCAGAGGACCCAGCTAAAGCTGCACCCCCAGACTCATGACCCACAGGAAAGGAGAGGTAATAGATGGATGTTTTAAGCTGCTAAATTTGTGTTGATTTGTTATGCAGCTTAGAAAATGAATACATCATTCCATTTTTAAAAAATCATAAGCTAATCACACCATTCGATTTCTTTTTTTTTTTTTTTTCAGACAGAGTCTCACTCTATCGCCCAGGCTGGAGTTCAATTGCACAATCTTGGCTCACTGTAACCTCTGCCTCCCAGGTTCAAGTGATTCCCTTGCCTCAGCTCCCCAAGTAGCTGGGACTACAGGCAAGCACAACCACCCCCAGCTAATTTTTATATTTTTAGTAGAGATGGAGTTTCACCATTTTGGCCAGGCTGGTCTCGAACTCCTGACCTCAAGTGACCTGCCTGCCTCAGCCTCCCAAAGTGCTGGGGTTACTGACATGAGCCACCGCACCCGGCCTGACACACCACTCAACTTTAAGGAACTTCCAGGTGCTGTGGTCATGCCCTTCTTGTGTGGCATGCAGGTGGGGAGAGATGGGTTGGAAGATGACTGGATGGGGGCATGGAGCTAGGTGGGAAGAGGAAAAGTGTCTTGAAGGAAGTAAGTCCCTTCAGATAAGGGAGGGAGAAGCTTGATCAATATGCAGACTTTCACAGTCCTTCAGTCCTGGGGATATTGGTGGAGGGACAAGTCTTGCCTTATATTTGAGAGTTACCATCCCAGGCAGAGTCCCTACTTCCACATTCTTGCAGGTGGGGCTGGGGAGCAAATACTTAGAGGAGAAACGAACACCCTTTGTAAGCATGTGAAAAGTTTCTGGAGTGGAGAGATGATGAAGCAGGATATTTGGAGTCAACAGCCAAAGTTTTTATTTTATATTTTATTTTTTATTATACTTTAAGTTTTAGGGTACATGTGCACAACGTGCAGGTTTGTTACATATGCATACATGTGCCATGTTGGTGTGCTGTACCCATTAACTCGTCATTTAACATTAGGTATATCTCTTAATGCTATTCCTCCCCCCTCCCCTGACCCCACAACAGGCCCCAGTGTGTGATGTTCCCCTTCCTGTGTCCGTGTGTTCTCATTGTTTAATTCCTACCTGTGAGTGAGAACATGCGGTGTTTGGTTTTTTGTCCTTGCAATAGTTTGCTGAGAATGATGGTTTCCAGCTTCATCCATGTCTCTACAAAGGACGTAAACTCATCATTTTTTATGGCTGCATAGTATTCCATGGTGTATATGTGCCACATTTTCTTAATCCAGTCTATCGTTGTTGGACATTTGGCTTGGTTCCAAGCCTTTGCTATTGTGAATAGTGCCATTATAAACATACGTGTGCATGTGTCTTTATAGCAGCATGATTTATAATCCTTTGGGTATATACCCAGTAATGGGATGGCTGGGTCAAATGGTATTTCTAGTTCTAGATCCCTGAGAAATTGCCACACTGAATTCCACAATGGTTGAACTAGTTTACAGTCCCACCAACAGTGTAAAAGTGTTCCTATTTCTCCACATCCTCTTCAGCACCTGTTGTTTCCTGACTTGTTAATGATCGCCATTCTAACTGGTGTGAGATGGTATCTCATTGTTGTTTTGACTTGCATTTCTCTGGCCAGGGATGATGAGCATTTTTTTCAAGTGTCTTTTGGCTGCATAAATGTCTTCTTTTGAGAAGTGTCTGTTCATATCCTTTGCCCACTTTTTGATGGGATTGTTTGTTTTTTTCTTGTAAATTTATTGGAGCTCATTGTAGATTCTGGATATTAGCCCTTTGTCAGATGAGTAGATTGCAAAAAATTTCTCCCATTCTGTAGGTTGCCTGTTCACTCTGATGGTAGTTTCTTTTGCTGTGCAGAAGCTCTTTAGTTTAATTAGATCCCATTTGTTAATTTTGGTTTTTCTTGCCATTGCTTTTGGTGTTTTAGACATGAAGTTCTTGCCCATGCCTATATCCTGAATGGTATTGCTGAGGTTTTCTTCTAGGGTTTTTATGGTTTTAGGTCTAATATTTAAGTCTTTAATCCATCTTGGATTAATTTTTGTATAAGGTGTAAGGAAGGGATCCAGTTTCAGCTTTCTACATATGGCTAGCCAGTTTTCCCAGCACAATTTATTAAATAGGGAATCCTTTCCCCATTGCTTGTTTTTGTCAGGTTTGTCAAAGATCAGATGGTTGTAGATATGTGGCATTATTTCTGAGGGCTCTGTTATGTTCCATTGGTCTATATCTCTGTTTTTGTACCAGTACCATGATGTTTTGATTACTGTAGGCTTGCAGTATAGTTTGAAGTCAGGTAGCGTGGTGTCTCCAGCTTTGTTCTTTTGGCTTAGGATTGACTTAGCAATGTGGGCTCTTTTTTGGTTCCATATGAACTTTAAAGCAGTTTTTTCCAATTCTGTGAAGAAAGTCATTGGTAACTTGATGGGGATGGCATTGAATCTATAAATTACCTTGGGCAGTATGTCCATTTTCACGATATTGATTCTTCCTACCCATGAGCATGGAATGTTATTCCATTTGTTTGTGTCCTCTTTTATTTCTTTGAGCAGTGGTTTATAGTTCTCCTTGAAGAGGTCCTTCACCTCCCTTGTAAGTTGGATTCATAGGTATTTTATTCTCTTTGAAGCAATTGTGAATGGGAGTTCACTCATGATTTGGCTCTCTGTTTGTCTGTATTGGTATATAAGAATGCTTGTGATTTTTGCACATTGATTTTGTATCCTGAGACTTTGCTGAAGTTGCCTATCAGCTTAAGGAGATTTTGGGCTGAGACAATGGGGTTTTCTAGATATACAATCATGCCACCTGAAAACAGGTACAATTTGACTTCCTCTTTTCTTAATTGAATACCCTTTATTTCCTTCTCCTGCCTGATTGCCCTGGCCAGAACTTCCAACACTGTTGAATAGGAGTGGTAAGAGAGGGCATCCCTGTGTTGTGCCAGTTTTCAAAGGGAATGCTTCTAGTTTTTGCCCATTCAGTATGATATTGGCTGTGGGTTTGTCATAGATAGCTCTTATTATTTTGAGATACGCCCCATCAATACTTAATTTATTGAGAGTTTTTAGCATAAAGGTTGTTGAATTTTGTCACAGGCCTTTTCTGCATCTAATGAGATAATCGTATGCTTTTTGTCATTGTTTCTGTTTATATGCTGGATTATGTTTACTGATTTGAATATGTTGAACCAATCTTGCATCCCAGGGAGGAAGCCCACTTGATCATGGTGGATAAGTTTTTGATGTGCTGCTGGATTCAGTTTGCCAGTATTTTATAGAGGATTTTTGCATCGAAGTTCATCAGGGATATTTGTCTAAAATTCTCTTTTTTGGTTGTGTCTCTGCCGGGCTTTGGTATCAAGATGATGCTGGCTTCATAAAATGAGTTAGGTAGGATTCCCTCTTTTTCTATTATTTGGAATAGTTTCAGAAGGAATGGTACCAGCTCCTCCTTGTACCTCTGGTAGAATTCGGCTGTGAATCCGTCTGGTCCTGGACTTTTTTTGGTTGGTAAGCTATTAATTATTGCCTCAATTTCAGAGCCTGTTATTGGTCTATTCAGAGATTCAACGTCTTCCTGGTTTAGCCTTGGGAGGGTGTACGTGTCGAGGAATTTATCCATTTCTTCTAGATTTTCTAGTTTATTTGCATAGAGGTGTTTATACTATTCTCTGATGGTAGTTTGTATTTTTCTGGGATTGCTGGTGATATCCCCTTTATCAGTTTTTATTGTGTCTATTTGATTCTTCTTTCTTTTCTTCTTTATTAGTCTTGCTAGTGGTCTATCAATTTTGTTGATCTTTTCAAAAAACCAGCTTCTGGATTCATGGATTTTTTGAAGGGCTTTTTGTGCCTCTATTTCCTTCAGTTCTGCTCTGATCTTAGTTATTTCTTGCCTTCTGCTAGCTTTTGAATGTGTTTGCTCTTTGCTTCTCTAGTTCTTTTAATTGTGATGTTAGAGTGTCAATTTTAGATCTTTCCTGTTTTCTCTTGTGGGCATTTAGTGCTATAAATTTCCCTCTACACACTGCTTTGAATGTGTCCGAGAGATTCTGGTATGTTGTGTCTTTGTTCTTGTTGGTTTCAAAGAACACCTTTATTTCTGCCTTCATTTCATTATGTACCCAGTAGTCATTCAGGAGCACGTTGTTCAGTTTTCATGTAGTTGAGTAGTTTTGAGTGAGTTTCTTAATCCTGAGTTCTAGTTTGATTGCACTGTGGTCTGAGAGACAGTTTGTTATAATTTCCGTTGTTTTACATTTGCTGAAGAGTGCTTCACTTCCAAATATGTGGTCAATTTTGGAATAAGTGTGGTGTGGTGCGGAGAAGAATGTATATTCTGTTGATTTGGGGTGGAGAGTTCTGTAGATGTCTATTAGGTCCACGTGGTGCAGAGCTGAGTTCAATTCCTGGATATCCTTGTTAACTTTCTGTCTCGTTGATCTGTCTAATGTTGACAGTGGGGTGTTAAAGTCTCCCATTATTATTGTGTGGGAGTCTAAGTCTCTTTGTAGGTCTCTAAGGACTTGCTTTTTGAATCTGGGTGCTCCTGTATTGGGTGCCTATATATTTAGGATAGTTAGCTCTTCTTGTTGAATTGATCCCTTTACCATTATGTAATGGCCTTCTTTGTCTTTTTTAATCTTTGTTGGTTTAAAGTCTGTTTTATCAGAGACTAGGATTGCAACACCTGCCTTTTTTTGTTTTCCATTTGCTTGGTAGATCTTCCTCCATCCCTTTATTTTGAGCCTATGTGTGTCTCTGCACATGAGATGGGTTTCCTGAATACAGCACACTGATGGGTCTTGACTCTTTATCCAATTTGCCAGTCTGTCTTTTAATCGGAGAATTTAGCCCATTGACATTTAAGGTTCATATAGTTATGTGTGAATTTGATCCTGTCATTATGATGTTAGCGGGTTATTTTGCTCATTAGTTAATGCAGTTTGTTCCTAGCCTTGATGGTCTTTACAATTTGGCATGTTTTTGCAGTGGCTGGTACTGATTGTTCCTTTCAATGTTTAGTGCTTCCTTCAGGAGCTCTTGTAGGGCAGGACTGGTGGTGACAAAATCTCTCAGCATTTGCTTGTCTGTAAAGTATTTTATTTCTCCTTCACTTATGAAGCTTAGTTTGGCTGGATTTGAAATTCTGAGTTGAACATTTTTTTCTTTAAGAATGTTGAATATTGGCCCCCACTCTCTTCTGGCTTGTAGAGTTTCTGCCAAGAGATCAGCTGTTAGTCTGATGGGCTTCCCTTTGTGGGTAACCTGACCTTTCTCTCTGGCTGCCCTTAACATTTTTTCCTTCATTTTAACTTTGGTGAATCTGACAATTATCTGTCTTGGAGTTGCTCTTCTTGAGGAGTATCTTTGTGGTGTTCTCCATATTTCCTGAATTTGAATGTTGGCCTGCCTCGCTAGATTGGGGAAGTTCTCCTGCATAATATCCTGCAGAGTGTTTTCCAACTTGGTTCCATTCTCACTGTCACTTTCAGGTACACCAATCAGACGTAGATTTGGTCTTTTCACATAGTCCCATATTTCTTGGAGGCTTTGTTCATTTCTTTTTATTCTTTTTTCTCTAAGCTTTTCTTCTTGCTTCATTTCATTCGTTTCATCTTCCATCACTGATACCCTTTCTTCCAGTTGATCGAATCGGCTACTGAGGCTTGTGCATTTGTCACGTAGTTCTCGTGCCTTGGTTTTCAGCTCCATCAGGTCCTTTAAGGACTTCTCTGCATGGGTTATTCTAGTTAGCCATTCGTCTAATTTTTTTTCAAGGTTTTTAACTTCTTTGCCATGGGTTCGAACTTCCTCCTTTAGCTCGGAGTAATTTAATCGTCTGAAGCCTTCTTCTCTCAACTTGTCAAAGTTATTCTCTGTCCAGCTTTGTTCCATTGCTGGTGAGGAGCTGCATTCCTTTGGAGGAGGAGAGGCACTCTGATTTTTAGAGTTTCCAGTTTTTCTGCTCTGTTTTTTCCCCATCTTTGTGGTTTTATCTACCTTTGGTCTTTGATGATGGTGACGTACAGATGGGGTTTTAATGTGGATGTCTTTTCTGTTTGTTAGTTTTCCTTCTAAGAGTCAGGACCCTCAGCTGCAGGTCTGTTGGAGTTTGCCTGGGTGTCAGCAGTGGAGGCTGCAGAACAGCGGATATTGGTGAGCAGCAAATGTTGCTGCCTGATTGTTCCTCTGGAAGTTTTGTCTCAGAGGGGTACCTGGCCATGTGAGATGTCAGTCTGCCCCTACGGGGAGGTGCCTCCAGTTAGGCAACTCGGGGGTCAGGGACCCACTTGAGGAGGCAGTGTGTCCATTCTCAGATCTCCAGCTGTGTGCTGGGAGAACCACTACTCTCTTCAAAGCTGTCAGACAGGGATATTTAAGTCTGCAGAGGATTCTGCTGCCTTTTGTTTGCCAATGCCCTGCCCCCAGAGGTGGAGTCTACAGAGGCAGGCAGACCTCCTTGAGCTGTGGTGGGCTCCACCCAGTTGGAGCTTCCCAGCTGCTTTGTTTACCTACTGAAGCCTAGGAAATGGTGGTCGCCCCTCCCCCAGCCTTGCTGTCACCTTGCAGTTTGATCTCAGACTGCTGTGCTAGCAATGAGTGAGGCTCCATGGGTTTAGGACCCTCCGAGCCAGGTGCGGGATATAGTCTCCTGGTGTGCCGTTTGCTAAGACCATTGGAAAAGTGCAGTATTAGGGTGGGAGTGACCCGATTTTCCAGGTGCCATCTGTCACCCGTTTCTTTGACTAGGGAAGGGAATTCTCTGACCCCTTGCACTTCCCGGGTGAGGCAATGCCTCGCCCTGCTTGGGCTCATGCTCAGTGCACTGCACCAAGTGTCCTGCACCCACTTTCTGACACTCCCCAGTGAGATGAACCCAGTACCTCAGTTGGAAATGCAGAAATCACCTGTCTTCTGCGTCGCTCAAGCCAGGAGTTGTAGACTGGAGCTGTTCCTATTCGGCCATCTTGGCTCCACCCCCGCTATTATGATTCTTACACAGAGTACTTTGCTTTCCAGCAGCCTCCTCTTCCTCCTTTTTAGGTTGGAATCCCTCTATTTTAGTGGCCACTGGGATTCTGAAATGACCAGGTCTTTGTCTCAGAGACCTCACACATGCTCTTCCCTCTGCCTGGAACACTTTTCCTTGCTCTGATCCCCTAAGATCTCTTTCAGCTCAACCGCCCCATGATCAGAGACCCCCTTTCTCCCTCTCTAGCTTGAAGCCAGTTTACCCCTGTAGTCTGTACCTGGAAAACTCGTTTTCCTCCTTGATGCCTCCTGAGTTGTCACGGGATGTATGTGCCTGTTTGGGTGTCTGGTGTCTGTCTCCCTGACTGGACTGCATGCTCCTGGTGAGCTGGAGGGACTGGACTAGCGCAGGCCAAGGCCCTGGGGCTGGAGGGAGCAGGGCAGAAGGCACAGGCAAAAGGCCTTTGTGATCCGGAAGGAAGTGAAGGAGAGGGAGAGAGATGAGAGAGGCTGGCAGAAGATGGGCCAGGGGCCAGTCTGCGTGGGATCTTTTGAGCCACAGAAAGACATTTCAATTCTTATGTAAGAGAACCAGGACACCATTGGAGGGTATGAGTCACCTCATCTAACTGAGCTCTGTAAATGTCAATGTTTTATTATTTTTATACAATTATTTAAAAGTGATTCTAGTTATTTACCTTTTTATTTTTATTACTTTTATTTTTTTTTTGAGACAAAATCTTGCTCTGTTGCCCAAACTGGAGTGCAATGGCATGATCTCAGCTCATTTCATCTTCCACCTCCTGGGTTCAAGTGATTCTCCTGTATCAGACTCCCGAGTAGCTGTCGTTACAGGCATCTGCCACCATGCCCAGCTTATTTTTGTATTTTTAGGATAGACGATGTTTCACCATGTTGGCCAAGCTGGTCTTGAACTCCTGACCTCAGGTGATCCACCCGCATCAGCCACCCAAAGTGCTGGGATTACAGGGGTGAGTCACCATGCTCGGCCTTATTTACTTTTTTAAAAAAGATCAGGCCAGTCACAGTAGCTCATGTCTCCAATCTCAGCCTTTGGGAGGCTGAGGTGGGATGATCACTTGAGGCCAGGAGTTCGAAACCAGCCCAGGCAACATAGTGAGACACCCCCTGCCCCAATTTCTAAGAAAATGAGAAAATTAGACACGGTGGCTTGTCTGTATCCCCAGCTACTGGGGAGCCTGAGCTAGGGAGGACTGCTTGAGAGCAGGAGTTTGAGGCTCCACTGAGCTGTGATTATGCCACTGAGCTACAGCCTGGGCAACAGAGTGAGACCCCGGAGCCGCCTCAACCTCCCTAGAGCTGACCGAGCTTTTGCTTCTTATCACAGGGAATGACGGACGCTGGGGCTTTGATGGGCATCAGGTGAAATGGGCAGAGTGACGCTTACCTGGGATGGCAGTGAGGTGGGACGGGGAGGTCATTGTGACAAGGGGCGGCATGAGGTACTTGGCCTTGACGCCCTCCCCGGCCAGACGGTCCAGGTTGGGGGTGTCCACATCCTGATCCTAGTCCCAGCGGAAGCCCTGGAAGGAGATCAGCAGCAGTTGTGAGTGCTCTTCTTCCCTGGGAGGAGGTGGCCGCCCAGCAGGACAGGCAGCGGTAGCAGCAGCTGGAGGGCGCCGAGCCACGTCATCCCACGAGCACCTGTCATGCACTCCTCACACAGTTCATGGGCTTCTCCCTCTTTAGTCCGTTGTTGAACAAAGTCACATTAATAATTAATTCAGCCCAGCTCTGTTGTGGGACAAACAAACTGGAGTGTAGCAAGGTGCTGCATATTTGCAGGACAGTATGAAAGTGTTCTGGAGATGGGTGGGGGAACATGGCTGTACAATGTGGTGGATGCACTTAACACCACTGAATTTTTCCTTTGAAAATGGCTAAAATAATAGATTTTGTATGTATTTTACCACAGTAAAAAATCAAACTGGCCGGACATGGTGGCTTACACCTGTAATCCCGGCACTTTGAGGCTAAGGCGGGTATATCATTTGAGGTCAGGAGCTCAAGACCAGCCTGTCCAACATGGAGAAACCCCATCTCTACTAAAAATGCAAAAATTAGCCAGGCGTGGCGGTACATGTCTGTAATCTCAGCTACTCGGGAGGCTGAGGCAGGAGAATTGCTTGAACCCAGGAGGCGGAGGTTGCAGTGAGCCGAGATTGCGCCACTGCATTCTGACCTGGACGATGGAACGAGACTGCATTTCCAAAAAAAAAAAAAAAAAAAAAATCAAACCACATGAATATTTTGCACTCTTATACTAATTCCAACATTTCAAGATCTGGGGAGAACAAACTAGATTGGTGCTTTCCTTGGCTTTGTATGTTCTGTTTTTATAGGGAGAGCAAATTATTGTTCACCAGCACTATTAAAATAGCTACAACAGGATGGGCATGGTGGCTCACACCTGTAATCCCAGCACTTTGGGAAGCTGAGGTGGGAGGATCGCTTGAGCCCAGGAGTTCAAGATGCCAGCCTGGGCAACATGGTGAGACCCTGTCACTACCAAAAAATATAACAACAACAACAAATATAGCTAGGTGTGGTTGTGTGCATCTGTAGTCCCAGCTACATGAGAGGCTGAGGTGGGAGGATCACTTGTGCCCAGGAGGTTGAGGCTGCAGTAAGCCATGATTATGCCACTGTACTCAGCCTGGGTGACAGAGTGAGACCCTATATGGAAAAAAAAAATAAAAAGCTGCAGTGGACTCAGTGATCATGAGGCCAGGCACTGTATACATATACATCATCTCATTTAATTTTTTCTTTGTTTAAAATTATTTTTTCCTCTAATCCCCATGTTGATCGACATTTTTTTTAATCCTAGGAATTATTTGAAAATTTCGCATAAGAATTAAAAATTGCCTGGCCTGATGGCTTACACCTGTTATCCCAGCACTTTGGGAGGCTGAGATGAGAGAATCACTTGAAGCCAGGAGTTTGGGCCAGTCTGGGCAATAAAGCGAGAATGCAACTCTATAAAAAAATTTAAAAAGCTGTGTGTGGTAGCGTTCACATGTAGTCCCAGCTACTTGGAAGACTAGGTGGGAGGATTGCTTGAGCCCAGGCGGTAAAGGCAGCAGTGAGCTATGATTGTGCCATTGCACTGCAGCCTGGGTGATGGAGTGAGACTCTCTCTCTAAAATAAATGAATAAAATTGTGGTATAATATATGCAACATTTACCATTTTGTGTATCTGAAAGTGTACAGTTCAGTGACATTTTGTACATTTATCATGTTGTGCAATTGTCACCACTACCTAGTTTCAGGGCTTTTTCAACACCTCAATTGGAAGCCTCATATCCATTCAGCAGTCACTTTGCATATCCCCTCCTGCAGCCCCTGGAAACCCTTCATCTACTTTCTATCTCTGTCGATTGGCTTAGACTGAACATTGCATATAAATGGAATTGTACAATATATGACCTTTCATGTCTGCTTCTTTCACTGAGCATGTTTTTAACGTTCATCCATATCACAACATGGATAAGTTTTGTTTTCTTTTTAGACCCTATCTAAAAAGAAAAAAAAAATTGTAAAACAAAAACAAAAAAATGTATAGGATGGAGATCATATGAGTCCTGCAAAGTTTATATTTACTATCTAGCACTTTACATAGAAGCTTGCCTACCTCTGAATGATATGCAGGTACAGAGATGACATTTATCTTGGCACTTATAGAAAGACCTATAAATTGTATAAAGACATCATCATTGGATTTCCAGTAACAAGAAGCGGCAAGACATGACGGTGTGTCCAGGTGTTCAGGTGAAGTTTAGGGAAGGTCTTGTCTTGATGAGTTCGGATGTGAGACCCAGATGAGATAACCCCATTTCCCCTGCTGAAATTGCCTGAGAATTTCATTCCAGTTATTTGCGTAGGTTGATTCTTTCGGTGGGGGTGGGGTGGGTGAGGAGGTGAAGTGTCCGGGCAGTTCTATTTTGTATTTGCACAACTTGGCTTTCTTTTCACTTGGTGTGGTGTTTTGCTGTATGAGGAATTTCATAGAATTTTGTGATGAGTATGCAGCATAGTGGTTTGAAACCTGCCAGGCTGAGGGCCATATCTCAGCTCTGCAACTCATTATCTGTGACGCCTTGGGGCAGGTCCCTTAACTCTCCAAGCCTCTGTTCTATATTCCATGGGGTTGTGAGGTTCAGATGAAATAATGCATGCTGGCAGGAATGGTTACTGCTCATGGGATTTCCAGGTGCTCCCTGTATTCCCCAGACCCCCTGTAGTTAGATGGATCCATGCCAGGGTCCAAGGCTTTATAAGTGGAAGTCACTGATATCACCTCTAGTCTACAGCTTTTGAGGGCTTGGGAATAACTATCTCATTCTCTCATCTCCTGGTGTAGTAACTATGGGAGAATCCTTGCATTAACATGGTAGAATTTCCATCATTCTAGGTCTTTGAGTGGCCATATGGAGCACACCATACCCAGCCAACCCATTGTGGACATGGAATGTAAGAAATCAACCTTGGTTGCTAAGCTGCTGAGACTCTGGGGTTAATTTGTTACTGCAGCATAACCTGGTCCATCCTGATGCATGCAGCATGCAAACCACTTATGTTGACCCTTAGTCATGGTAAGTGCTCCACAGATGTTGGTTACTTTTGGTAGGAAGATAGATTGCCTCTGAAAGTTGTGTTAGCTGATCTCATGATGCCAATGTTGCTATTTTGTAATTGGATAAATTGGACTTGGCTCTCCTTCCAGCATGTGGGAGAGAAAGATGACTGAGAGACAATAAGGCACTATTATCTTCAGTTTGTGTCCTTGTATACCCTTGGTGGCAATGAACAATGCATGCCCCTCTGAGAAAACTGGACCTAAAGGAGAATGGGAGATGATACCAGAATTGGGAAAGTCCAAGGCCCCAGGCATTCCCTGGTCTGGAGACAACTTTGACTCCTTGGTGGGAAGATTCTCCAAGGGAACATAAATGTTTCTACTATCTAGTTTGTCTCTTTGAGAATTAAAACTTTTTTTTTCATTCCAGTAGCTTTTGGGGTACAGTTTGGCTCTTTGAGAATTGCATACTAATTAATTTTAGGGGTCATCTGTACACATCTCTATATTCCTGAAACATGGTAGAAACAGCCAGCAGTCAGGTGACAATCTGCCATGACCACTAAAATATCCCCAAAGTGAAACACCAGATGTGATCCACTAGGTTTAGTGGAGGTGGCTGGCTCGAGAGTTGATTATATTTATTATTGTCACTGTGGTGATTATGGCCACAACATTGTGATGCGTGTTGGTCTTCTTTTGGTGAGTTCCAGTTTGGAAGGAATAAATCCTTTTTTTTTTTTTTTTTTGAGTCTTGCTCTGTCACCCAGGCTGGAGTGCGGTGGTGCCATCTCAGCGTGCTGTAAACTCTGCCTCCCAGGTTCAAGTGCTTCTCCTGCCTCTATGCCCAGGCTGGTCTTGAACTCCTGACCTCACGTGATCCACCTGCCTCAGCCTCCCATAGTGCTGGGATTACAGGCGTGAGCCACCATGCCCGGCCCCATTATTCATTTAACCAATATCTATTTAGCACTTTGGGTGTGGTGGAGGATGAACTGCAGGGGAGAGAGGAAGCCTTCTCTTGCCACTATGTTTTCAAGTTGTCCTAATACTCCACCATGACACTCAGGCTTGTGGGTCCCAGAGCTCCAGAAGCATCTCCTGACCACCACAACCTGACCCAGATTCTACTGAAAAATACGTGAGTCTAGCAGAGCCATCTCTGACACTTCCCTTCTTTTGAACGGCTGATCTGTCAGCCATGGGGAGCCCTTATGAAAGTGCAGTGTGTTTTGTGAAACTTGAGGTTGATCAAAGAATACCATTAAATTTTATTAAGAAATCTACATATTGATGACATACGCAGTGGGGTGGAGGTGGGGAAATTCCCAAATACATTTTAGGAATTATCTCAGAAGGAGGTAGTAGTCAGAACTCTTGGTTGCCAGTGACAGAAACTCATCTTACTAGTGTGGAGTGGAAAAGCGATCATGTTTTTCTCTGCACTCCCCAACCCCAACCCCAAGCAGATCCTGAAAGAGGCACAGGATTGCAAGTGGATTATTTAGGAGATGATTCCAGGGAACACCAATAGGGGAGTGAGGAATTGATTCATGGAAAGGCAGGAGGCCACACAGGGGGCTTCAATGAGCAGCTTACTACTCCAGGCAACTAGGATTTGACCCCACTGGGGACCTCTGGGAGGTGATGTGGAATACATTTCAAAGTTGTTCCATCCAGGGGGCGAAGATATTGAAGCATTTATAGCCTGGCTCCCATCCGTCACTGGCTGAGGACTGGTCCCAGGGCATCAACTCTCTGGCTTTTCTTTTTTCTTTTCTTTTTTTTTTTTTTTTTTTTTTTGAGACACAGTCTTGCTCTGTCATCCAGGCTGGACTGCAATGGCATGATCTCGGCTCACTGCAACATCTGCCTCCCAGGTTCAAACGATTCTCTTGCCTCGGCTTCCTGAGTAGCTGGGATTACAGCCACCTGCCACCATGCCCCACTAATTTTTTTATTTTTTGTAGAGACAGGGTTTTGCCATGTTGGTCAGGCTGGTCTCAAACTCCTGACCTCGTGATCCACCTGCCTTGGCCTCCCAGTGTTGGGATTACAGGAGTGACCCACTGCACCCGGCTTCTGTGGCTTTTCTGACATACTCCATGCCTGACTTTGAGAAAGCCCTCAGGTGAAAATCTTGGTAGTATGCAGTAGCAAGCATGTACTAGAATGATAAAAACCAAGGGGCTTACCACAGGATCTCTCTCTCTATCTCTGTCTCTAGCTTTGTCTGCATCCTGGCTTAATTTCTTCTTACTCAAGCCTTTTCTCCATAAGGCGAGAAACGTGGCCACAAAAGCTCCTGTATTTCTCACTACACACAATTCCTGTCATCACACAGAATGATTAACTTGGTCTAGTTCCAGTTTGGAAAAATATTCAAGGGAAGAATTCTGATTGGCCAATTTAGGCCAGATGCTCATCCCTGGACCAATCAACTGATGCCAGAGGGGTGGAGTCATTTGAGAACATGGCAGCCCCCATGAGAGCCACATGACTGGAATAGGAAGTGTGAGTCTCTATAGAGGGGAGGGCCGCTAGGCTGAAAAGGCAATAGATGTCTGCAGTGAAAGGAATAGATCAGAGATACAGTCTGTTAAACCTGTTAATTATTTGAAAAAAAAAAAAAGAGAAACTTTCAATATACAGCCACAGCATACGTGAGCCGGTGGCTCACGCCTGTAATCCCAGCACTTTGGGAGGCTGAGGTGGGCAGATCAGAGGTCAGGAGTTCGAGACCAACCTGACCAACATGGTGAAACCCTGTCTTGTGCACCTGTAATCCCAGCTACTCAGGAGGCTGAGGCAGGAGAATCGCTTGAACCAGGGAGGTGGAGTTTGCAGTGAGCTGAGATCATGCCACTGCCCTCCAGCCTGGGCAACAGAGTGAGACTCCTTCTCAAAAAAAAAAAAAAAAAAGTTACCTTGTGGTTCCCCCAGCATGATTTATCAGAAAGGAAAAACTTACAATATGCGTATTTCCTATGCACAGGCTACTGCTATGAATTCAAATTCTTAAATTCCAAAGATTAATTAGAATGTTTCTCAAGACACATAAACTGTTAGAATCTGCTTATAATGAGGCTGAAGTTGAGTAAGAAGAGAACTGGCATTTAGGACACTATTTTTCTTCTGTCGAGTACTGTCAAGTTTTGGTTCTGCCTGGAAGTAGATGCACCTCAAGGGAGGGTTGCATGTAAAGGTGTGTGTGTGTGTGGTAGTTTCCAAAGATGGGTACAACTTTCTGCAAATGCTCGTGCAGTGTAATTGAACCAATCTTTCCTTTAAGAGGTAGACTTTATACTCCTCTACATGAATCTGGGCTACCTATGACTTGCTTTGGCCAGTGAAATGCTGCCAAAGTGATGCTGACCAACTTCTAGCCGTGAAAGGAAAATAAACCTTGGGCCCCCAAGATCACTAAGCTAGGCTGGGCTCGGTGGCTCACGCCTGTAATCCCAGCACTTTGGGAAGCTGATGCGGGCAGATCACCTGAGGTTAGGAGTTCAAGACCAGTCTGGCCAACATGACAAAACCCCGTCTCTACTAAAAAATATGAAAATTAGCCAGGCGTGGTGGCAGGCGCCTATAATCCCAGCTACTTGGGAGGCTGAGGCAGGGAATTTGCTTGAACCCTGGAGTTGGAGGTTGCAGTGAGCCGAGATCGTACCACTGCACTCCAGCCTGGGCAACAGAGCAAGACTCTGTCCCCCCACCCAAAAAAAAGTTACTAAGCTAAAGAGAAAAGTCAAGCTGGGAACTGCTTAGGGGAAACCTGCCTCCCATTCTATTCAGTCACCCCTTTGCTCACTGAGATAAATGTATATCTGATTGCCTCATTTGGAGAGGCTAATCAGGAACTCAAAAGAATGCAACCATTTGTCTCTTTACCTATGACCTGGAAGCCCCTTCCCCTTGTCTCACCTTCACCTTCACCTGGAGTTGTCCCGCCTTTCCAGACTGGACCAATGTACATCTTACACATATTGATTGATGTCTCATGTCTCTCTAAAATGTATCAAACCAAGCTGTGTCCCTACCACCTTAAGCACATGTTGTCAGGACCTCCTGAGGCTGTGTCACAGGCATGCGTCCTTAACCTTGGCAAAACAAACTTTCTGAGTTAACTGAGACCTCAGATTTTTGGGGTGCAAATAGTCTTACGCCTTGAGAGCCCTCTCGTAGTTTCCACATTTTTGCCCTCTTGGATGCTGGCACCAAGCAAACCTTGGCTATCCTGCTTAAAGGAACATTTGGAGAGGGGCTCTGGAGGGCGAGGGGCCACATGGAGGAAAACAAGGTTCCCCGGCTGACAACCAGCACCAACTGCCAGGCACATGCGTGAGGCTGTCCTGAATGTTCCGCCCAGCTGGCCCTCCAGCTGCAGGTAGCCACACAAATGAGCCCAGGTTAAACCAGCCAGGAAGTCCCCATGCAACTCACAGGGTAACGAGCAATAATGGCTTGTGGTGGTTTAAAGTTTCTAATTTTAGGTGCAATAGGTAACTGAAACAGCCCACAAGGGTGTGAGCCTGTGGAGGGTGCATTTCCCACCTGCTGAAGCTTCTCAATTCCCAGGATCCAATCCGGATAAGACTCTTGTTCTCAGTGTCCTTGATGGAAATGGCAATGAACTTTTTGCAGATTGGACCATCTCGGGAATCCCAAAGATCGGAAACTATTTTCTTTCTCAGAATCTTCCACACAGCATTGAGCCTTAGGAATTTCTAAGAAGGATCTGGAATGAAAAAAAATCTTTTGAAAAGGTATTTGTATAGCTTCACTTCAGCAAGATTCATGGTGGGTATTAGACTAAGTGCTGGTGTTAAGCCAAACCATGTTTTTCAAAGACTCATCTGGCCTCAAGGTTGGCAGGATCAGAGTGGCCTCCCAGGATCTATCACATCCTCAGAAGAGTTGGTTCAACTGGCATGTACCCAGATCTCTTTGAGCTAGTATGATACTCCCTTGAGTCAAAGGCTGCCACATCACATCTCCTTTAAGTCCCCCTAAGTACGACCCCAGAAGTATTGACAAAATAGTGCTATTCCTGAAGATTTCAGGAGGACATAAATGAAGAGACTAAACTGCAAGGTACCAAAACTTCCATCTTTGCCAAAGACCCTCATCCAGGCTGGGCACGGTGACTCACGCCTGTAATCCCAGCAATTTGGGAGGCCAAGGCGGGCGGATCACCTGAGGTCGGGAGTTCAAGACCAGCCTGACCAACATGGAGAAACCCCATCTCCACAAAAAATACACAATTAGCCGGGCGTGGTGGCACATGCCTGTAATCCCAGTTACTAGGGAGGCTGAGGCAGGAGAATCGCTTGAACCTGGGAGGCGTAGGTTGCGGTGAGCTGAGATCGTGCTATTGCACTCCTGCCTGGGCAACAAGAGTAAAACTCCATCTCAAAAACAAACAAAAAGTCCTTATCCAATGGTCATGCCACTCTATCTGGCCATGTAATTTCTTCTCCTGGCTTTCTGTAGCAACAGCCTTCTGAGGAACCTCGCTCTGCCCTTCAAAACCCCTTCAACTTGTACCCTTCATCAGCAAAGTATTTAGCTCAACATGTATGTCTCTGGGGGAACTCATCCACATGCCATTTCAGGATATTTCCAGCAACATCATCTTCACTACCCCAGGATGGCATTTTAGAGTGGATGACGTGCCTGCTGGATGTGTTGTACTTGAGCAAGTTAGAGAAAATGCCACACTTTGAGACGAATTAAGAGTCTGTTTATTTAGCCGGTGGCTAAGAAACGGCTAACGTTTAAAGTTCTCTCGGCCTCGAAGAAGGGGCTAGATTTTCTTTTATACTTTGGTTTAGAAAGGGGAGGGGGTCTAGTTAAAACAATTTTACAGAAGTAGGCAAAAAAGTTAAAAGGATAAACTGTTAAGGAAAGTAAACAGTTCTAGGTCTAGGGGCTTTAAGATTATTACAAGGTGATAGACGCGGGGCTTTGGGCGTTATCAATTGGATGAATTCCTGGGAACTGCGGATATTGCTCACCACAGTTTCTTATCAGTTAATTGCATTCTTCGATGTGCTGGGAGTCAGCTTGCACAAGTTAAGTCCTTGAGGAAGGGGCTGCCAGTGAAAGAGCCAAGATGGAGTCTGTCTGGCTCTCTTAGCTAAGGGAGAGTCAATTCAGGTAGAAACAAGGCTAGGTGATTAAAAGAAAGGGAGAGTCTAAGAACAGGGTTTGTAAAAACAAGGTTGGGCATTACATTCCTCACTTGTGTTTTTGGGGAATCAAATCGTTGATTCTTCAGTTATAACAAAGGGGTTATATTGAGTCTTAAGATACATAAGTTTGACAGAAGCTATGTGTTGTTTTACAAAATTAATAAACTAATTTAGTATACAAGGTCCAAAAATTAGACTTAATACTAGGATGGGGAGGGGTTCTGGCTAACTTAGTAATTAGAATAGTTAGCTCTGGGTTCTAGTTGAACATGCTTTGATACTAGGGGATGTTATTTTCTTGTTCTTGTTGGTGCTTATCTAGATTTTCTTGTACCTTCTGGAGTATATCTTTTATGACTAAGAATGGTGGAGGAACCGTTAAATCAACTTTGTCAGGGTGTTTCTGGAACATAGGGTTACTTAGATCAGTTAAAGGCCTGATTGACTTGGGTGGGCTTTATGAGACTAGGGTTTTTTTGGATGGTGAACATAGTCCTAACATTAAATCCTGGGGTATAAAATCTTAATCTTCGTGACATGCCATGATACTATTGAGTTGAATTAAGGTCATGGAGAGCTATAGTAAGAGGATTACAATTTTTTCTAGTACATAATTTAGGATGAGAAGCACGACTTGTGGAAAGAGTTGAAGATCTGGTTGATCTTTTAGAGTAGGTGGCTAAAGTTACACGTGTCTAATCAGGGCAGAAAAACTGATAAGTATCTTGACAGCTAGCATCAGGGTGATTTCTAGGACAGAGGTAAAAGCCAATATTTTGGAGTCTTTTTTCTGCACTTTTGGAGCTTCTACACTTAGTTTGGCTCTTGGAGTGTCTGAATCTTGCTGCAAGGTCGACACTTCCTGCTCCTGGGACTGGCAGATTGTGTTGCTTTTCGTGGGTATGGGCTGGCTTTGGGAATAGTACAAATAAATCAACTGCAAAGGAGACTTCCTTGGAGGTACTGGCCTTCTAAGTGGTGTTTGCAAATACACGTCCTGTTGTGAAAGAGGTGAGGAGAAAGGAGTAGGAAGGCACAGAGGATGTAACGGGCAAAAACAAATAAGTTAGGTAGTAAAAAGAATGAATCTAATGGCTTCACCTGACTTAGGTGCAGTTTTAAGGGGCCTGACTTAGGCCTGAGGACTTATGTTTTTAGCTGGGCTGTGTTGGCCTTTTTGATGCGGGAGGGATGAATCTAAGCAGGAATGCCGTCTACTTTCAGAGCAGTTGGAGTCGTGAGGATGACAGTGTGAGGTCTTTTCTAAGCAGGAGTGAGTCTTTCTTTTTGGAACTTTTTAACAAACGCTAGGTCTCCTGGCTGGAACGAATGGCAGGACTTTGGTCAGGAATTGGATTGGGATGGGCTCCTCGAACAAGTGGCAGGATGATCTCTTGTACCAGTTGGAGAGACGATAGTATTGTAACAAATTAGTTTGTGATATTTCTGCTAATTTGGCATCTCTTAGCTTAGGCAAGATAGGTGGCGCCTTCTTATACATGATTTCAAAAGGTGAGAAATTAGCCTGATAAGGGGTGCACCTTACTTTAAGTAGGGCTAAAGGAAGGAGACTTACTTAATTTACACTGTTTTTTTTAAGATTAATTTTGTAGGAGTGTTTTTTAGGGTGCGGTTCATGCGTTCTACCTACCTGGAGCTCTGGGGTTGATAGGCACAATGGAGCTTCTGTTGAATGTTTAACACCTTACCGACTGACTGACTGAGCTATAGGCGAGGGGAAGGCTGGTCTATTATCAGACTTTATGGCAGCAGACAGCCTATATTGAGGGATGATTTCATTGAGTAAAAACTTAACTACTGTGTTGGTGGTTTCGTTTTCGGTAGCAAATGCCTTAGTCTATCTGGAAAAGGTGCCTACTAGTACTAGAAGGTATTTGTACTTAGCCTGGTGTGGTTTGACTTCTCTAAAGTCAATTTCTTACTTTTTTCTTGGCGAGTTTTTTCAGAGACAGTGGCCTGGGCTGGGTTTAGGACTTTGGCATTTACGTGGGCGCAGGTTGTGCACTGGAGAGCTGCTTAATCTCTTAGGCTTTGAAGATGGGGGATCTTAAAATGGCTCCGGAGGAGCTGAGGTAGCTTTGCTCTTATTAAATGGGTGGTAGACTGTAGGTAACTGATTAAAGTTTCTTGAAGAGTTCAGGGTATGAAGATTCCAGAGTCAGGAAGAATCTACTAACTTTCCTGATTTTTATTGGCTCTGAGATCTGAAGCCAGTTTTTTTGTTGTTGTTGGGTATACGGGATTGTCAGGCAGATCTGGCTGTGGAAAGGAGACTGTGGGCAGCAAGTTTAGAGGCGTGACTGAAAGTCTGGCTGCGACCTGAGCTGCTGAATCAGCTTTCTGGTTACTATGGGCAACGGCCGTGTTTTCTTTTTGATGTCCTTTGCAGTGGATCACAGCTACCTGCTGAGGCGAGTAGCCTGCCTTCCTGGTAGATGGCTTTATGTACATGCACAGTAGCAAAGGCGTACTTGCTGTCAGTGTAAATGTTAATACGTTTATTCTACTTTATCGGAGAGCCTGAGTGAGGGCGATCAATTCAGCCTTTGGTGCTGAGGTGTTCGCTGGTAAAGCTTGAGCTTACAACACATCTGTCTCCGTGGTAACAGCTGCACTGGCTTTTCATACTGCCTGCTTGAGGAAGCTGCTACTGTCTGTGAACACGGCGGCATCTGCCTTTTCTAGGGGCATAGCTTGAAGATCAGATCGGCCAGTTTCGATATTTTCTAACAGTTCTTGACAGTCATGAGCAGGAATAGTGCAGTCTGAGTAAGAAAGTAGTGTAGCTGGATTGAAACACTTTGTGGGAGAGAAAGTCAAACGAGGCTGATCTAACAGTAAACTTTGATACTGCAAGATGCGAGCATTTGACATCTATTTGTCAGAAGCATTTTGTACTAAGGTCTTTACGGCATGAGGAGCTGTAAGGGTTAGATTTTGGCTTAGAGTTAACTTATCATCTTCTTGGGCCAGGCTTGCTGTAGCCGCTACGGCTCGCAGACAACTTGGCCATCTACAGGCCACAGGATCTAGCCTCTTAGATAAATAGGCCACTGGGCGTCTTTAGGGTCTTAGAGTCTGAGTAAGCACGTCTTTAGCAACTCCTTGGCTTTTATGGAGATATTAGGGAAGGCTAAAGCAGGGGCTTCAGTTAATGCTAAATTAATGGGTTATTTCATTCTGTACTTCTTGGATAGCTGCCACTAAGATTTTTGTTTGTCTTTTGAATGCTTTATCAGCGGCCTTTTCAGCTGCCTGTGTTGCTTGTTTTTGTTTATTAAACTTTTGATTGTCAAAAACTTTTTGGGCTATTTCTAAAAGCTGACTGATATTTATTCTAGCAAATCTTTCTAGTTTTTGGAGTTTCTTTTTAATATCCGGGGCTGCCTGAGCCACAAATGCTAAATTAAGAGCACGGCTATTTTCGGGAGCTGCCGGGTCAAAAGGGGTGTAAATCCGATAAGCCTCCTGGAGGCGCTCTAAAAACGTTCTTTGTGACTTATCAGGCCTTTGGACAACTTCGGTGGTCTTAGACAAGTTTATGGGTTTCTGAGCGGCTCTTTTAATACTTGTGAGGAGATACCGGTGAAAATCGTCTAAAGCTCTCTTTCTACTTGAGGAATTTGGGTCCCAGTTAGGCCTGGTAGAGGGAAAGACCTCCTCAAGAAGGTCTCTAGCTTCTCCTTCCGGTCCATTGGCTGATGTGAGGAAGTACTTTTTGGCTTCTTTTCGGATACGTTCTTTCTTTTCAGAGGTGAAAAGGGTTAAAAGGAGCTGTTGGCAATCATCTTAGGTGGGTGAGTGAGTCCGGAGTACAGACTCTGTCAGAGAGGTCAAAGCCTGGGGCTTTTCAGAGAAGGGAGGATTATAAGTTTTCTAATTATATAAGTCAGAAGTAGAAAAAGGGACACAAACTAAGAAGGGTGCTGAGCTCTCGTCACCTGGAGGGACTTGTGCCTCTCTCAGTGGTAGCAGAGGGGCTACTTCTTCCTGCCACAGTCATGATTGAGAGGCAATGAGTGGCGAGCCTACAGGGGACGTCGTCGAGGAGACATGGGATAACTTTAAGGGAGAAGGTTGGTTGTAAGGTGGTGGGACTGGGTGAGGGAGACTCTCCTCTTCTTCAGAGGGAGGCAGTACCGGGGAAGCTGAACCGGCTGAGGGTCGAGGTGAAAATGCGGTCTGGCTTAGGAGGACCTTGGAGGTAGAATTATGAATGGCGCATGAATGGAGCCATGGAGGGGGGATCCTGACTAAACTTAGCTATTGATCAATGTAGGGAAACTGATCAGGGTGGCTAGGAGTTTCAGTAACAACCTGCCACACAGCTTGAACAATTGTGAGGTTCAATGACCCTTCAGGGGGCCACTTGACTTTAAACTTTGGCCATTTCATTTTGCACAGTGTCTGGAGCTTGCCTTTTTTAAGGCAGACTTTATAATCCTCTGAGGAACTGAGAGGAAAATTCTGCAGCATACATTGGAGAGGGCTTTAACTTTTATAAGGCTGGGAGGAAGTGTTTCTTATTTTTTTTTGGGAAGGCAATTTAATAAGATTTGAGCATAGATATTAAACTTAGCATGGACAGAGAAACTTATTTCTTGGGGGACTGGAGTAGTGAAAGAACAGAATCAACATGACTAGAAAGAGCAGAAAAACTACAACACCTAATACTACTTGCTACATTACTGTAGCTTTAAGATTGAGGGAGGAGGACTAGAGCCAGCCTGAGATCTTCTGGGTCAGTTTGATCTAGGCGTTCTTCTTCTTCTTCTAGATCTGCACTTTAAATACTTTTGGTGTCTTTATGACTTAAAGGCAAATAGCTTAAACTTAGCTTTTTCTTTTAAGGGTTTAAGGTGTGAGAGCAGAGCCAAGTCCTGGAGACGGTGAACTTGCTGTCGCACCGGAAAACGAGATGTGCGGGGTAGGGGGCAGGGACAAGGTGGAAAAGGACTACTCGGATCACTTTTAAGGTGGGAGAGTAGCCACAGAGGAACAGAGTAAGAATCTAAACGAAGTAAAGCAGTACGGGCCTACATTTCTTTACACAGTGTTCTACTTAAGGGCACAGGAAAAGTTACAGAATGACAAAAGAGGTGAGTAAGGAAATCTGCAGGGTGGCTGTTTTGAACTCACTACTAGTTTAGTTTAGGGGACGTCTAATCACTTGGACGTGGAGTATGACGATCTAAATACTTACAACTTTCATGGTGCTAGAAATCTTAATCAGGCAAATGTTTTTCACACTTGTTCTTGTAACAACACTTGACTTGGTTCTGGCAGAAAAGACAGGACTGTGGTGGCCAGCCTAAATGATTGATGAGAAATTTAACCTCCTATGACAAAAAATCAGCACTAAGGACTTTGAAGAACTTTTTACTTAGACGTCTTCGGCAATATCAGCGTCTTGACATGCAAAACTTTCACAACTACTAACAAGACAATAGAAACTGAACAGAACAATCAACATAAAACAAACAAACAGTTGACTTTAGGGCATGTAAACAGTTATGACAGTTTCTTCCTTTTTTTTTTTTTTTTAGACAGACAAGGGGAGGGGTTTCTGTGATGGGATCAGTCAGATGCCTGCCTGGCCGCTCCCCCTGAGCGGACTTGGGCTCCTCTTAGCATTGGCAGGCCGGTATAAACTTCCGGCTCAGATCGAGCTATGCCTGATGCTGCCTTAAGCCTTATGAGGTCGCCACGGAACCGCAGGTGAGGGCCTACTTGAACTCCGTAGCTTTCGCCGTGGAGCTACAAAGTGGAGGACAAGCGCAAGCCCTTGTCCTCACTCATTCATTCATTATTCACAAAGAGTTTATAACAGTTTTTTTTTCTTTCTTGGAGATTCTTCAAGAAACTTGAACAAGAGAAAGATGAGAGATAGAAAAAGAGAGAGAGAGAGAGTGACTGGTCTGCCAGAAACCTGGACTCAGTCCTCCAGCATTCTGGGATGTGGACTGAGTCAAAGGAGGACCCCTGTCAGGGCCACTTCCCTCCTAGAAAGAGACACAGAGGTGCCTAACAGAAAACCAGGGCTCTACCTTCTAGCGTCCTAGAGAAATGGGCAGAGTCAAAAGAGTGACACACTCGTCAGGGCCGCTTCCCTCTTACTAGAACTGAAATCAAATCTGACCTACCTAACCTCGGGGTCAGAAGTTGAGGACTCAGAGGTGGAATTTTTGTGCGCACCCACACGGTAGTCGATCCGCTCTCCTCTGGAAGACGGTCACCTTTTGGGGACCTGAAAATTTTTTTTCAGGTGGCACCCCCCCTACAAGCCGGCCGTCCTTCCAGGGGAGCCTGGAGCGAGCCTGGCTCTCGCCTGGTGGCGTTTCTCGCTCGGGCCTCCAAATGTTGTACTTGAGCGAGTTAGAGAAAATGCCACAATTTGACATGAATTAAGTCTGTTTATTTAGCTGGCGGCCAAGAGATGGCTAGCTCTTAAAGTTCTCTTGGCCAGGAAGAAGGGCTAGATTTTCTTTTATACTTCAGTTTAGAAAGGGAAAAGGGGTCTAGTTAAAAGAATTTTACAGAAGTAAAGTAGGCAAAAAAGTTAAAAGGATAAATTGTTACAGGAAAGTAAACAGTTCTAGGTCTAAGGGCTTTAAGACTATTACAAAGTGATAGACGTGGGGCTTTGGGCATTATCAATCTGACAAATTCCTAGGAACTGCGGATATTGCCCGCCACAGTATCTTATCAGTTAATTGCACTCTTAGATGTGCTAAGAGTCAGCTTGCACAAGTTAAGTCCTTGAGGAAGGGGCTGCCAGTGAAAAAGCCAAGATAAAGTCTGTCTAGCTCTCTTAGCTAAAAGAAAGTCAATTCAGGTAGAAACAAGGCTAAGTGATTAAAAGAAAAGGAAAGTCTAAGAACACAGTTAATTAAAACAAGGTTAGGCATTACAGATGGGGTCATCCTTATATTCAGCACAGTGTTTGTCCTGAAACTTCAATGGAGTGCTCCTAGTTTGATAACTTGGACCATACCAAATAAATTGAATTTCTCTTTCTTAACAACAGATGTTTGAATACAGCCCCGTGTCCCTCTCTGCTCCTTCCTGCCTTCCTCCTCTCCTCTTCCTTCCCTTCCTTTTCAAGAGCAGGGTTTGCAAGCTTTTACTTGAAAGCATCAGATAGTAAATATTTTAGAATTCGTGGGCCATACAGTCTCTTGTAGTAGTTAATCAACTCTGCCACCCATAGCATGAAAGCAGCTGATATAGGTTGAATATGTGTCCCCGCCCAAATCTCATGTTGCAATGTAATCCCCAGTGTTAGAGGTGGGGTCTGGTGGGAAGAGATTGGGTCATGGGGGTGGATTTCTCATGAATGATTTAGCCTCATCCCTTTGGTCCTGTCCTTGCAATAGTGAGTGAGTTATTGCAAGATCTGGTTGTTTACGAGTGTGTAGCACCTCCCTCCTTACTCTCTTGCTCCCACTTCAGCTTCTGCCATCATTGTAAGTTTCCTGAGGCCTCCACAGAAGCTCAGCAGATGTCAGTGTCATGCTCCCTGTACAGCCTACAAAACTGTAAGCCAATTAAAGCTCTTTTCTTTATACATTACCCAGTCTCAGGTATTTCTTTATAGCATGAGAGAACAGCCTAATCCAGCAGCCATAGACAATATGCAGCAAATGGGCATGGCTGTGTTTCAATAAAACTTTATTGACAAAAACATGTGCAGGCAGGTCAGATTTGGCCCATGGGCCACAGTGTCCCAACCTCTGCTCTGGAATATTCTCTTTAGCCTGGATGGACTTCTCTAGGTTGTTTTTGTTTTCTGTTTTTTTTTGAGACAAAGTCTCACTGTTGCCCAGGCTGGAGTGCAGTGGTGCAATCTTTGTTCGCCACAACCACTGCCTCCTGGGTTCAAGCAATTTTCCTGCCTAAGCCTCCCAAGTAGCTGGGATTATGGGCACCTGCCACTACACCTGGCTAATTTTTGAATTTTTTTTATAGAAATAGGGTTTCACCATGTTGGCCAGGCTGGTCTCAAACTCCTGACATCAGGTGATCCACCCACCTCAGCCTCCCAAAATGATGGGATTACAGGTGCCTGCCACCACATCTGGCTAATTTTTTGTATTTTTAGTAGAGATGTGATTTCACTATGTTGCCCAGGCCGGTCTCGAACTCCTGATCTCAAGTGATCCACCTGCCTCAGCCTCCCAAAGTGCTGGGATTACAGGTGTGAGCCACTGCAGCTGGCCTCTATATTTTTTTTTTTTTTTTGACCATTGCTTATTTGGTTTGACTTTCATTTTCTTCCCCAATATGGTAGTCATTTTCTGAATGCCTGTTAGTTTGTCCATCCCTCTCCTCTTTAGTCCCTAGAGTCAGATGAACTCCTCTGCAGGTGCAATGGTGTAACACTCTCTAGTACTGAATTTTGAGCAGGAGAAAGAGAGCAAGAGTGACCAGCACTCTTGGAAACTCTGGTCTCCTGAGAATTTGGTGTCTTCTCTGCAAAGGTTGCAAACCTGTTAACACACAGGCCGGAGAGAGAGAGAAGCCAGAAGCATGATCTGTTAAGCTTGAGTTTAATATTTGATGCACAGAGATCACTGAGTTTTTTGATGAGAATTAGAGGGGGAAGAAATGGCCACAGAGATCAATTTCTATCTCCAGGTGAGGATTCAGGAGATAATTCTGCGAACAGAAATTCCTGAGAACTGAGATGGGGGAAATCGCTGGTATTAGAAGAGTGAAAAGGTCAGTAATTAAGACTACGACTGTGCTCTGAGAGGCGAAAGAAGAAAATGAGACTGCCAGGCATGAATAATGAGAAATCTTTGATGGAATTAGCCATGCAGAACAGATAGTAAATGCATCCTCATTCTTCTCATAGTCAAAAGTTTTTGCTTAAGCTGGATGGGAAAAAGAGAATCCCATATCACTAAGTATAAAAGAGGAGATTTTAGAGAAGGTCTCAGAAGAAAGAGATGTGGCGGTTTGGTGAAACTCACCAGAGGCTGAAACCGTCTCCAGCATAACACAGGGATTGGGAGGAGCGGGGCAGCATTAGGCCAGGTGCATAGCCCAGTGCTGCTCTCTGTGGACTTTCTGCTCTCTCTGGACTTGTTTGCTAGCTGAGCTCATCCATTTGCATAATTTTCAGTGCCATTTCTCAGATGATGAGTCCTCAACTTTTGTCTTGAGGCTAGACTTCTCCTTCAAACAGCAGTCTTAAACACTCAACTTCTTTCTTGTTTTTTCCACTTGTCAACTCATGAACACCTCAACCTTGTTAAATCCAAAGCCAAACTCATGGCTTGGAGAGGTAGGTGATGGCTGTAATCCCAGTGCTATGGGAGGCTGAGGTGGGAGGATTACTTGAGGTCAGGAGTTTGAAGCCAGCCTGGAAAACACAGTGAGACTCCCTATCTCCAAAAAAAAAAAAAAAAAAAAAAAAAAGCTAGGCATGGTGAAGTGCATCTGTAGGATCTGTAGTCCTGTTACATGGCAGGCTGAGGCAGGAGGATCACTTGAGCCCAGGAGTTTGAGGCTGCAAAGAGCTATGATTGCACCAATGCACTGCAGCCTGGGTGACAGAGCCAGAGTCCCTGTCTTAAAAAAAACCAAAAGCAAAACTCTTTTTCCTCCTCCTTCTCCATGGGCTCTGTCCATGCCATCTCTGTTCTGTAAATGGCACCACCTCCTGCTGAGCTGCTCAAGGTGGTCATAACTCATGTGTTGTGTTAACTCTGCTTTTGCCCTCTTCTCCAGTCAGAAGTCCTGTGATTCTAAACTTTATCCAACTTGTCCACTCTCTCTATCTTCACTGTCATTATCTTTGCCTAGGACACCGCTATCCCAGCTGGGCTACAGCAGCAGCCTCCTAACTGGTCTTAACTGGTCCTCTGCACCTGCTCTCCATGCTCAGCAATCCATTTCCTACCTAGCAGCTTCAGTGATCTTCAGGTATCCATTGAGTCTCATCCCTGCCTTTCCTGCCCATGGCACATAGAATAAAATCGAGACCCCGAGTCTTCTGCCTGTTCCTGCCACCTCTCCAGCTCTCTCCTATCTCGTCCCCTTGGCCTACTCTATTTCAGCCACTCTGGCCTCCTTTTGTTTTCTTCGACTTTCAAACCTTTCTCCACAACAGGGCCTTTGCACTTGCTGCTTCAGCCTGGAATGATTTTCCTCTGCACCTCCCCAAATTAGACCATCCTTTAGGTCTCAGCTAAAATGGTGCTTCCAGACAGCTCTTTCCTGACCCCTTTATAAAGTGGACTTCCCTGCTCTTCTCCACCTTAACCTCGTTATTTCTTGTTGCGGGAACTCAGGGACCCCAAATGGAGGGACTGGCTGAAGCCACGGCAGAGGAACATAAACTGAAGATTTCGTGGATATTTATCAGTTCCCAAATAATACTTTTATACTTTCTTATGCCTGTCTTTATTTTAATCTCTTAATCCTGTTATATTCATAAGCCGAGGATGTACATCACCTCAGGACCACTGTGATAATTGTGTTAACTGTACAAATTCATTGTAAAACATGTGTGTTTCAACAATATGAAATCAGTGCACCTTGAAAAAGAAGAGAATAACAGCAATTTTTAGGGAACAAGGGAAGACAACCATAAGGTCTGACTTCCTGCAGGGTTGGGCAAAAAGAGCCATATGTTTCTTCTTGCATGGAGTCTATAAATGGATGTGCAAGTAGGACAGATATTGCTAAATTCTTTTCCTAGCAAGGAATATTAATATTAATACCCTGGGAAAGGAATGCATTCCTGGGGGGGGGTCTATAAATGGCCGCTCTAGGAATGTCTGTCTTATGCAGTTGAGATAAGGACTGAGATACGCCCTGGTCTCCTGCAGTACCCAAAGGCTTACTAGGGTGGGGAAAAACTCTGCCCTGGTAAATTTGTGGTCAGACTGGTTCTCTGCTCTCAAACCCTGTTTTCTGTTGTTTAAGATGTTTATTAAGACAATACATGCACCACTGAACATAGACCCTTATCAGTGGTTCTGCTTTTGCCCTTTGCTTTGTGATCTTTGCTGGACCTTTATCAGTAGTTCTGCTTTTGCCCTTTGTCCTGTTCCCTCAGAAGCATGTGATCTTTCTTAGACCCTTATTAGTAGTTCTGCTTTTTGCCCTTTGAAGCATGTGATCTTTGTACCTACTCCCTGTTCTTACAGCCCCTCCCCTTTTGAAACCCTTAATAAAAACTTGCTGGTCTGAGACTCAGCAGGCATCACGGACTTACTGATATGTAGTGTCACCCCCAGGGGCCCAGCTGTAAAATTCCTCTCTTTGTAGTGTCTCTCTTTATTTCTCAGCTGGCTGACACTTACAGAAAATAGAAAGAACCTATGTTGAAATATTGGGGGCAGGTTCTGTCAATAGTTCTTTCATGGATTTACTTATTTTTTGTCTCCCTCCATACCCTAGAAACTCCTGGAGGGCAGAGCTGTGTCTGCCATCTTCATCATTGCATTACCACCACCCAGCACAGTCCCTGGCACAAAAGAGTTGCTCAATAAATAGATCAGGATGAATGGATAAATACATGGATAGGCACTTTGAACTACAGAAGAGTTTAAATACTTTGTGTTTTTCTTAGTCAAACATGTGCAATTAAGCATGTGATAAATTATATGATGACCACACCTGTGTGTTGCCTGACGTTCTTTGCAATCACTAAGTGAAGTCAATTGTGCCTGTTTTGACAGTTCTGTTTTCAACCTAATGATCTTTTTCTTTTAACTTCTGGCTGTTGGCTTTGTTTGGGTTTGTTAGCCTGACAAAGTGGCAGATATTGGTATTTGCTTTTTTGTTTAAATGTCATGAACTTTAAAAATGCCTTTGCTTTTGGTAAGAAACCCTAGTTAGGACAGTCTAGCAGTCAGGATGATTTGGGTTCTGGTGCAGTAACAACAATCCCCAAATCTCAGTGGATTCATGCAGTGAGGTATTTGTTTGTTTGTTTGTTTGTTTTTTGAGACAGGGTCTCACTCTGTCACCCAGACTAGAGTGCAATGGTGCAACCTCAGCTCACTGCAACCTCTGCCTCCCAGACTCAAGCGATTCTCCTGCCTCCTGAGTAGCTGGGATTACAGGCCTGTGCCACTACTGTCTCACTAATTTTTGTACTTTAGTAGAGACAGGATATCACCATGTTAGCCAGGCTGATCTTGAACTCCTGACCTCAAATGATCCACCCGCCTTGGCCTCCCAAAGTGCTGGGATGACAGGCATGAGCCACCATGCCTGGCCACAGTGAGGCTTATTCTTGGTCACGTTGGATGTCTGGGCTGTGTTAGGGCATTTTGGGGTGGTCTGTTCATTGTGTTCACTCAGGGATCCAGGCTGACAAAAGCCCCATCTCTGCATGTGTCCTTGATCACCACTTCAGGGGAAAGGGAATGTGGTGGATCACACAGCCTCTTAACACTTCCACCTGGAGGTGACTCAAGTTGCTCTTGCTCATGGTTCATTGGACAAAGCAGATCACAGAGACATGGTCAACTTCTCTGTGCCTGGAAGGGGAATCAAAATATGAATAGCTACATTGATTTTCCCTAGCTATTACACAGAAGGCCTCATTTAAACACAGTTACTTATTTGTGTTTTGAAGCTAATTGTCCATCAAACTTCACAGAAGATATGTGCACTTCCAAGTTATTATTAAGCACAATTTTTTTTTTTTTTTTGAGACAGAGTCTCACTCTCTTGCCCAGGCTGGAGTGCAGTGGTATGATCATGGATCACTGCAACTTATGCCTCCTGGGTTCAAGTGATTTTCATGCCTCAGCCTCCCAAAGTGCTGTGACTACAGACACCCACCACTGCGCCTGGCTAAGTTTTGTATTTTTAATAGAGATGGGGTTTCACCATGTTGGCCTGGCTGGTCTGGAACTCCTGACCTCAGGTGACCCACCTGCCTCGGCCTCCCAAAGTGCTGAGATGACAGGCGTGAGCTGCCACGCCCATCCTTGAGTATGATTTTTGATTGGGAAGGTCAGAGTTAGGGTTTTAGTCTCAGGACAGTATGATGTGAAGGTGAAAAGCAGAGCTTGGCTGTGAGTTTGCTGGGATGCCTGTGCTGCTTCTACAGTTCTTTGGCTGTGTGACCGTCACCTCTGGCAAGTTCCTTTACGTTTCTATGTGTTGGTTTGTGTTGGTTTCCTCATCAATAAACTGGAAAAACTAATCATAATCATAATATCTATTGGTGTTGGGATAGCCCAGTGGTTGACACATAAGGACTCAAAAATAGTTTTTTTTTTTTTTTTTTGGAAACAGAGTCTTGCTCTGTTGCCAGGCTGGAGTGCAGTGGTGCAATCTCAGCTCACTGGAAACTCTGCCTCCTGGGTTCAAGCGATTCTCCTGCCTCAGCCTCCCGAGTAGCTGGGATTACAGATGCCTGCCACCACTCCCAGCTAATTTTTGTATTTTTAGTAGAGACGGGGTTTCACCATGTTGTCCAGGATGCTCTCGATCTCTTGACCTCATGATCCGCCCACCTCAGCCTCCCAAAGTATTGGGATTACAGGCATGAACCACCGTGCCTGGCTCAAAAATACTATTATTAATTTTGGGGAGTAGTTACTATATTTTGTGAAAATCAGAGTTCAGTACCTTGTAACACTGGGTTGGGATCTATCCCTGAAGGAACAGGCTTCTAAAGAGGAAGGCATGGAGAGAGGGGCAAAATTTCAGTGGATGTTGTAATGACTTAGGTATATGGACCTGGGGCTGAGTTCTAGCTGGAGCCACCAGGGGGCAAGGTGGACTTTGCTAAATTATATCACTTTCCTGGGCCTCAGACTCACTTGTTACAAATGGGGTTAAAGCATCCCTCTTTCAGGGCTAAGATAAAGATGATTAAGTAAGAGGGAATGAAAGTAACTTCCATCAACGGTCAAAAGTATTCGTTTAATTTTTTTTTTTTTTTTTTTTTTTTTTTTTTGAGATGGAGTCTTTCTCTGTTGCCCAGATGGGAATGCAGTGGCATGGTCCCGGGTCACTGCAACCTCCACCTCCTGGGTTCAAGTGATTCTCCTGCCTCAGACTCCTGAGTAGCTGGGACTTCAGGTGCATGCCACCACGCCTGGCTAATTTTTATATTTTTAGTAGAGACGGGGTTTCACCATGTTGGCCAGGATGGTCTCCATCTCTTGACCTTGTGATCCACCCACCTTAGCCTCCCAAAGTGTTGGGATTACAGGCATGAGCCACCACGTCCGGCCCATTTAACTTCTATATTACTTTCCTGTTGGTGGATTTACCAGTGCAAAATGAGCAGCTTAAAACACCACCCAGTTATTATCTGTTTTCATGAGCCAAGGGTCTGGGCAGGGTTTAACTGGGTCTTCTATTCAGGATCACAATACGGCAACCAGAGTGTCAGTTGGAGCTGGGGTCTCATGGGATGCTCAGTGTCTTCTTCCAAGCTTATTCAGTCTGTAAACTGAATTCAATTACTTACAATTGTTGAATGAAGGCCCTCAACTCCTAGAGCTGCCACCTCCAAAGACAGCTCACAGCATGGCCATTTGTGTCTCCTTGGAGGCTAAGAGTTCAGTCTCTGAAACTTCACCTTTAAAGGATTCACCTGATTAGGTCTGGCCCACCTAAGATCATTCTGCTTTGGATGAACTCAAAGTCAGCTGAGCAAATGTGCTTAACAAAGCAAGTGTGACCATAGTCACATTTGCAAAATTCCTTCCTCTTGGTCAAATCACAAGCTCTGCACACACTCAAGAGGAGATGATACAGGGAGCAGATATAAGGGAGTGGGTCTCTTGGGGGCTGTCCTAGAACTCTGCCCATTACAACTTCCTTTCTCGAGGAACAGCAGACCTGGGGAGAGATGATCACAGATGAGCACAGCCCACAGGTGGTGAGTGCCTGGTGCTGGGGTAGGATGCAGGAGGCTGTGAAGCAAGTATGAAAAGCCTTCTCTGGGCTGGGTGCAGTGGCTCACACCTGTAATCCCAGCACTTTGGGAGGCCGAGGTGGGTGGATCACGAGGTCAAGAGATCGAGACTATCCTGGCCAACCAACATGGTGAAACCCCGTCTCTACTAAAAATAAAAAAAATTAGCTGGGCATGGTGGTGCATGTCTCTAACAACCCAGCTCCCCAAGTGAGCAATTCCTGTCCCTTTTAAGGGCTCACAACTCTAAGGGGGTCCACATGAGAGGGTCTTGATCTATTGACCAAGCAGGGAGTACGTGACTGGGGGCTGCATTCAGCAAACCCCATCTCTACTAAAAATACCAAAATTCAGCAAAGTTTCAGGATACAAAATCAATGTGCAAAAATCACAAGCATTCTTGTACACCAATAACAGACAAACAGCCAAATTATGAGTGAACTCCCATTCACAATTGCTTCAAAGAGAATAAAATACCGAGGAATCTAACTTACAAGGGACATGAAGGACCTCTTCAAGGAGGACTACAAACCACTGCTCAAAGAAATAAAAGAGGATACAAACAAATGGAAGAACATTCCATGCTCATGGCTAGGAGGAATCAATATCATGAAAATGGTCATACTGCCCAAGGTAATTTATAGATTCAATACCATCCCCATCAAGTTACCAATGACTTTCTTCACAGAATTGGAAAAAACTACTTTAAAGTTCATATGGAACCAAAAAAGAGCCCACATTGCCAAGTCAATCCTAAGCCAAAAGGACAAAGCTAGAGGCATCACACTACCTGACTTCAAACTATACTACAAGGCTATAGTAACCAAAACAGCATGGTACTGGTACAAAAACAGAGATACAGACTAATGGAACAGAACACAGCCCTCAGAAATAATGCCACACATCTACAACTATCTGATCTTTGACAAACCTGACAAAAACAAGAAATGGGGAAAAGATTCCCTATTTAATAAATGGTGCTGGGAAAACTGGCTAGTCATATGGAGAAAGCTGAAACTGGATCCCTTCCTTACATCTTATATAAAAATTAATTCAAGATGGATTAAAGACTTAAATTTTAGACCTAAAACCATAAAAACCCTAGAAGAAAACCTCAGGATTACCATTCAGGACATAGGCATGGGCAAGGACTTCATGTCTAAAACACCAAAAGCAATGGCAACAAAAGCCAAAATTGACAAATGGGAACTAATTAAACTAAAGAGCTTCTGCACAGCAAAAGAAACTACCATCAGAGTGAACAGGCAACCTACAGAATGGGAGAAAATTTTTGCAATCTACTCATCTGACAAAGGGACCTATGACTTTCTTATAACCAAGAGAATATGGCAGAGGTGATGGGATGTAGTGATTATGTTAGATAGGATGTTAAGTTGTCTTGCTAGGAGGCTGTCTGTCTTGCTGGCTTTGAAGATGTGAGGTGCCATGTCATGAGCGGCCAGATGGAGAGGCCCATGTGGCAAGAAGCTGAAGGCAGCAAGAAACTGGGGCCCTGAGTCCAGCAGCCTGCAAGGAACTGAATGCTGCCAACAACCAGATGAGCTTGGAAGCAGATCAATCACCAGTCAAGCCTCCAGATGAGAACTGAGCCCTGGCTGACACTATGGCTGCAGCCTTGCACTGAACCCAGCTGAGTCACGCCTGGATTCCTGACCCACAGAAACCATGCAGTGATAACTGTCTGCTGTCTCAAGCCACAAAGTTTGCAGTAACATTGTTGCACAGCAATAGATAACTAATATAAAAACTGTCCTACATCATGTACATTACTGAGCGAAATGTAGAACCTGGATTTGAGCTCTGATTTCAGAGTTGTGGTCTCAGTCTCCCCAGGGAGACCTGTCCCTGGAGACAGTTATGCCAGGCTGTGATGCTGTGATGATTGTTCTCTTCCTACCCAGAAGCTTTCAATAGGCATGTCAAGCATGTGACCCCAGCTACATATACCAAATGTATTTCTGACAAATGCCAGGACATCTTGAGCTTTCTTGTTTTACTGAGAGCTCCATAAAGGAAGGACTATCTTTGTCTTTTTTTTTTTTTTTTTTTTTTTTTAAGAGTCTCACTGTCACCCAAGCTGGAGTGCAACAGTGCGATCTCGGCTCACTGCAGTTTCTGCCTCCTGGGCTCAAGGGATTCTCCAGCCTCAGCCCTCTGAGTAGCTGGGATCAAAGGTGTACATCACCACACCCAGCTAATTTCATATTTTTGGTAGAGATGGGGTTTTGTCATGTTGGCCAGACAGATCTTGAACTCCTGGCCTCAAGTGATTCGCTTACCTCGGCATCCCAAAGTGCTAGGATTACAGGCATGAGCCACTGCACCAGGCCTGTCTTATTTATGTTATGTCTATGTGAAACAGCCCAGTGGTCAGCACAAAAAGGGGTCCAAATGTGAAAGGAAAGAGCAAACACAGGGGAAACATAGGGGTGTTCAGAAATAGTTCCCAGGTTACTGCCTGTTTCAATATGTACAGTCCTCAGCCCCACCCACAAGATTCTGACTTGGCAGGTGAGAGTTGGAGATAGGGGAGCTACCTGGTTACGAGGGATCCCAGTTCATTTTGAGGCAGCTGGTTGTTAGACTGCATTGTAAAAATTACCCCCCAAAGATGTGAAGGGATAATTTATGTATTTTTAATAGAGATAGGGTTTCACCATGTTGGCCAGGCAGGTCACCAACTCCCAGCCTCAGGTGATCTGCCCGCCTTGGCCTCCCAAAGTGCTGGGATTACAAGCATGAGCCATTGCTCCTAGCAGTATTTTTTTAATGAGGCAAAATTCACACAACACACAAGTCCCTGTATGAAACCATACACTTCAGTATCATTAAATACATTCACAATGTTAAGCAATCATCATCTCTGTCTAGTTCCAAAACATTTTCATTAACACCCCCCGCCCCCCCAAAAAATAACCCTGTATCCAATCAAGCACTCTCCATCCCCTCCCCTTTCCCCCAGTTCCTGGCAACCACTTACCTGCTTTCTGCCTCTACAGATTTGCCTATTCTGGACCTTTCACATAAATGGAATCATGTAATATATATAATAACCAAAAGGTAGCAACAATCAAGATGGCCATTTGGTTGATGAATGAATAAACAAAATGTGCTGTATCCATACAATGAAAGTATTGGTGCCTACTGCATGTGGATGGACCTTGGAAACATCATGCTAAGTGAGAGAGAGCCTTGGTATTGTCTCATCTCCCCAGGAGATTCCAAGGTGCAGCCAAGGTTGAGACCCACTGACAAGCAATGGGTATGGTTGGGTGCAGATGAAATAAGGCAGCCAGGGGCAGGAGGGACGTCTCATTGAAGATGACTGTTTGTGGATGCCTAGCAGGGGTGGGGATGAGGGATGATAACAGCAACCCCAATCTCAACACAGCGTGACCGATTTTATCTTCAGTCAGCTGATACCCCTCATGGGATTTGGACACAGGACATCTCTGCCTCCCAGGTTCAAGCAATAACTCCTGCCTCAGCCTCCTAAGTAGCTGGGATTACAGGCATGTACCACCACACCTAGCTAATTTTTGTATTTTTAGTGGAAACGAGGCCTCATCATGTTGCCCAGGTTGGTCTCGAACTTCTGGCCTCAAATGATCCACCCACCTCAGCCTCCCAAAGCACTGGTATTACAGGCATGAACCACAGTGGCAGCCTCCAAATTCTATTTGAAGTTTGACTTTCCACCTCCAGAAAATCCAAACCTTTGCCCTAGTCACAGTGGGACACCCCGGAGTTAATTTGAGAGAAATGTGCTTTTAAAAACAACCCCAGGCCAGGCGCAGTGGCTCACGCCTATAATCTTAGCACTTTGGGAGGCCGAGGCGGACGGATCACGAGGTCAGGAGATCAAGACCATCCTGGCTAACACGGTGAAACCCCGTCTGCACTAAAAATACAAAAAGTTAGCCGGGCGTGGTGGCACATGCCTGTAAGCCCAGCTACTCGGGAGGCTGAGGCAGGAGAATCGCTTGAACCAGGGAGTCAGAGGTTGCAGTGAGCCGAGAGCGCACCACTGCACTCCAGCCTAGTGACAGAGAGAGATTCCGTCTCAAAATAAATAAATAAAACCCTCCGATATGAACACCAAACTAGAATCACTGCATTGACTTCCCTTCTCCAATCAGGGGGAGTGATGGTGATGGTGCATGAGTGTCTATTTGCATTGAGTCTTAATGGAAAATAAGGTTGTGTCACTCAAAGGAAAAACAAATCACAGCCCAGACTGGAGCTGTAGATGAATAACATGGCTGAGTGTTGGTACAGGCTTTCCACAGCAATATTAAAACTGAAAAAATCAACAATGAAGCTCCCAGCCACATTTCTGCCTAATGATTTGGGGGAAAACAACAGAGGCACTCCTCAACTTTTCCTTCGCTGCACAAAGTGGGTTTGGCTGGAAATGCCAAATGTGCTTGTTGCTGGGATCTTTCAAATGAAAGCAAGCTGGGAGTCAACATCCTGCAGCCGCAGGCCAGAAATGGGTTGAGACCAAGCTATTATAGTAACACTGGTGCACATCTAAACAGATTTAACTCCCTCACAGCAATCCAGATTAATTTAATATGCTTTCTTAGTGGCATTCCGCATTTCTCATTAAAGCAAATGAATGTCTATCTCTCTGTGATAAATTAGGTCAAAAAACATTCATATATTTAGGGCACAGGGAAGGAGGATTTGTTGGCTGTTAAAAAAAAAAAAAAAAGCCCTGCAAATGGCCTTTCAAAGTCTAGACATCTTCATCATCAACACAAACATTCCTCTTCACAAAGGGACCTCAAGTAACCCTAGGCTGGAGGGCCCACCTGCGTATGTTTTTCTTCTCATTCTTTTTTACCTTCCCTCCAGCCCACACAACTCACATTCAGTGACTAAGTCACGTGGGTTTTACCTCCTAAATCTTTCTCAGATCCTTCACTGCTCAGCCACTCTCCTGACACCACCATAAACCAAGCCACCATCACCTCCAGCCGTTTGACTGCAAATGCCTCCAGACTGGCCTCTGCTTTTCCCTGGCCCTGTGACAATCTGCACTCCTCACAGGGACCAAAGCAATCACTTCAGAAGGTGCATCCAAACAGATCACTCAAATTTCAATGGCTCCCTCTGCTGTGTGGGTTAACAATGATAAAAGCTCGGCCGGGCGCAGGGGCTCACGCCTGTAATCCCAGCACTTTGGGAGGCCGAGGCGGTCGGATCACGACGTTAGGAGATCCAGACCATTCTCCCTAACACCGTGAAACCCCGTCTCTACCTAAAATACAAAAAAATTAGCCGGGCGTGGTGGCAGGCGCCTGTAGTCCCAGCTACTCTGGAGGCTGAGGCAGGAGAATGGCGTGAACCTGGGAGGTGGAGCTTGCAGTGAGCTGAGATCGCGCCACTGCACTCCGGCCTGGGAGACAGAATGAGATTCCATCTCGGAAAAAAAAAAAAAAAAACAAAACACAATGATAAAAGGTCACCTTTCCTGAGCACACACTATCTCAGTCCATCCCTACATCAGCCCTTTATTTCACCAGTAGGGAAGCTGGGACAGAGAGTAGTTACGTGGGATGCCCAAGGTGGGACCACTCGTGTGAAGTTTCCACACTCTAATGTGAGACCCTCCATGACCTAGCCCCTCTCTTTCTCCAGCCTCATTTCCTGATTCTCTTGCTTTCCCTGCAGGCTTCAGCCACAGAAACTTCTTGAAAGTCCCTTAAATCTGACTGAGTGCAGTGGCCCACGCCTGTTATCCCAGCACTTTGGGAAGCTGAGGCGGGTGGGTCACCTGAGATCAGGAGTTCGAGACCAGCCTGGTCAACATGGTGGAACCCCATCTCTACTAAATATCCCAAAATTAGCCACGTGTGGTGGACGGCACCTGTAATCCTAGCTACTCGGGAGACTGAGGCAGGAAAATCGCTTGAACTCGGGAAGCAGAGGTTGCAGTGAGCCAGGATCGCACCACTCCACCCAAGCCTGGGCGTCAAGAGTGAAAGTCCATCTCAAAAAAAAAACTGTCCCTTAAATCTGCTCTATGCCTATCAACCTCAGGGACTTCACTATACTGTTCCTCACCCTGAAATGCTGTTCCTCATTTCTCCACATAGTGAACTCATCCCACCCCTAGGCCTCTCCTTAAGTGTCATCTCTTCAAGGAAGATTTTACTTTTTTAATATAACTATTAAAATATAATTCAGGTACCATATCATTTGCCCATTTAAAGTAAACAAATCTATGGTTTCAGTGCATTCACAGAGCTTGGCAGCCACCATCATGATCAATTTTAAAACATTTTCATCACCCCAAAAGAAACCCTGTATCCATGAGCAGGTACCTGCCATTTCCTCCTCCCACTAAGCCCTGACAATCTACTTTTTTTGAGATAGAGTCTCTGTCACAGGCTGGAGTGCAGTGGCACAATCTCGGCTCACTGCAACCTCCGCCTCCCGGGTTAAAGCAATTCTCCTGCCTCCCGAGTAGCTGGGATTACAGGGATATGCCACCATGCACATCTAATTTTGTATTTTTAGTAGAGACAGGGTTTCTGTCTTCATAGATTTGCGTGTTCTGGACATTTCATATAAATGAAATCTTATAATATGTGACCTTTTGTGACTGGTTTCTTCCACTTAGCATAATATTCTCATGGTTCATCCATGTTGTAGCACGTGTTAGTACTTCATTCCTTTTGATGACTGAATAATATTCCATTGTGTGGTCAAACCATGTTCTATTTCTCCACTCATCAGTAGACAAGCATTTGTGTTGTTTTCACTTTGGCGCTATTATGAATAATGCTGCTATGAGCATTTGTGTACAATTTTCTGCACGGACATATATTTTCATTTCTTTCATAAACTGGAGTGGAAGTGGTGGGTCACAGAACTCTGTGTTTAAGCTTTTGAAGAAGTGCCAGACTGTGTAAGAAAGAAAGCCTTTCCTCACCCTGTGAGACTGAGCTCCTCTCTCCATTTATACGTTCTCTTTATGCCCTTTGCTTCTCTTTCAGAGCAATTCACGTTGACCTGGGTCACCCTCAACTTAAGGCTCATAACTCCCCTAGATCCTCAGGGTCCACACTAAATGTGATGAAATATGATGGAAGCCACATATTTACTTTTGCATTTTGTAGTAACCACATTTTAAAAAGTAAAACAAAAGAAGTGAAGGTAATTGGAATAATATCACAGATTTAAACAAATCTATCCGAAATACCAGGTCTGCAAGTATAAAATATTTTAACATTAACAAAATACTTTGCTTTCTTTTTATATTAAGTCTTCACAATCTAATGTGTATATGACACTTCTCGCACATCTCAGAATGATGGCAACACCCCATATGGGGGGCCCTCCCATGATGCCAATGATGGGCCCTCCTCCTCCTGGGATGATGCCAGTGGGACCTACTCCTGGAATGAGGCCGCCCATGGGAGGCCACATGCCCATGATGCCTGGGTGCCCAATGATGAGACCTCCTGCCCATCTCATGATGGTGCCCAGTCAGCCCAGAATGACTCTACCAGACAGATAAGGATAGAGGGGAGGCCTCATTACATCAGTGTTGTTTTGTTGTTATTATTGTTGTGTTTTCTTTGTTTGTAATATTTTGTTTTGTTTTTGAGACACAGTCTTCCTCTGTCGCCCAGGCTGGAGGGCAGTGGCACGATCTCAGCTCACTGAAACCTCCACCTCCCGGGTTCAAGCGATTCCCCTGCCTCAGCCTCCTGAGTAGCTGGGACTACAGGCGTGCGCACCATGCCCGACTAATTTTTTTTATTTTAGTAGAGACAGGGTTTCACCATGTTGGCCAGGATGGTCTCAATCTCCTGACCTCATGACCCGCTCGCCTCAGCCTCCCAAAGTGCTGGGATTACAGGTGTGAGCCACTGTGCCCGACCTATATGAGTTTTATATTTACCTGTTCCCTTCACCAGGAGATCATGCTGCTGTGATGCCAGGTTTTCTTAACAGCATAAGGAAGACTTGCCCCTTGCCTTATCAAAGAGAATAGTTTTGGAGGGGAGAAGTGGGACCAAAAAAGATGCAGTTTTCATTTCTATTGGGAAATGTGAAAATAAAATTGTCAACTCTTTTAGTTAAAAACAACAACAAAAAAAAGGAAACGAGATGTGGGGCTGCCACACGCAATATCGTGCATTAAAAAGATCTTCTACTCTGGAGGAAAATATCTTTGCTGATGCCACACCAACCTAATACAAAGACCTTTTGGTTTTTTAATGTGACTGTTTTTTATTTTACAATGTGTAATTTACTTTAGAAGGGCAAAGTACCTGTCTGGGGAAGACTATTTAATTTCCTGCATTTATTTAGAATATTGGCTAATGTTATTCTGAAGGGAAATATCTCTAACAAGTGAGTGCCCCCCACATAGACACAGGTCATGAGCTCACAGGGCAAAGGAATTGAACAGCAGCCTCCTAATAGCTAGCCTTCCTTGTGGTATGGAAATAATTATCAGCATGTAAAAGACTGTATATATATTCAACAATTCTGACCCCCTGCAAAATTCAAATCTACAATTTATTTGCTTCCTGCGCTCCTGAAAACAACTTTGTCAAAATTGTTCAGAAATAAAATCAGCCAATCGTTGCCCCTTGGGGACGCAGGACAAAGCAAATCAGCCATGACCAATGTGGAGTCGGCCGTACGCAATTACATACAGACCTGCAGGACATCGAGTCCCTGCTATGGTCCCTCCCCAGTCAGGCCCCCATTGCCTGGGCTGCAGCCAGAAGCATTCAGGCACAAGTGCATTCAACAAATACTTATTTAATTGTATTGGTGGTTAGAGGGCTGTTGTTGATTAAGGTACATTAATGGATCCATGTCCTCCCTGTATCCAAGACTCTGCCATTTGTCTCTGCAGTTCCTCCCACTGAAGAATCAGAGTATATTTCTCCAGCCCCTAATGTTGGGTTTAGTCATGTGTCTAGCTTTGGCCACTGGAATATTAATCTGCATGACCAAAAACTTGGAAAGTGTGCATTCATTTGTGCTCACTCACTCCTGCTATCACCATGAGAACAAGCCCAGGCCAGCCTGCTGCTTCCAGCAGAAGATAAGAGACACCAAGAGCAAAGTAGAGCTTCCCAGACATGCTCATGCTAGATTAACCAATCCTCAGCTGACCCATAGATCCATGAAAATAAATGACTGTTGTATTAAGCCACTGAGATTTGGAGTGACTTATTATGCAGCATTTTGTGACAATAACTAACAGATACAAGGGTCACCATCCTTTATCTCTGTAGATTTTAACCAATTTTTAATAGCTAGATGGAGATCTTCTAGTTGCCTTTATTTATAATGAATAAGACTGTAGAGCTAGTTTGGCCTGACACTACCAGTTACCTACCCAGAAATTCAGAAACACTTTCTTCTCCAACCCACCCCAACCAACCATTACCATTTTTTTTTTTTGAAAAGGAGTCTTACTCTTTGCCTAGGCTAGAGTACAAGTGGAGTCAGAGCTCACTGTAACCTCAAAATCCTGGGATCCCCTGATCTTCCCCTTCAACCTCCTACATAGCTAAGACTACAGACATGTGCCACCATGCCTGGCTAATTTTTTTATTCTTTGCAGAGACAGGGTCTCACTATATTGTCCAAGTTGGTTTCAAACTCCTGGCTTCAAGCAGTCCTCCTGCCTCACCCTCCCAAATTGCTAGGATTATAGGCATGAGCCATCACACCCAGCCTCTTCTTCTTTTTAAATAGAAACCCTATTTTATTCTGACAGCGGGTTGCTTACTTTTTTTTTTTTAGAAAAACTTGGCCCAGCCCCAGGGAATAAATTGTGACTGGTCTAAACAGGGTTGGCAAACTATAGACCAAGGGCCAATTCTGGCCCTCTGACTGTTTGTATAAATTAAGTTTTACTGGAATAAAACCAGGTCCATTCATTTATGCCTTGTCTACATATGCTTTAGACTACGATGGCACCACTGTGTCACTGCAACAGAGGTTATCTAGACCAAAAGCCTAAAATATTACCTTTTGCTTCTTTATGGAAAAAGTTTGCCATTCCCTAGTCTAAGGTTTAGATTCTGAGCTTATCATTTTAGCCTACCCCCACTTACCAGTGACTGGCTCAAAACAAGTCTGTGATTCCATTCTGACTGTTCTACTGAGGGAAATCCCCCTTCTTCTCATGCAGAGCTGATGAGAGTAAGTTGTATTAATAGGACATATGCTCAGGTTTTCTGAAAAATACTTTTATCTAGAAATGCATAGGAATATGCTGGTGCCTGAATGTACCATCTGGGGGCCTGGAGATTGACTCACACTGCCTCCAGAGCTAGCGCTCACACTTACTACTGAGAGGCCTGAGGAAACACCTGCCTACCCACCACCAGAACCTGCACACGTCACCTGGAGAACTAGAGATCAGCCTGCCACACACACCACCCAGGAGCCCAGTGGCGCACCTGCCCACCTGGCCCAGTGCTGCCACTGCCAGCAACCAAAGAAGCCACCTGGAGGCCCAGGGATTGGCCCATGCAGACAGGCTATCATCAGTGCCCACATACACTGCCCATGGTCCCTAGTATTGACACACCTGGTCTACCACCACTACCACTGATGCTGAAGGACAAGACTTCCAGGCATCCCCATCCTCAGCAAAGCCTCACCACAGCCTCCAATAACAACTGCAGTCTGGCTGGGTGTGGTGGCTCACACCTGTAATCCCAGCACTTTGTGAGGCTGAGGCAGGTAGATCACGAGGTCAGGAGTTCGAGACCAGCCTGGCCAACATGGTGAAACCCCGTCTCTACTAAAAATACAAAAATTAGCTGGGCGTGGTGGCACGTGTGTGTAGTCCCAGCTACTCAGGAGGCTGAGGCAGGAGAATCGCTTGAACCTGAGAGGCAGAGGTTGCAGTGAGCTCAGATTGTGTCACTGCACTCCAGCCTTGTGACAGAGCTAGACTCCATCTCAACCACAAACACACAAACAAAAAAAACTGCAGTCTAAGCCACTGAATAACTCACAGACACCACTCATGCCAATTACAGCTGAAGAAATCGTATGTAGACTATACCACTGTACCCCCCGAGAATCAAAGCCAAAGTGTGATATCCAATGAACACTGTAGATACAGCTATAAGAAAAGGTCTTTCCCATATAAAAGCCAACCCAGAAAATTGGAAGAAATGACTGCTATGTCAGGGGCACAGATAGTCACATAAGGATGCAAGAAATATGAAAAAGGATACATAACATCTCCAAAGAAGCACAATAATTCTCCAGCAACAGATTCCAATGAAAAGAAAATCTATGAAATGCCTGAAAAAAATTCACAATAATGATATTAAAGAAACTCAGGGAGATATAAGAGAGCACAGATAATGAATACAAAAAAATCAGGAAAATAATTCATGATCTGAATGAGAAATTCAACAGGGATAGACAGCATAACAAAGAACCAAACACAAATCCTGGAAGAGATGAAATCATTGAAAGAAATATAAAAGATAATTGACAGCTTTAACAATAGACTAGATCAAGCAAAACAAAGAATTTCTGAACCTGAAGACTAGTCTTTTAAAATAATCCAGTCAGACAAAAAGAAAGAAAAAAGAATGAAGCAAGGCTACATGACATATGGGACACATATGTGACCAAAAACTGAAATTCTGGGAGTTCTGGATGGAGATGAGATGGGTAAATGCATAGAAAACCTATTTAATGAAATAATAACTGAAAACTTCCTGAAAGCTTCCAAATACAGGAAGCTCAAAGATTACCAAATACATACAACTCAAAAAGGTCTTCACCAAGGCACATTATGGTAAAATTGTCAAAAGACAAAGAGAAAATGCTAAAAACAGCAAGAGAAAAGCAGCAAGTCACTTATAAGAGAATCTCCATCAGGCTAACAGGGGATTTCTCAGGAGAAACCTTTCAGGCTAGGAGAAAAGGGGATGTATACTACAAGGTAAAAAAAAAAAAAAAAATAAGGCAAAAATGCTATACCCAGCAAAGCTATCCTTCACAAATGAAGAAGACTGGCACAGTGGCTCACATCTGCAATTCCAGAGACTCAGAAGGCTGAGGCAGGAGGATCATTTGAGCCCAGGAGTTCAAGGCTGCAGTAAGCTATGATCCTGCCACTGTACTCCAGCCTGGGTGACAGAGTGAGACTCCATTGCTTAAAAAAGAGAAAAAATATTTCCCAGATAAACAAAAGACTGTTTGTGTCTTGTTTGTTGTGGTCCTACAAAAAATGCTTAAGGGAGTCCTACACTGGGAAGAAAAAGAACAATATCTATCATCATGAAAATACATGAAAGTATAAAACTCATGGTAGCACAGACACACAAAGGAGAAAGGATTCAAACGTCACCATTAAAGAAAACCACCAAACTGCAACAATAAATAATGAGAGAAAAAAGGAACAAAGGTGTATTAGTCTGTTTTCACACTGCTGATAAAGACATACCTGACTGAGACTGGGCAATTTACAAAAGAAAGAGGTTTAATGGACTTACATTTCCACGTAGCTGAGGAAGCCTCACAATCACATTGGAAGGCAAGAAAAAGCAAGTCATGTCTCACCTGGATGGCAGCAGGCAAAGAGAGAGCTTCTGCAGGGAAACTACCCTTTTTAAAACCATCAGACCTTGTGAGACGTATTCACTTTCACAAGAACAACATGGGAAAGACCTACACCCATGACTCAATTACTTCCCACCAGGACCCTCCCACAACATGTGGGAATTCAAGATGAGATTTGGGTGGGTACACAACCAAAGCATATCATTCTGCCCCTGGCCCTTGCCAAATCTCATTTCAAAACAAATTATGCCTTCCCAACAGTCCCCCAAAGTCTTAACTAAGTTCAGCATTAACTCAAAAGTCCACAGTCCAAAGTCTCATGTGAGACAAGGCAAATCCCTTCTGCCTATGAGCATGTAAAATCAAAAACAAGTTAGTTACTTCCTAGATACAATGGGGGGTATAGGCATTGGGTAAACACAGTCATTCCAAATGGGATAAATTGCCAAAACAAAGGGGTTACAGGCCCCATGCAAGCCCAAAATCCAGTGGGGCAGTCAAATCTCAAAGCTCCAAAATGATCTCCTTTGACTCCATGTCTCACATGCAGGTCATGCTGATGTAAGAGGTGGGCTCCCATGACCTTGGGAGAAAAAAGGCCACAGCTCCATTCCTGTGGCTTTGTAGGGTATAAACCCCCTCCTGGTTCCTTTCATGGGTTGGCATTGAGTGTCTGCAGCTTTTCCAGACACACAGTGCAATCTGTCAGTGAATCCACCATTCTGGGGTCTGGAGGATGGTGGCCCTCTTCTCACAGCTCCACTAGGTGATGCTGCAGTAGGGACTCTATGTGGGCACTCCGACCCCACATTTCCCTTCTGCAATGCCCTAGTAGACGTTCTCCATGAGTGCCCTGCCCCTGCAGCAAACTCCTGCCTGCAACTAGGCATTTCCATACATATTCTGAAGTCTAGGCAGCAGTTCCCAACCCTCAATTTTTGACTTCTATGCACCCATAGGCTCAACACTATGTGGAAGCTGCCAAGGTTTGGGGCTTGCACCCTCTGAAGCCACAGCCCACGTTGTACCTTGGCTCCTTTTAGCTGCAGCTGGAGTGGCTAAGACTCAGGCACCCGAGGCTGCTCACAGTAGGGGGGCCCTGGGTCCAGTCCACAAAACCATCTTTTCTTCCTAGGCCTCTGGGCCTTTGATGGGAGGGGCTGCCATGAAGCTCTGTGACATGCCCTGGAGACATTTTCCCCATTGTCTTGGAGATTCACATTTGACTCCTCGTTACTTAAACAAACTTCTGCAGCCAGATCAAATTTTTCTTGAGAAAATGGGATTTTCTTTTCTATTGCATTGTCAGGCTGCAAATCTTCCAAACTTTTATGCTCTGCTTCCCTTATAAAACTGAGGGCCTTTAACAGCACCCAAGTCATCTCTTGAATGCTTTGCTGCTTAGAAATTTCTTCTACTAGATAACATAAATCATCTCCCTCAAGTTCAAAATTCCACAAATCTCTACAGCAGGGGCAAAATGCCACCAGTCTCTTTGCTAAAACATAACAGGAGTCACTTTTGTGCCAGTTCCTGGCAAGTTCCTCATTTCCATCTGAGACCATCTCAGCCTAGACTTTATTGTTCATATAACCATCAGCATTTTGGGCAAGTCTCTAGGAAATCTCTTCCAAATTTTCCCACATTTTCCTGTCTCTTTCTGAGCCCTCCAACCTCTGCCTGTTTCCCAGTTCCAAAATCACTTACACATATACAGGTATCTTTTAGGAACACCTCACTTCTGGTACCAATTTACTATATTAGTCCATTCTCACACGGCTGATAAAGACACATACAAGACTGGGAAATTTACAAAAGAAAGAGGTTTAATGGACTTACAGTTCTACTTTGCTGGGGAGGCTTCAAAATCATTGCAGAAGTCAAGGAGAGACAAGTCACATCTTACAGGGATGGCAGCAGGCAAAGAGAGAGCTTGAGCAGGGAAACTCCTCCTTTTAAAACCATCAGATCTCATGAGACTTACTCACTATCAAAAGAATAGCATGGAAAATACCTGCCCCCATGATTTAACTACTTCCCACTGGGTCCCTCCCACAACACATGGAAATTCAAGATGAGATCTGAGTGGGGACACAGCCAAACCAAATCAAAAGGATATACAAAATAACCAGAAAACAATGAACAAAATGACAGGAATAAGTTCTCACCTATCAATAATAACTTTGAATATGTGTTAAATTACCTACCTAAAAGATAGAGACAGGCTTAATGGATAAAAAATGACTCAACAACGTCTACAAGAAACTCACTTCACTTGTAAAGACACACACAGACTGAAAGTGAAGGGATTGAAAAAGATATGCCACACAAACAGAAATCCAAAGTAATCAGGAGTAGCTAAACTTGCATCGGATAAAACAGACTTTAAGTCAAAAACTGTAAAAAGGACAAAGAAGGTCATTATATGGTAATAAAGGGATAAACTCAGCAACAAAATATAACAATTCTAAATATGCATGCAACCAACACAAGTGCATCCAGACACACATAGCAAATATTATTAAATCTACAGGGAGAGATAGAGTCCAATACAATGATAGTTGAGAACTTCAATATCCTACTTTCAGCATTGGATAGTTCATCTAGACATAAAATCAACAAAGAAACATTAGATTTAAGCTGCACTTTAGACCAAATGGACCTAACAGATATTTTCAGAATATTTCATCCAGCAGCAGCAGAATACACAATCATCTCATCAACACATGGAACATTCTCCAGGATAGACCATATGTTAGGACACAAAACAAGGCTCAACAAAATTTTAAACGTTAAAATCATATCAAGTATCTTCTCAGACCACAATGGAATAAAACTTGAAATCAATAACAAGAAGAAATTTGGAAACTGTACAAATACATGGACATTAAATGTGCTATTGAATGATCATTGGGTCAATGAAGAAATTAAGATGGAAATCAAAAAAAATTTTTAAACAGAAAATGGAAACACATCATGCAAAACCTATGGGATACAGCAAAAGCAGTACTAGGAGGAAGGTTTATAGCAATAAATGCCTACACCAAAAAAGTAGAAAGATCTCAAATAAACAATCTAATGATGCACCTCAAGGAACTCAAAAAGCAAGAACAAACCAAACACACAATTAGTAGAAAGAAAAAAAAAATAACAGCAGAACCAAATGCAACAGAGACAAAAAAGAAATGCAAAGAATCAACAAGACAAAAGTTGTTTTTTTGAAAAGTTAAACAAAATTGATAAACCACTAGTGAGGCTAACCAAAAAAAAAAAAAAAAGAAAGAAAGAAAGGAGACCCAAATAAATACAAGCAGAAATGAAAAAGGAGACATTACAACTGTTACCAAAGAAATAAAAAGGATGATTAGAGGCTACTATGAACAACCATATCCTAACAAATTGGAAAACTTAGAGGAAAGGGATAAATTCCCAGACATACACAGCCTACCAAGATTGAACTAGGAAGAAACAGAAAACCTGAACTGACTCAAAATGAATAGCAGGTTTGAATCAGTAACAAAATGTCTCCCCAAAGAGAAAAGCCCTAGACTAGGGTTTTATGCTGATTTCTACCCAGTTTATAAAGAAAAACAAACACCAATTCTTCTCAAACTATTCCCAAAAATTGAAGAGGAGGGAATTCTTCCTAACTCATTGTATAAGGCCAGCATTACCCTGATATCCAATCAAGACAAGGACACAACAGAAAGAGAAAACTACAGGCCAATATTCCTAATGAACACAGATGGAAAAATTCTCAGCATAATACTACCAAGCCAAATCTAATGATGAATGAAAAAGATAATATACCATGATCAAGTGGGATTTATACCAGGAATGCAAAGATGGCTCAACATACACAAAATCAATGCATGTGATACATCACATCAACAAGATGAAAGGCAAAAACTATCTGATCATCTCAGCAGATGCAGAAAAATCACTCGGTAAAACTTACCATTCCTTCATGATGAAAACTCTCAACAAATTAGGCATAGAAGGAACACTTCAACATAAGAAAAGGCATATATGACTAATCTACAGCTAACAACCTACTCACTGGGAAAAATTGAAAAGCTATTCCTCTGAGAACTGGAACAAGACAAGGATGCCCACTTTCACCACTCTTATTCAACACAGTATGGGACATCCAAGCCAGAGTGATCAGACAAGATAAAGAAATAAAAGGCATCCAAACTAGACAAGAGGAAGTCAAATTGTCTCACTTTGCAGATGACATAATCTTATACTTTTAAACAGAAAAACCTAAAGACTCCACCAAAAAACTCTTTAAATGGATAAATTAGGCTGGGCATGGTAGCTCATGCCTGTTATCCCAGCACTTTGGGAGGCCAAGGTGGGTGGATCACCTGAGGTTGGGAGTTTGAGACCAGCCTGGCCAACATGGTGATATCCTGTCTCTATTAAAAATACAATTAACCAGGCATGGTGGTAGGTGCCTGTAATCCCAGCTACTTGGGAGGCTGAAGCAGGAGAATCGCTTGAAACCCAGAGGCGGAGGTTGCAGTGAGCCAAGATTACATCACTGCACTCCAGCCTGGGCAACAGAGCGAGACTGTATCTCAAAAAATAAAAAATAAAATTTTTTTAAAAAAACAGATGTATAATTCAGTAAAGCTTCAGGACACAAAATCAATATACAAAAATCAGTAATGTTTCTATATACCAGTAACAAACTAACTAAAAAAGAAACCAAGGAAGAAATTCTATTTACAATAGCTACAAAAATAAAATACCTAGGAATAAACTTAACCAAGGATGCGGAAAACAAACAAACAAACAAACAAACAAACAAACAAACAAAAAAACCTCTACAATGAAAACCACAAGACACTGATAAAATAAATTGAGAAGACACAAACAAAATGGAAAAGCATCTCATGCTCGTGGGTTGGAATTACTAATACTGTTAAAATGACCATACTACCCGAAGCAATCTAGAGATTCAGTATAATCCCTATCAATTATATTCTTCACAGAAACAGGAAAAAAAAAAACCCTGAAATTCATATGGAACCACAGAAGACCCCAAATAGCCAAAGCAATACTGAGCAAAAAGAACAAAGCTAGAAGCCTCACACTACCTGATTTAAAAGTATACTGCAAAGCAGCTGGGCGTGGTGGCTCACGCCTGTAATCCCAGCACTTGGGGAGGCCAACGCGGGTGGATCATGAGATCAGGAGATTGAGACCATCCTGGCTAACATGGTGAAACCCCGTCTCTATTAAAAAAAAACAAAAAAATTAGCCGAGGCTGAGGCAGGAGAATGGCGTGAACCCGGGAGGCGGAGCTTGCAATGAGCCGAGATTGCATCACTGCACTCCAGCCTGAGTGACAACGCAAGACTGTCTCAAAAAAAAAAAAAAAAAAAAAAAAAAATATATATATATATATATATACACACACACACACACACACACACACACACACATACTGCAAAGCTATAGTAACCAAAACAGAGTGTATTGGTATTAAAACAGACACAAAAACAAAGGAAACAGACTAAAGAATCCAGAAATGAATCCACATATTTACAGCTAACTGATTTTCAAGAAAGCTGTCAAGAACATACTTTGAATAAAGGACACCCTCTTCATTAAATGGTGCCAGGAAAACTAGATATCCAAACACAGAAGAATAAAACTAGACCCTTATCTCTCATCACTTACAAAAATAAACTCAAAATCAATTAAAGACTTAAATGTAACAGCCACAACTATAAAACTACTAGAAGTAAACACAGGAGAAACGCTTGGGAACAAAGATTGTATGGCTAACACTTAAAAAGTACAAGCAACAAAAACAGACAAATGGGATTATATTAAATACCTTCTGCATATCAAAGAAAACAATCAACAGAGTGAAAAGACAACACCCCTCCCTTACACCATATACAAAAATTAACTCAAGATGGCCTACATACTTAAATGTAAAACCCATAACTATAAAAACCCTGGAAGACAACCTAGGCAATACCATCCGGTACATAGTGATGGGCTAAGAGTTCATGGTGAAGATGCCAAACGCATTTGCCACAAAAGCAAAAATTGACAAATGGGATCTAATTAAATGAAAGAGCTTCTGCACAGCAAAAGAAACTATCAAAATATAAACAGACATTTCTCAAAAGAGGATATACAAATCACCAAGTTTATGAAAAAATATTCAACATCACTAATCATCACGGAAATGCAAATCAAAACCACAGTGAGATATCATCTCACACTTGATAGAATGGCTATTATTAAAAAGACAAAGCACAACAAATGCTGGCAAGCATGTGAAGAGAAGAAAATTATCGTATATTGTTGGTGGAAATGTAAATTAGTACAGCCATTATGAAAAAAAGTACAGAGATTTCTCAAAAAACTGAGAACAGATCTACCATATGATCCAGCAATCCCACTCCTGGGTATATATCCAAAAAAAAGGATATCAGTGTATCAATGGGATATCTGTACCCCCATATTTACTGCAGCACTGTTTACAATAGCCAAGATATGAAATCAATCTAAGCGTCAATCAATGGATGAATGGATAAAGAAAATGAGAATATACGCACAATAGAATAGTATTCAGCCATAAAGAAGAATGAAATCCTGTCATTTTCAGCTAAATGGATGGAATTAAAGGTCATAAAGTTAGGTGAACTAGGCCATGCACAGAAAGAAAACTATTGCATGTTCTCACTTATATGAGCGGTTTATGCTCCTGGAAATCAAAGCGGGGGCCATGTTTCAGGTCAGTAGGGTCAGGGATAGAGACCGCAGTTATGGACTTGTGTGCCCTGGAGCTATATAAAATTGATAGCATGGAGATAAAGAGTAGAATGATAGTTACCAGAGGCTGGGAATAGGAGGGGTTTGAAAAGAAGTTGATTAATGGGTATAAAAATATATAATAGAAGGAATAAGATCTAGTGTTCATTATCACAGAAAGTGACTACAATAATTTGTTGTATATATATATTTTTTTAATTTCAATAGTTTTTAGGGAACAGGTGGTATTTTGTTACATGGATAAGTTCCTTAGTGGTGATCTCTGAAATTTTGGCGTACCCATCACCAAAGCAGTTTACCCAGTGTATAGTCTTTTATCTCTCACCCCCTCCCACCTTCCCCCTGAGTCCCCAAAGTCCACTGTTTCATTCTTGTGCCTTCGCATCATCATAGCTTAGCTCTCACTTACGAGTGAGAACATGCAATGTTTGGTTTTCCATTCCTGAGTTACTTCATTTAGAATAATGATCTCCAACTCCATCTAGTTTGCTATGAATGCCATTATTTCATTCCTTTTTAAGGCTAAGTAGTATTCTATGGTATATATATATACATATATATATACGTATATATATACACATATATATACGTATATATATACATGTATATATACGTATATATATATATACATATATATACGTATATATACATGTATATATATATATACGTATATATACACATTTTCTTTATCCACTAATTGATTGATGGGCATTTGGGCTGATTCTATAGTTTTGCAACTGTGAATTTTGCTGCTGTAAACATGTGTGCAAAAGTATCTTTTTCATATAATGACTTATTTTCCTCTGGGTAGATACCTAGCAGTGGGATTGCTGGATCAAATGGTAGATCTACTTTTAGTTCTTTAAGGAATCTCCATACTGCTTTCCATAGTGGTGGTACTAGCTTACATTCCCACCATCAGTGTAAAAGCGTTCTTTCACCACGTCTGTGCCAACATCAATTTTTGCTTTTTTTGTTTTTGTTTTTGTTTTTTTTTTGAGATGGAGTCTCGCTCTGTCACCCAGGCTGGAGTACAGTGGTGTGATATCAGCTCACTGCAACCTCTGCCTCCCGGGTTCAAGCAATTCTTCTGCCTCAGTCTCCTGAGTAGCTGGGATTACAGGCAACTGCCACCATGCCTGGCTAATTTTTGTATTTTCAGTAGAGACTCGGTTTCACCATGTTGGTCAGGCTGGTCTCAAACTCCTGACCTCCTGATCCGCCCACCTCGGCCTCCCAAAGTGCTGGGACTACAGGCGTGAGCCACCGCACCCCGCCCTATTTTTGTTTATTTTACACGTGGTATTGCATTGTGATTTTGATTTGCATTTCCCTGGTAATTAGTGATGTTGAGCATTTTTTCATATGTTTGTTGGCCATTTGTATATCTTCTTTTGAGAATTGTCTATTCATGTCCTTGGCATGCTTTTTGATGGGATTATTCTTGCTGATTAGAGTTCCCTGTAGATTCTGGACATTAGTCCTTTGTCAGATGCAGTTTGTGAAAATTTTCTCCCACTCTGTGGGTGATCTGCTTACTCTGCTGATTATTTCCTATGCTGTGCAGGAGGCTTTTAGTTTAATTAAGTCCCATCTATTTATCTTTGTTTCTATTGCATTTGCTTTTGGGTTCTTGGTCATGAACTGTTTGCCTAGGCAAATGTGTAGAAGCATTTTCCAATGTTATCTTCTAGAATGTTTATGGTTTCAGACCTTAGATTTAAGTCTTTGATCCATCTTATATTGATTTCTGTATAAGGTGAGAGATGAGGATCCAGTTTTATTCTTTTACATGTGGCTTGCCAATTATCCCAGCACTATTTGTTGTATAGGGTGTACTTTCTCTACTTTGTTTTTGTTTACTTTGCTGAAGATCAGTTGGGTGCTAAGTATTTGGCTTTATTTTTAGCTTCTCTACTCTGTCCCATTGGTCATGTGCCTATTTTTATACCAGCACCATGCTGTTTTGGTGACTATAGCCTTGTAATATAGTTTGAAGTTGGGTAATGTGATGCCTCTAGATTGGTTCTTTTTGCTTAGTTTTGCTTTGGCTGTGCAGACTCTTTTTTAGATCCAATTGAATTTTGGCATTTTTTTTTCCAGTTCTATAAAGAATGATGATGGTATATTGATAGGAATTGCATTGAATTTGTAGACTGCTTTTGGCAGTATGGTCGTTTTCACAATATTGAGTCTACCCATCCATGAGCATGGAATGTGTTTCCATTTCTTTGTGTCATCTATGATTTCTTTCAACAGTGTTTTGTAGTTTTCCTTGTAGGGGTCTTTCACCTCCTTGGTTAGGTATATTCCTAAGTATTTTATGTTTACAGCTATTATAAAAGGGTTTGATTTGATTCTCAGCCTGGTAGATGTTGGTGGATAGCACTGCTACTGATTTGTGTACATAGATTTTGTATCCTGATAAATGGATTTATTGTATATTTCTAAATAGCAATAAGATTTGAAATATTCCCAACACAAAGAAATGATCAATGTTTGAGGTGATTAATATCCTAAAGACCCTGATTTGATCATTACACATTGCATGCATGTACCAGAATCTCACATGGACCCCACAAATGTGTACAATTATTCTCTATCAAAAACTTTTTTTAAGAAACATGCAGGAATACACTGTACCTCTTCCTTGCTGTCTCTGGATATTGTCACATGAGGACTTGACATGCGGATTGTGGCAGCCTCTGTGACCAAGAGCAGAAGACAATAGCAGCATAGAAACCTCAAGTGAAAAACCTAACATCTCAAGCTACTAATTTAGACACCCTTGGCATCAGCTATCTCCGGTCTTAGTACATGAGGTGATAAGCCCCACTGTTCAAGTTGGGTGGCCATCAATTGCTGCAGAATAGAAGTTAATGAGGCTTCTTCCTCCTGGAACCCCTACTAGACCCTGACATACCCATTCAGTCACAGGCAGAAAGGGAAGCAGAGGGTAAGGAGACCTGGCTGGCTGTGCCAGACCCAGATCTTACCTGTCCTGCTTAGAACACTCAAAGCTCAATTGGTTAAACAAAAAAAGGAAAAAGACAGTAAGGAGTATAACACTCCCCAGGTGCAACTTAATCTAACACTCTATACTTTAAATTTTCTAAACATACATAGAAATCAGACCACTACTTCTGCAGAACATTTTACTGGTAAAAAGAAAAGCCCACATGAGGGAAAACTGATTTGGTGGAAAGACAACAAAAACAAAACATGGGAAATAGGTAAGGTGATAACATGGGGGAGAGGTTTTGCTCGTGTTTCACCAGGAGAAAATCAGCTTCCTGTTTGGATACCCACTAGACATTTGAAGTTCTACAATGAACCCATCAGAGATGCAAATGAAAGTGCCTCCGCAGAGACAGAAAACCCACAATCGAGCATCATCCACCCGCAGGATGAACAAAATGGTGATATCAGAAGAACAGATAAAGTTACCATCCACCAAGAAAACAGCACATGTGGAGAGCCAGGGAGAAGAATAGAAAGAAAAAGAGACGGAGATCAGAGACAGACACAGAAAGTGAGATTGGGGAGATAGTGTAAAAGAGAGAGAGAGAGAGAGAGAGAGAGACCATAAGAGAAGGGAGACAAAGAGATAAAAGGTGCGAGTCAGCAGGTGAGGAGAAAGACTGAAAACTATGAGAAACAGCAACTAAGACACAAAGGAGGTGGGAGACTGCCTGGGTGCCGCAGCACCCACACCGTCCTGTTGCCCCCTGTCAGTTGGGTTAAAACCACCGGAAATTCCACTATTGCAAATTTTGTATTAATTCTTGTATGTCTGACTTTTCTATTGTTAGTCTACAGGTGTATCCAGCAGCTCCAGAGAGACAGCGACCAGGGAGAAGGGGCCATGATGACGGTGGTGGTTTTGTCAAAACGAAAAGGGGGATATGTAGGGGAAAGAAAGAGAGATCAGACTGTTACTGTGTCTACATAGAAAGGGAAGACATAAGAGACTCCATTTTGAAAAAGAACTGTACTTTAAACAATTGCTTTGCTGAGATGTTTTTAATCTGTAGCTTTGCCCCAGCCACTTTTCCCCAACCACTTTGACCCAACCTGGAGCTCAAAAAACATGTGTTGTATGAAATCAAGGTTTAAGGGATGTAGGGCTGTGCAGGACGTGCCTTGTTAACAAAAAGTTTGCCAGCAATATACTTGGTAAAAGTCATCGCCATTCTCTAGTCTCAATAAACCAGGGGCACAATACACTATGGAAAGCTGCAGGGAGCCCTGCCCTTGAAAGCTGAGTATTGTCCAAGGTTTCTCCCCATGTGATAGTCTGAAAAGTGGCCTCGTGGGATGAGAAAGACCTGACAGTCCCCCAGCCCGACACCCATAAAGGGTCTGTGCTGAGGTGGACTAGTCAAAGCGGAAAGCCTCTTGCAGTTGAGAGAGAGGAAGGCCACTGTCTCCTGCCCGCCCCTGGGAACTGAATGTCTCGGTATAAAACCCGATTGTACATTTGTTCAATTCTGAGATGGGGGAAAAACCGCCCTGTGGTGGGAGGTGAGACATGTTTGCAGCAATGCTGCCTTGTTATTCTTTACTCCACTGAGATGTTTGGGTGGAGAGAAACATAAATCTGGCTTACGCACACGTCCAGTCATAGTACCTTCCCTTGAACTTCATTATGACATAGATTCTATTGCTCACATCTTCGTTGCTGACCTTCTCCTTATTATCACCCTGCCCTCCTACTACATTCCTTTTTGCTGAAATAATGAAGATAATAATCAATAAAAACTGAGGGAAATCAGAGACTGGTGCCAGTGCAGGTCCATGGTATGCTGAGCGCCGGTCCTCTGGGCTCACTGTTGTTTCTCTATACTTTGTGTCTTATTTCTTTTTTGTCTCTCATCCCACCTGACTAGAAATACCCACAGGTGTGGAGGGGCAGGCCACCCCTTCATTATGAGATTACAGGCATGAATAACCCCACCTGGCCACCTAACTCACTCTTGAGAGGCCAGAAGTGATGCTGGAATTTTCTTCCTCTGTGGTTTAAAAAGGGAAAATTAGGGAGAACACAAGGCATGAGCGATGCAGCGATGGATATGTCTATATGGAGCTTCTGTCTGCATCCAGTAGAAAATGCATTTCTAGGCACCAGGTTTAAGAGCGAAAACCTGGAGTCTTGTCTGTTAGCATTCTCCTTCCCCACAAACCAGAGAGGGAATACATTTTGCTCCAGCACACCCGTTGTAGGAAATGTCACATTCCTATTTCTGTAACTTCACTTAAATCTGCTCTGAGTCCCTGGATGCCTGGCAGGTGGAGAATTCAATCTTGTCGTTACCAGCATTCCTTTCCCTTCTCCATGGGCTTATGTAAGAATTCTGGGCTTACACACTGTTGGAAAGCCAGGTAGGAACTACTTCCCCCGAACTCTACATTCTTCCAGCTGCTCATGATCCATCAGCCTTTTTTGGGCCATCTGCTATAACAAGACCCTCCTCACAGCATCATTCCACTGACCCACAGGCTCAGCCCCAGGGACCCTCACTGTAACAGGTCTCCACTATGCATAGGAACTCACAAAAACCTTCTCTTCATCTTGGCTTCCTCCGATATCCAGCCACTCCCCCCTTCTCACCTTAAACACAAATGGCAGCTCCTTCCCATCGTTCCAAACCTTGGGGATTGTCCAGCCAAATTCTCTTCAGACACCAAAGCTTCACCCACCCTCTTCATGGAGATGATGCAAGGGCATCTGAGATCTTTGGAAGCCCAATTCTGGCCTCTCTTTGGGGTGGGCTGAGAGTGGGAACTAGACTCTCTTTCCAAGTGCCATGTTTATCTTGTTCATCATTATATTATCTCCAATGCCTGGCACATAGTAGGCACTACAGACTGACACATAGTAGGTGCTATTAGTGTCTGTATAATGGGACTCTTGAGGTCGAAGCTATTAGCAGAAACCTACCAAGCAAAAGGATGGAAAACCCGACCACCAAAAAAAAAAAAAAAAAAAAAAAAAAAAAGAAAACAATCATGGCTTTGAGCTCTAAACACACAAGGCACCAGCCCAAGTTTGGGCAATTTTAATACAACAGCCATTTTGCCTCCAAACAAAGTGGCACTGGAAACCTCCCTCTGCCTCTTAAAGAGAACCAGTTTCTCTTTCTCTAAGTGGGCAGCATTTCTCCCCGGTGACAGTACCCAGCCCACTGCCACCAGCAAAGGACTGCATCCAGGAGCCAAGAGCTTGATAGTTTAAAGAATATATTTTATAGGGAAAAACAAAGTAACATCCACATAAATCTGGAACTACCATCACTTTCCAGAGGCCGAATCCCATTTGTGGAGTCTCTTGCGTGTCAAGCACCTTGCAGTCACCTCAACTACATACTTTTGGGATTCGTTGCAGAGAAGAGTGAAGGTTATCTGCAAAATAAAGGAACTAGGGCTCAGAATTCTCAGAGCAATCCATGACAGAGGAGGTGAGTAGAAAAGGGAAGGGTGAATTCAAAGAGAGAATTCAATGAATTGGCCAACACCAAGCAAGGATCATGGGACCCTCTCCATGGCCCCACATCTCAAATGAAGTCAATAAAACCCATCAATGCTTGGTGTAAGTGTTGTATGCTCCCGGAAATGAAAGCAGGGGCCACATTTCAGGTCAGCAGGTTCGGGGGTAGAGGCAAAGGTCATGGACTTGTGGGCCCTGGGGGATGGGATGATTCTGAGACATTGAATCCCTACACTGATCTCAGTAGAAATCTCAGGTAGGGCTTCAACATTCGTGGCCCAAGGACTCTGTGAGCCTGAGAGCAAAAGCCTTGGTGCATGTCCTGGCTCCATCAATCCCAACTGGGGCTTTGAACAAGTTACTTATTTTTTTAACTAACGTTATTTTAATTGACAAATCATAATTGTACACTTTTATGTGATGTTTTGATATGTGTATACAATGTGGGATGATTAGATCAAACTAATTAAAATGTCCATCCACTAATTTACTGACAATTTTTATGATGAGACATTTGAAATGTAGCCTCTTAGTTATTTTGAAAGATACATTATTATTGACTATAGTCACGCTGCTGTGCTATAGATTTCAAAACATACAATCCAGCAACCCAACTTCTGGGTATAGACAAAAAAAAATCGAAATCAATATGTCGAAGGGATCCCTACATTCCTGTGTTCACTGCAGCACTATTCACAATACCCAAGATATAGAATCAACCTAAGTGTCCATCAGTGGATGAAAGGATAAAGCAAATGTACTACATACACACAACGGAATACTATTAACTCTTAAAAAAGAAAGAAATCCTGTCATTTTCAACAACATAGATGAACTTGAAAGACATTGTGTTAAGTGAAATAAGCCAGGCACAGAAAGACAGATACTGCATGATTTTACTTATATGTGGAATCTAAAGAAGTTGAACTCACAGAAATAGAGAGTAGGACAGTGGTTATCAGGGGCTGGGGTGGAGGAAAGTTAGGGGATAGGAGACACTGCTCAAAGGGTACAAAGTTTCCAATAGGAAGAATAAGTTTTGAACAAGCTAAACTCCTCTGAAAGTTCAGTTCCTCGTCTGTAGAGAGGGTACACATCATTAACCTTCTAAGGATGTTGTTGTGAGAGTAAGAGATGATGTTCAGCACAATACCTAATACACAGTCAGGTCTCCTTAAGCTTGAACCTGCATCGCCATGACCTCTACATCACAGGACAGAAAGGCTCACAGCCAGTGTCTCAGTTCCCAATGAAAAGTGGATCCCAGACCAGGCTGAACAGCAGGATCCCTAGGGGATACCCCACCCTACTGAGTCGAATCACCGGAGATAAAGCCTCGGTATGTATGTATGTGCGTGTGTGTGTATGTATGTATGCATGCATGTATGTATGTATGTATGTACGTATGTGAGGCAGGGTCTTGCTCTGCAGTCCAGTCTGGAGTGCAGTGTCACAATCATAGTTCACTGCAGCCTCAAATTACTCCTGGCCTCAAGCTATCCTCCCACCTCAGCCTTCAGAGTAGCTGAGACTACAGGCACATGCCACCAAGACCGTATACTTTTTTTTTCCTCTTTCTTTTTGGAGAGAGTCTCACTCTGTTGCCCAGGCTGGAGTGCAATAGTGCAATCTTGGCTCACTGCAACCTGTGTCTCCTGGGTTCAAGTAATTCTCATGCCTCAGCCTCCTGAGTAGCTAGGATTACAGGCATGCACCACCACACCAGGCTAATTTTGCTTTTTTCATTGTTGTTTCTTGTTTGTTTTTCACAAATAGGACTTCTTATTTGCCAATGTTTTAAGTCTGAACTTTAAACAGATTGTTGGATTGGTGGTTCATATCCATCTGCTCATTCAACTTTAGCATGTATCTCGTCCCTAGTGGGTTTTCCAGAACTACTACCGTCACCACGAAGCTCCACGCCTTTCAAACCCAAGGTTCTCCCGCATTTTTACTTTTCTAATGAAGACATCAAGGAGAGGATAAATTGGCAAGAGTTTTCTACATCTTTTCCAATGTTGTCTGGAATCAATTTATTAACCACTTCTTTCAAGTCATTTGTCTGCACCTCTCAGGTCATGATTTCCATCATCTTCTGGATTTGGCATACTGTTGGTGCTAAGCATAAGAGGTCTTCAGTATCAGATTGTTGTGTTTTTTAGTAAAACCAACACAAAACAGAAGAAAGAAGTAACCATCGGTAGTCTTGACATCAACATGAGCTTCCATCATTGTTGAACATTTTTCAACCTTGGAACATATTTTGTCACAGGTAAGACCCATGCCATAGAAGTTAGTCAGGCAGTTTTTGCCCTGAACATCTTCAGTAATCAGCTTGAATTTTCTAAATGCAACTTCATCATTCTGCAAATCCGTAAGACTCATTTCAAACACAAGACCCTTGAGACCATCAGATGCAATTTGGGTTCCTTGGGTCCTGGTGACCAAGTCTTTCCAATATTTCTTATATTGAACATAACAGGTGCTTTCACATCATACTGATCTTTCTTAGAGAATGGACCAACTACTTTCTTCTTAACTCCCTTTTTGCCACCTTTCATAAGGCACTTGTTCTTAACAACCGCCATGGTGCTGCTCAGAGTACCAAAAGGCTAAATTTTATATTTTTGGTAGAGAAGGGGTTTCACCATGTTGGCCAAGCTGGTCTTGAACTGATATCAGGTGATCTGCCCGCCTCAGCCTCCCAAAGTGCTGGGATTACAGGTGTGAGCCACTGCACCCAGCTGATATTTATTTTTTCTTTTTTTGTAGAGACAGGGTCTTGCCATGTTGCCAAGGCTGGCCTGGAACTCCTGGCCACAAGCAATCCTCCCACCACAGCCTCCCAAAGCACTGGGATTTCAGGCGTGAGCCATCGTGCCCAGCCTGGAATCTATTTTTAAAGCCAATCAAGTGTTGAATAAAATTGCAACTTGGGCTGTTTTTTCTTTGCATTTTTTACATTTCAATGGTTTTTAATATATTCAGAGATATATGCAAACATTACCAGTCAATTTTAGAACATTTCATGACCTCAAAAAGAAACCTCATACCCTTTGGCTAACACCCCCTATCCTCCCATGCCCCTACCAGCCCTAAGCAACCACTAATCAACTTCCTATTTCTATAGATTTCCATCTGAATGAAATCATGTAGAATGTGATCTTTCATCTGTTTTGAAGGTTCATCCAGGCTGTAGAGTATGTACTCTCCTCTCTTTTGTGATCAAATAATATTCCACCATGTGGGTAGACAACAACCGGTGTATCTCTTCATCTGGTGATGGGCATTTGGTTTAATTCCCTCTGTGGGTTATTAGGAGTGATGCTATTGTAATTATTCATATTCATGTACAAATTTTTGTGTGGACCTGTGCTTTCATTTTTGAATATGAAAATATGGCACATCTCCAAGGAAGACAAACAAGTGGCCAATAAGCGCATGAAAAGATGCTCAATGAAATTCATCATCAGGGAAACAGAAATCAAAACCACAATGTGATACCACTTCATAGCCATAAGGATGGCTAGAATCGAAGATACAGAAAATTGGCCTGGTGTGGTGGCTAATGCCTGTAATCCCAGCACTTTGGGAGACTGAGGCAGGTGGATCACCTGAGGCCAGGGGTTTGAGACCAGCCTGACCAACATGGTGAAACCCTGTCTCTACTAAAAAAATACAAAAATTAGCCAAGCATCGTGGCAGGTGACTATAATACCAGCTACTCTGGAGGCTGAGGCAGAAGAGTAACTTGAATCTGGGAGGCAGAGGTTGCAGTGAGCTGAGATTGTGCCACTGCACTCCTGCCTGGGCGACAGAGCAAGACTTTGTCTCAAAAAAAAAAATACAGAAAATAACAAGTGTTGTTGAGGATGCAGAGAAACTAGAACTTTCATACACTGCTGGTAGGAATTAAAATGGTGTAGCCACTGTGAGAAACACTTTAACAACTTCCCAAACAATTCTACATAGAGTTATCAAATGACCCAGTAATTGTACTCCTAGGTATAGGCCCAACATGGGCTCTTTTAATCTATGGAAATTGAACTATGGGTACTTGGCAAGAACAAAGAGGGAGAGAGGAAGAAATGGTGCCATGAGGGCACATTGATTGGTCTCTAATACACAGGGCTCCTACCGCAAATTGTCTCTAAATGACTTCATCAGTTGCTCATAAAAAAAATCACCCTCTGATCCAATCGTGGAGGAAGAAGTGTGGATTGGACCTGGTGAGCCACGGTAAGACTGACTGCTAAACTTTATGAATGATGAGGGGATTTGCACGTATAATCTTGACTGTACTAGATTTTTTATTTTATCCACTATCTTTGAAAACCTAACTCTTGACTAAGAACTGACTTTCCTGTACTTGTTTTTGACTCTAAGTAAATTTCCAATTCCACATAGTCCAAAGATGATGTGTTGAGAAATCTCTCAAAGGAAAAATGCTAATACAGGCAGAGTTATGCGGCAAATTTTGCAGAATTTACACAAATTGTACTTGTAGGTACGAAGCACAAAACATTTTCATGAGTAAAGAAAAAAGTGCTGTTCATTCTAGTAGAGGCTGCAGGATGAAGCCAATCAAGGTTCTTGCCCGGCCAGACCTCGGGCTCTTACCAAATTTGTGTTAGAGTCAACTCTGATGGAGTCTGTATCTCAGTCATCTTTTTTTGACATGGAATCTCGCTCTGTCTCCCAGGCTGGAATGCAGCAGGGTGATCTCAGCTCACTGCAACATCTGCCTCCTGGGTTCAAGCGATTCCCCTGCCTCAGCTTCCCAAGTAGCTGGGGCTACATGTGCGTGCCACCATGCCTGGCTAATTTTTGTAGTTTTAGTAGAGACGTTTCATCATGTTGGCCAGGCTGTGCTCAAACTCCTGACCTCAAGTGATCCACCTGCCTTGGCCTCCCAAAGTGCTGGGATTACAGGCATGAGCCACCATGCTCTACCTCAGTCATCTTTTATCCTCCATGCCTGGCAAGTTCTAGACCCACTGCGGTTCCATACAAGTTTTTTGAATAAATAGGAGACAGATAGAAAGTGGGAACTCTGGAAGTAGAGAAGATTCCAGAAATTGTGCATATTTCTCAGAGACTGTGGCCAAATTCCTCAGTCCTGCCAGAGTTTCTCTATCTCAACTCAAACCTTATGTGTGGGCCCAGACACAGTGGCTCACACCTGTAATCCCAACACTTTAGGAGGCTGAGGTGGGCAGATCACTAGAGGCCAGGAGTTTGAGACCAGCCTGGCCAACATGGTGAAATCTTGCCTCTACTAAAAATACAAAAATTAGCCAGGCATGGTGGTGTGCACCTGTAGTCCCAGCTATTCCGGGGGCTGAGGCACAGCATTGCTTGAACCCAGGAGGTGGAGGTTGCAGTAAGTCACGATTATGGCACTGTACTCTAGCCTGGGCAATAAAGCAAGACTGTCTCAAAAGAAAAAAATACGCTTATGTGTGGGCCTTGTTACAGAATTAATGTTTATATGGACAATATGTACATGGGTGTATGTTAAGAGCATGAGTCATCCACAAGATTTTAGCAAAGTCCATTTAGAAAGCTCAATGCTTTGGGCTTCCACTTGCCTTGCTGCCTGTGTCCTCAGAAGGAGGCTTCATCCTTCCATATAACCAGCAAATCCTTTATGCAGAGATGTACACAACACACTCCTATCCTTGGCCATAACACCTTGAAAGGTTCCTCTTGGTGGCCCCTGGTGCTCATTTCAGAGTAGTTCAAATTAAGGTGATCAGCTTTCATGCCAATCACTCTACAAATCACTCCTATTATGACCAATTTTTCTAAATGCTTTATTGAATTATTACTTAAAGAAATGTGCACGTAGAAGAGGTCAACACTACTTTTCTTACAAACTGAACATACTGGCCAGGCGCAGTGGCTCATGCCTGCCATCCCAGCACTTTGGGAGGCCGAGGTGAGCAGATTGCTTGAGCCCAGGAGCTTGAGACCAGCCTGGGCAACATAGTGAGACCCCCCTCTCTACAAAAAATAAATAAATACAAAAATTAGGCAACAGTGATGGCACATGCCTGTAGTTCCAGCTACTCAGGAGGGCTGAGGTGGGAGGGCTGCTTGAGCCCAGGAGGCAGAGGCTGCTGTGAGCCATGACGGTGCCACTGTGCTCCAGCCTGGGTGACAGAGTAAGATCCTGCCAAAAAAAAAACCCAAAAAAACTGAACATCTCCATATTACCGACACCCAATTCAAGAAACAGAACATTACAGCCCCTTCCAGGATATTCCTGGGGTCTCTTCCATCTCTACTAACCCCTGACTACAAACAGCCTCCACCTATTTCACCTGACATTGTACTTTATGAAAGCAGCAGTTCTCAGATGGGGCTATTTTGCCCCCTGGGGACATTAGGCAATATCTGGAGACACTGGGGGTTGTCTGAAATTGGGGGGAGTTCTGTTACTGCATCCAGTGAGTCCAGGGATCCAGGGATGCCGCTCAACATCCTAAAATGCACAGGGAACCCCCACACATAGAACAGAGAAATTGCTGAGCCGAAATGTCAGCAGCGTCACAGCTGACACCCTGACATACACAGAATCACACAGTATCTGCTCTTTCGTGCTCAGGATTTCTGTCATTCTAATCATTTCATAGGAAACAGAAATGTCATTTGGAGGTAGGTAGAGTCCAAAACAAAGAAGATCCAGAGTTTTGTTTTTAATCAGCCTGGTGCCTTTAGAGCTAGGATTTAGTTTCCATTCTTTCTGTCTCATTTTCAAGTGATTTTTCTTCAACTGGCATCTGCTGGGCTCAAGACCCGGAGATCCCCACAAAGCTGAGATTCACATGGGAATTTTGTACACACCCACACAGCTATACACTGCCATTTACATGCAGACATCCACCCACAGATACACACATCCGGAGACCAAGACAGAAAGCAAACTCCACCATAAAAGCATGGTTCCCTGAACAAGAGAAATGCACCATTCACTCAAGGGAGTTACCTATTTGTTTAATTCAGCCTGTGATAGGCTGTTGCCAAGCCCAGCTCTGAAAGTCTTCTCCTCTAGGAAAAGAGATGGATTTTTTCTTTACTCAAGAATATAGATCTAAAAAAAACAAACACTTCTGCATCTCAAAGCAGGCTCTACGTCCTGAGCTACACATATTGATCAGCATTTTATTGTCATTTTTCTTTTATTTGAACTGGAGAAAAATATAACCTAATTGTGTTCTTACTGACAGTTTGGAATCAGTCACACTAAATCCAATTCTCTGGGTTCTCATGATTAAGGTGTTTAATTTGGGGGACAACAAAGCAAAAGCATTGGTCGTGTTTTAATATAATTAGTACAGGATATATCGAAGGGGTTCAAGTATCACTGTAGCAAGAAGCTCATTCTGCAGTAAAAGGGGGATTCTGCCACTAGGATTGAGTGAGGGTGATTCATGGCTGCACCGTTTCATCAATGTCTCTTCAAGAGTACATGGAATGTGGAATGGGAAAGACTGAAATAGTCCAAGTCTTGGCTAAGCTTCTATTAAGGGGTGTTAGGAGCTGATAAAATAACCTGGTCTTTATAGACATCCCACACTGTAGTTCTGTAAGCTACAGATTCTCAGATTTTTCTATTTTATAAACCAGTAAAAATATTTTATTAATTTGAGAACCAACATAAGGTTGCTACTTTTTTTTCTTTTTGGTAAGAAGGAACTTTTTTAAACTACCAGTTTCACACACACACACACACACACACACACACACACACACACACACACAGAAATTCCACCATGATTGGTCAGAATAGGTGAGGTTTTGCTGCAATAACAAACAACTCCTAAATCTTGGTAACTTCAAACATCAGTAGTTGTTTTTCTCACTCATGCTACATCTGCAGGGAGGTGTGGGGTGCTCTGTTTTCCATCAAACTTGCTCTAAGACTAAGGCTAATGGGGGCTGCATTACCTCGAGTATCACCAAGCAGGGAACAGCGGGAGAAGAATGCTAGGGAGCCTTGTACTAAGAATTAAATGCTCCAGGCTAGAAGTCTCACACTGCACCTCTGCCCCCAGCCTCTTGGCCAGTACTAGCCACATCACCTCCCCCACCACAGGGCAATGCATGAAGACAGGAGAATTTGATACATTACAAATTTCTACCCCATGGCATTTCATAAAAGAGAAAAAAATGCAAATACAAAAATGTTTTAATAGAATAGAATATATACATTTTTAGAATAAAGAACAATCCTCCAAAAAGGACAGCTGGTGGTCTTTCACCAATGGGCACATTTCTGTGACATTTTCTCTGTTTTTCCATTTTATCCTTGACCTATGAACATTTTATACAGATGGTCCAAAGAACACCATTTGGGGACCACTGCTCTAATCAGGTGATGAAAACGGCCCCAAGAACAGAGCACAATCTCTTTAGCAAAGACCCAGCAGGGCCAGGGTGACCATGTTCTCACCATCAATGTGCAGACATCCACCTGCAGCATCCTCACATCCCAACATCAAACAGTGGCTCTTTATAGCTTGATTCTAATGCCCTTTGATCTTCATAATAATTGTAACACTCTCTGGCCCCAAGATCTAACATTGCCACTCTAGCTACATCCTGCAACTGTTCACCTCTCCTGCCTCCTCATCCCTCTAAACTTCTCTTCACAACCTCATGTTTCCTTCTTGCTTTACCTTCCTGCTCAGCCTGGACCTTACAGTCACCTTCTTCTTGTAATGTGCTCCTGAACTCGTTCTTCCCTGCCTTCAACCACACCCACCTGGAAAATCTCCATACCCCATTGATGACTTGCCTCGCAACTGCCCAAGGGCTGCTGAATGATACTGGAAAGAATCACAACATGGATCTGGTAGTTCCACTAAATAATCTCACCATCCAACTCTAGGATAGACTTCACTTCTGTTCAGCAATATCTTTAAGCATCACAAATAAATTCCAAACCATATTTGCTAGAACAACTGACTTTAAACCTCTTACATATCTCAAAGCCTCCCAAACCCATCCCTAGGGGTTTCAGAGCCCAGAGTTGAGTTCTCTCAACTCACTTCCATCTCACCCCTAGATCACTGTACCTTGACCCTCTTCCTCTGCCTTTCCCATCTTATAAGGAGAAGCATCCTTCTCCTTTCCCAAGCTACCTTCTCCACTTGTGCCTCATTTGAGACCTCCCTTTATCACCCGTTCCCTTGGAACTCCCATGACTCACCACCTTCACTTGTCTTTTCACTCATAAATATTTTGCACCATGTATGTGCCAGGCGTTTAACATAGAATCATGCTTAAGTCTCTACATGCTAACAAGAAAAACCTTGATTATCCCTGCTATACCCTCAAGTCATTACCTTCCCCGCTCCTTTCCTGTGTTCCCAAACTTTGTTGATCTTCATCAATCCCTCTGATGCAGATGGCTCCGAAGTTTGCACCCTATTAGGTTGGTGCAAAAGTAATTGCGGATTTTACCATTAAAAGTAATGGCAAAAATAGCAATTATTTTTGTACCAGCCTAGTAAATTTTCTCCTTCTACCAAACTTTGTCCCTGAGCCATCTCATCACCTATAACTACCTCCTCCATGCAGTTGATTCCCAGATCTCTATTATTCTACTGAAAGTCCATTCCCCAACGTTCTCAGCTAGGATAACAGAAGCCCAATTAGAATTCATGATACCAGTTTCCCACCACCACCACCACCACCGTCGCCCTGCCATTGTTAGCAAAACCATCTCTTGAGTGGAGCTCAAAGATTTGTAATCTCCCACTCCCCAGAAAGATAACTTCAGACTCAGCCTAGAAGTAAAGATCCTCCAGATATGGCCTCAACTATGCTCCAACCCATGTCCCCAGCACATTCCTTTGATGCCCCCTTCAATGGAGTTAAAATGGAGTGAGTGTTTTTCTTTTCACATACTCCTGGTGTTCTTCCAAGAATACAATTTTCACCTCTTGAATATTTTCAATAATTCTCCATGATACACACAGTGAAATCCAAACTCCCCATCAGGACCCCAGTCTTCCCAAATGCTCTTTGCACTTTTCTGCCTCCATGATTTCCCTTGGGTCATCCTCTTCTCTAATATAACCTTGTGTATTACTCTAGGTTCTCCAGAGAAAGAGCAGAGAGATAGAGGTAGAGCTATACACATAGAGAGAGACAGACTGATTTGTTGTAAGGGATGGCTCACATGGTTATGAAGGCTAAGGAGTCCTGGAGTCTGCAGCCAGCAAGCTGGAGACCCAGGACAGCCAATGATATAGTTCCAACTCGAGTCCACATCTAAAGTCAGGAGAAGATTGATGTCCCAGCTCAAATATAATCAGGTAAAAAGAGCAAATTCTCTGTG